>NC_000014.9:57187470-57490500 GCF_000001405.40 Homo sapiens | reverse complement strand
CAACCAGGTCTCCAAAGTCTGTACTCTTAACTGTCAGCATAAGTAATTTCTATAGTCCTTCTATCTTTAACCTTTTATTGTTCTAGATGTTAACTGGTTGTTTAAATTCGGGACACTGGATTCCAAGGAAGCAAAGCAAGAGCTTTAAACGCATTCACCCCAATAAATATTTAATGGGTTCTCTGCAGCTAGCTATACATTTTAAGAACTCTCAACCTAGAAAGGGAATGGGTAGATTGGAGTGGTCCTTGAAAATGAGCATCATTGGAAGGAGGGTTTGGGGCTCTCTTGTGAGCAGGATCTATCACTGACATTTGAAGCCAAATCCCACCTGCTACACAATTCACCCAGATGCCTGGACCAATCCCAGGGGTACTGGAGCTCATTTGTTGGGGATTATTTCTGTTTCAGTTGGTTTTTATTTACCTGTCTTCTGCAGAAGCTCACAGCCATTATTTGAAGTGATTGTATCATTTTGTCTCAAAAGAGTATCTTTTCCCAAAATATTAGAAACTATAAAATCATTATTTAGATAAAGAAAAATAAAATGAAATATAACAAATTAATATCTAATTTACAAGTTTTTACAAATCCTCTAGGTAAACAGGGCAGTTTAAAATGTGTTTTATTCCTAAATCAAATACTTCCTTTCAAAGGATGAGTTTAATACATGTTTCTGTGAAGCCTCTAAGCTGATTAGTTCAAATAGAAGATATTACTCTAGTAAAAAATATTTGTCTAGTACTTTATAGCTCACAAGTACTTTTTATATCTATCAGTCCTAAACAAAGGAGGTTAGGTTTTGATTTTCTCAATAGTCAAACAAGGTCAAAAAGAGAACATTGGTATTTCAGAGTCAAACACTGCACCACCACCCCCATACACACACACCCTAACCAACCATCTTAAAAACAAAGAATCAAGACAAATGAATTATTTCAGTGCAAAGACTGTGCCTTTTTTTTCTTCAACTTTTAAGTTCAGGGGTACAGGTGCAGGATGTGTAGGTTTGTTATAAAAGTAAATAAGTGCCACGGTGATTTGCTGCACAGATCATCCCATCACCTAGCTATTAAGCTCAGTATTCATTAGCTGTTCTTCCTGATGCTCTCCCTCTCCACCAACCCTGACAGGCCCCAGTGTGTGTTGTTCCCCTCCCTGTGTCCATATGTTCTCATTGTTCAGCTCCCACTTATAAGTGAGAACATGTAGTGTTTGGTTTTCTGTTCCTGAGTTAGTTTTGCTGAGGATAATGGCTTCTAACTCCATCCATGTCCCTGCAAAGAACATGATCTCGTTCCTTTTTGTGGCTGCATAGTATTCCATGGTGTATATGTACTACATTTTCTTTATCCAGTTTATCACTGGTGGGCATGTAGGTTGATTCCATGTCTTTGCTATTGTGAACAGTGCTGCAATTAACATATGCATCGATGTATCTTTATAATAGAATGATTTATATTCCTTTGGGTATATACCCAGTAACGGGATTGCTGGGTCAAATGGTATTTCTGCCTCTAGGTCTTTGAGGAATCACCACACTGTCTTCCACAATGGTTGAACTAATTTACACTCCCACTAACAGTGTAAAAGCATTCCTTTTTCTCCGCAACCTCTCCAGCATCTGTTGTTTTTTGGCTTTTTAATATAGCCATTCTGATTGGTGTGAGGTGGTATCTCATTGTGGTTTTGATTTGCATTTCTCTAATGATCAGTGATGTTGAGCTTTTTTCATGTTTGTTGACTGTATGCATGTCTTCTTTTGAGAAGTGTCTGTTCATGTCCTTTGCCCACTTTTTAATGGGGTTGTTTGTTTTTTCCTTGTAAATTTGTTTAAGTTCCTTGCAGACTCTGGATATTAAACCTTTGTCAGATGGATAGACTGCAAAAATTTTCTCCCATTCTGTAGGTTGCAAAGACTATGTCTTATTCAATCTTATGTCTTCAGCCATTAATACTTAATATGAGATCCACAAAGGTTTGTGAGTAAAATGAATGAGTAAATGAATGACAGTGAGACCCATCATCCCTGCTGGAGGGGGGATAAAGCACTCAAAGTGCACTCCCTGCTACTGCAGACCTGTAATCACTGTATTAGAAGTCTGTACCATCACTGTAACATGACTGTATTAGAAGTCTCATTGACTAGCAAAAATAACTAACATGATTAATCAAAGGATATAGGAATGTTTTATTGAACCAAAGATCTGGGAGACACCTAAGCTTCAGGGAAGAATTATACCTTGCAACCTGAAATGCAGAGCTCTCTCAATCCCTAAGTTCTTCTCTGTGCATTTGCTATACTCTTTCTCCCCAAAGATCAGTTTTTTCTGTTCTTCAGGTACACAATGAAATATGGCCACCCTGAGCTTGTATCTTACAGTTCCAGTCAAATGGACAGATTGGCCTTTTTGACTCCAATTCCAGATTCCTAGGAGAAAGGATATCGGCTCAGCTTTGCTCATGATTTCAGCTCTGGTCCAATGAGCTATGGCCAGAGGATATGCTCATGCAGTAGATATGTGGGCAGAGTCATCTCCCCTGTAGACTCTGAAGTCAGCTCCCAGAGAGGAGGGAAATCACTAGAAACTTGGCAGACACTCCCAAAGAGATCAGCTATAATTATCTTCACAAATGAAGCTCAGCACATTTTCCAGCACAAATGAGTTTTTGAGAGAATAATACATGCTGGGTCCTCATGACATGCTAATTAATAGCCTAATTTCTGCCAAAGAAAATTCTAAAATTATTTTAAATTATTAAACCAAATCTAATTGTATGCTAAATTATTTGAGATATATTTTTGGCACCTTCTACTTCCTAAACATCTACTCCTCAAATAAAGAGCAAGTCATGAACTAGCGTTATCCAGCCTGGAGCTGAGAGGCTTTGAGAGCCTCTGCCAGGGAACTCCGAATCAAATGGGCCTTTTTATTGAGGAGTTGATTAGCACTGTCCCCTCTGGCCTGATCACCTTCTTATCCAACCATTTCAGGTCTAGCTTAAATTGGAGGTGTTTCCCCCACACATATAGTGTGTCCTCAGATGATCTCCTTGGATAACTCCCTCATCTTCAAATATTTGTTCAAATCTCACTGTCCCTATAAGACCCACCCTGACCAATCAATTGACATTGCAACCCCCATATCAGCACTCTTGAGTCCCCTGGCCCTTCACCAGATTCCCAAATCTCCTAGCAGACGCTTCAACTGATTATGCTGATCATTTGTTTTGTTTGAGAAGTCAAATAATCCAGAAGTCTTTAGACAAATGATACTTACATTATAAAGTGAAAATAAGGTGTCATTCTAACCGATTCTCTGGTAGTTCCTTCCATTGTGTTCTCTTTGAAGATGATGAAGTGAGGCATCTCACTTCCTGGGCAGGGAAAAGGAACATGCACACAAACCCAGAATTCTGAGGCAATTTCATCTGACTGGTTAATTTAGCAGAAGCCAATTTCACCAACAATTTTCTGCAGTGCTTCTCAAATCAAGTGGCAAAGGATTTAATGAAGAGATCCCAGGTGCAATGTTAGTTGCTGCCATCTAGTGGCTTTTGTGAAGGAATAGTGTGATTCCTTGGGCTCTTTTCAAACGCCAGGGAGAAACTCAACCTGGAGAGAGTTCTTGAAGATATCTACCACTGAACCCTTATTAGAATTGTGTGTTTAAATAGAAAGGCTGAAAATGGAAGAAAGAGATCTGTGAAACTACATATTTATACTATCAAAGCAAAAACTTGGTCCATGAATTTATGGATAGATTAGTTTAATAAAACTAAAAATTCTTGGCTTCTTCAGACTCAATTTTTCAAAAATATTCCACATAAAAAAATCCTCCGTAGTCTATTATGATGTCGTTCCTTTATTCACTTAAGGCAATGTGGAAGTCAATGGCCCCCAACCTAGAAAGAAATCATCAGAATCCCTGGGAGAGTTTTGAAAATATTTATTTCCAGGACATACCCCAGACCTGTTGAATCTCAATCTCTAGTGAAGGGGCCAAGAATTTCTTTTTTTTTTTTTAATCCCGGAAAAGTCTGATGATAAGCCATTTTGGATAACATATAGTGCAGAAAAGAGCTTTAGATTTGGAGCTGGACACACTTGCGCTTAAATCCTGGAGATGCCACTTTCTAGCTGTTCAACCTTGGACAAGTCAGCAACCTGTCTGAAATGGGGAATCTTCGTAATTATCCACGGAGTTCACATGAAGATTGAATGAGATTACATATTTATAACCCTGGGCATGGCGTGCAGTAATGGCTGCGAAGGCATATAGGCCTAATGAGAAAGAACCAAATCCTGAACACTCTCCATGTCCAGAGGATGGCACAAATATTTGTTCTCCCCAGCTTCCAGAAATCCCCCTTCAGTCATTCCTGATTCTTCCTCCCATAGGTGCCTTGAGGGGCTCCTCTCCCTTGGCCTCCCCTCCCCTTCTTCTCCTTCCCCTTTTCTTGCAGGGTTCTGACTTGATCAGAAGCTGCCTCTTGTGCCAGCAGGTCCCATTTGCTTTGCATCTTCATGTCCTGCAGAGTTAAGACTCAGGGAACAGACAAACTCCTCTTACTAGGATTGATCTCCTCTCATTACATCTTTGCTAAGTTATGTTAAAAGACCCACTTCCTCCTCTGAGGTGAGAATGGAACAGAGAACCACTTCCCACCACAAATGCAAATTACTATCTGGTATATATCTAACACAAAGATGAGCTCTTCCCCCTTGTTGTCTCTTCTTTGTCTCCACATCCTTTGCCCTTCTTCTCTTCCTTACCAGGTCTACTTTGGGCTGCTCCAGCAGAAAGGACTGCTGGGTGCTCTCCAGTCCAGGACCAGGGACCTAGAAGTGGTTGTACAGGGAAGTAGTGGGGAACCCAGGTCATGCTCCCCATTACAAGTGCTGAATATCCAGTATCTATCTTCCGTGGTTCCACTCTCTCTTTTTATTCTGGTCACCTTGAAAGCCAAGTTAACTTCCAAATCTACCCCCTTAATAATGCAACAAATCACACTAAAACTAAACCATTTTAAAGTAAATTAGCATGTGCCTTCAGCGTTGGACTAAGGTGGGAGTAGGGCTCACACTCTTTGCAGCAGCATGATGTCCTCATGGTTTTCCTCCTACTTCTTGAGCCATCACTTCCCAGTCTCCTTGGCCAGCTTATTCCTGGGCACCAGCCTCACCACTGGAACTCCTGGAGTCTGCAGTTGTTGGCTCTTCTCTTCTCACTCCTGACCTTGCCCATGACCTGGGCTTCACTCATGCTCTACTCTGGGATTATTCCCCAAAATCTCCAGCACAGACCTCTCCTCCCAAGCTCCCTGTATAACTCAACATCTACACTGGCCTGTCTTAAAGGTGTCTCAAACTCAATCTATTGCACACCAAATTTGTATTTTCCTTCTACATCCTACCCAAACTAGGTCTTCCTCTGGATTGCCCATCACAGGGTATGATAACACCCTCCATTCATTGTACTGTGGACTCTACTCCCCTTTACTAACCATAATGAATCTTGTTTGGTCAGCTTTAAACATTTGTAGAGCTCATCAATTTCCCTCTCTCAACCCCAGCCCATCATCTTTGTCCTCTTAGCTGATCTCTCCACATCCATAATTATTCCTTCCTAGTTTCCACACTGCAGCCAGCATGACCCTTTTTAAAAAGCAAATGTACTCGTGTCACTCCTTTGCTTAACGCATGTCAGTGTCTTCTCATTGCTCTTAAGGGACCACTATCTTAATGGCCTGTCAGGCCCTGCATGACCTGGCCCCTGCCTCACCTCTCAGCTCATTCCAAGCTGCTGTTTCACTTACTGTAAACTGCAGCCAACCAATTTCTTTCCATTCCTTCAAGAGATCATGATCACTCCCCACCTCAGGGCTATGGCACAACTTAGTCCCTTAAAAACTCCCAATCTTCCAATTTCTACTAAAAAGGTACTACCTTAAGGCACTTTCTTGAACTGCCTCCCTAGCCCTTTCCCTCCTGCCTTAGTTTGCTAGAAGACTGAGATCAAGGTGTCCATAGGGTTGGTTCCCTGTGAGGCCTGTGAGGAAGATCTGTTCCACGACTCTCTCCTAGCTTTAGGTAGTTTTCTGGCACTCTTGGGTGCTGTTCATTGGCTTGAAGAACCATCGCCCCAACCTCTCTCTTCATCTTCACATCGTGTCCTGCCTGTGTGTGTGTCTGTGTCCAGATTTCCCCTTTTTAATGAGGACGTTATCATATTGAATTAGGGGCTTGCCCTACTCCAGCATGACTTCATCTTAACTAATTATATCTGCAATGACCCTATTTCCAAATAAGTTCCGATTCTGAGGTATGGAGGGCTAGGGCTTCAACATATGAATTTTGTGGGGAGGCACAATTCAACCCCTAACACACCCTGTTTTTCAGGTGGAGTCCTTCAGTTATGTAGTGTCATAGTTCTGCCCTGCAGATTTTTTCTGCCCTGCAGGTTTTTTCTGCCCTGCAGTGTAATTATCACTTGAATAATCACACAAGCAAATGTACATCTATTATGCATAGATTGTAAGCTCCATGAGGGGCCACATCCACTTTTGGTGACCGTTGCATCCCCATGTCTGGCATGTAGCAGTCATTAAGTAGTCACTGAAGGAACACATAAACTCTGTGGCCCTCCACGTTCCCCATTGCATGTCAATGTCAAGAGACCAGACTTTGTCTCCCAAACCTGCTTGATCACTTCTCAGTGATCAAGATCCGGCTGGAGGCAGACCGGTTGACATGAATTGCTGCCCAGTCTTAGTGACCCCCTGAAATGCCAACATGATCTCCCCTATCAAGCCAAGCCCCTGCTAGAAAAGGACATCTCTAAAATGTGTTAGCACACTGCAGTTTCATTTTAAATGTGTCTCATAATCACCAGTGATTACTACTAAGGAGCTTCTCTAGAGATCTTAAAAACAGATTGCTTCCCTAAGGGCTGGAATAGTTCAGCTGGGTACCTAAGGGATGTGTGAAATAAAATAAATTCCTAGCGCCTCTTTTATCTCTAATATTCTAAGATCCTGGTGGTTTGATAACTTTGGACATGGTCCCTTAATGCAGACAGAAGAGTATCTTAGTCTCCTAACTCTCTGACCAACACTTAGATCAATAAGGCACTGTCGACAGTGCACTAGAATAATAAAGAACCCAGATAGGTTGAAAAGCCCTTTGTACCAATATAACTGTAATGCTGTTAGAATCACCTTTCCTGTATGCTCTCAGAAATAAGTGCCGCTTTTGCAAAGTGTTAAGATAATTTAATGTCTGGCTTTTCTGTTTCATCATCTCATGGCATGAGGAATGCTGACTGCTCTAAACGTTGAACTTCTAGAAGCTTGAACCCATTGACTTGCCACGAGTAATTACTTCAGGAAGACTCCTGAGCCAGCGAGAAGCCAGGACAATGCACAAAGCAAAGGTGAGCTGCAGCAGTAACCTGACAGGGAGGTGAACTGGGGGTGGGCGACACAGGATTGGGGCACTGGAGCACACTGGTCCTTTCATGCACTCTCTGCATGGAGGAGTTCAAAGACAAATCAAACTGTTAAGTCATTCAGAGTGAGAACTTTTCAAAGCTATTTATTCTCTTCTGTGCATGCCTCCAACTGGCAGTGGCTATTACCTCTTGCATGAGCTCTGCACCCTTTTCTGCTTTGTGTTGAAAACCAGGGCAATGTAGATGAGAAAAGACTTTTACTTAGAAATTGGTGATTCTGAAGTTTTCAAATCTGTGAAAAATTCAGCATAAGTCCTCCCTTTCATTCCTCCCCTCAGTTTAAAACTTTTTATTCTCAGTTTGCAGGAGAAATCTTATCTACAAGTTATTCCTGACTTATTTGACACAACCTCACCAAAAATTAATCCTGGGAAATGTCTTCTGTGTATCTTTTCCCTGCTATGCACTTATAATGTTCTGTTGACTAGAACTCCCCTCACATAGAAATGAAAGCTTAGAGGTAGAAGCAGATTTTCAACACTTTCCACTCCTAATTTGTTTTGGAGCTTGCTAGGTGCTGCTGTGTGGCTGGCTGACTTGACAAAGATGTCCAGGTGCTGTCACATCCTCAAGCCCACGTTTGTGGTGCTGACAGCATCTGTGGAGATGGCCCCTCCCTGAGGTTCACATCAGCTGACAGTCACTATCCACACAGCAACACAAAAGGTATTGTCAAACACATCATCTTTCCTGGCAACAGCAAATGACAAATGAAGGTATATTGACCTCTGGCTGCCCTCAATAACCGTCTGCACTGTCCCACTGGAGTTTATGATGCACTGGCGGGGAGATGTTCAGAGTCACAAATAATCAACTTCAAATCCTCCCTAAACTGCAATATTCTCCAAGGCTTATGCTGGCATATGGAAATGCACTCTATAGAAATAGGTTCCATTTCACCATTCAGCAGCTTCCCTCTCATTTCATAGCCAGCCAATTACTCAATGGTAAAAGAGGCAGGGAGAAAAAGAAAGGTTTCCTCAAACCAGAACACAATTCTGGAGAGGTGGTAATAAGCATCTGTTTACAAAGGAAGTGATATCTTGCCAAAAATGAGATGTGGAAAGATATTCCCATTTAAGGTTTACAAAACTCTATAGCAACCTAAAAAACTACATATATACACATCAAAGAGCCACTTCATTCATTGATAGTGACACAAAGGACTTGTCAGGGACACACGATAGTCCACTTTTGTCATCACAAGATATCTCTACAGGTTATGACTGATTAAGATCTGACTCTGTTTCAAAAAGGATCTAAACTTGTGAATTGCAGAGTCAGTAACAAATTACCCCATACTAACAAGTGTGTTGTCTTTCATAGCAGGTACTAGAAAAGAAAATGCAAACTCCAATGTATACTTCTGAGAACAGACAATATTTGCATAAGATGCAAGTGCTGGAAATGATCCGTAAAAGACAAGAGGTAAATACGAGAAGAGTGTCATATTTACCAAATTTTCATCACATAATCACTGCCCTGCCACATGAATATATCAAGCATAGATAGCCAGTCTTTACTTAGCATTTTAAATTTCGTCATTGAGGTTGAAGGTTCAACTACTAAAGCTGAGAAGAATCAGGAAGATTCCTTCTGCTGATAACCTTGTTGAGTCTTTTCTAAGTTTGTATCTGTGTATCTGTGTCGCAAGTCTCCATTTTTAAAAACAGTTTGCTCCTATGACATTCTGGACATAGGAAAATGGGGCTAGATCATTTTTCTTGGTTTAGTGAAAGGAGGAGGGGGTGAGTTGTTCTTTATTCTGATACCTAGGCCTCTCTCTATAATTCTTGCCATAGAATTATCTAACAAGAAAGACCTCTTGTAAAAAAAACAACCAACCAACCAAACAAACAAAAAAACCCTTTACCAGTAATGCCTGTAACTGTCATGTTCCAAATTCCTCCCTCTAGGAAATGAGCCTTTAGTTACTGCTCTCTGGAACTCCAATCATATCAGCTAGCTGACAGAAACACACTTTTGTAAAGGTCCTCATCTTAATTGAGCCATACCTTTTTGAGACTGGGTGCACTCACCTTTCTCTTAACAAGCCTGTCAATAAATAAAGTTCCCATACCTTCTAATAGGAAAAAGAAAACCATGTTCTGGTTAGAGGACTGCAGATGTCTACAGATAAGCACACAACTTGCAAAGTGGCTGATCTGTTGATCTAGTCTGGTGAAAGTAGCTTGGGAAGAACATTGATCATTTATAGTTGATGATTTTCAGGCCCAAATGGAGTTAAAGAAAAGTCTTCATGGAGAGGCAAGAATTAATAAGCAAAGTCCAAGGGACCATAAAGCCAAGAAAACCCTTCAAAGCACCCCAAGGAATGATGACCATGACCTTCTAACCATGTTGCCTGATGAAATCTTGAACAGAGGTCCCGGTGAGTCATGTACAATTTTTTAGTAAAACATTTCAAGTGTTTTTAAAACTTCATCAAATAAACTACCAAGGGAGGGACATGATGAGAAGACAGCAAACAGCTTTGAGCTCTTGCTGAGATTTTTACTTCCCAGAATATAGTGGGCATGTTGTCATGTAATTTTGGATGGCTGGGAGGAAAAGACAGAAGCTTAAGCTTGGTAATTAAATGTCTCTTTCTTTGTATGGGTTTAATATGCTTTGCATGCTTCATTGCAAGTCTTGCCTCATCCCTAGAAGCAGAAAAGGCAAAATAGCCTCATCTTGTGGTTAGAGAGAATGAAGCATATGAAGATATATTGCCGGCAGTCACATGGCAAATTTGCTTCAGCAGAGTTGGTACCATATGCAGACACTTATCTTCCTGACTGCACCCTTTTCTGTGGAGGTCAACTCTCTTTGGCACATTCAGAATTTCTAGAATGAATCACTGCCCAACCTAAGCTTGCTGTTCCTGCTGATCTACTGGCTCAGTGAACCAGGCCTCCAATGTCACTCTTCCCTATCTCCCTACAGCTGGTCGGTCACCAAGCCCTGCTGATATCACCTAGCAGTAAAATCTGCCCTTTCTCTTCCATTCCCAGTAGTATTGCCTTAGGTATAGCCCTGGTCCTGTTACACCAGGGCTCCAGCTACAGCCTCCTGACTTGGCCCCTCCCATTAGGTCTTACTGTCCATCCATCAATGATTCACTTCAGTGGTTCTCCATGTGGTCACCAGACCACCAGCATCAGCATCACCTGGGAACCTGTTAGGGCCCCAGCCAGAGTAACTGAATCAAAAACTGCAGGGGTTATGCCCAGTACTCTGGGTTTAACCACCCCTCCAGGTTATTGTGATTCCCTTAAAGTTTAAGAAACACTTAACTTTAAGTGATTCTTAACTCTACTCGGTAATTAAAGTATTACCACATACAAGCATCATCAGTATCACCTGGGAGTTTATTACAAAAGGCAAAAATGGAGGTCATACCCCAGACCTACTGAATGAGAACCTGCATTTTATCAAGATTGCCAGATGATTCTCATGCACACTGAAGTTCTAGAAGCACTGCACTAACATCAGAGTAATCTCATAAAATGCAAATCTGACCATGTCACTCTCCTGCTTAGAAAAACAAGCAGGATTCTTGTCAGCTTAAAAACAACATCTAAACTCCTTAACATGGAGCTAAGTGTGGTGACTCATGCCCGTAGTCCCAGCTACTCAAAAGGCTGAGGTGGGAGGACAACCTGAGGCCAGGATTTCAAAACCTAGCCTGGCCAACATAACAAGGCCTCTGTCTCAATAAAATAAAATAAACTCAACATGGGATCCTAAGCCATTCAGGATCTAGTCATTGCCTACCTAGCCTTTCTAGCTTCATCTTCTGCCACTCTCGCACCCAGCCCCCACATTTCAGCCAGGCCAAATTGTTTATGCTCTCAGATCGCTCTATGCTTTCTAATGGACAGGCTTGTCTACAACTTCTACGCTACATTGCCCCACCAATTAGAGCCCCATTAAGTTTTCCTTGTTTGTATTTCCCCAGGGCAAACCCACAGTTGAAATTTCCAATATTGTTCACACACACAGATCGCTGTGCCGTGGGCCAAATCCCCACATCAGCAGGACTGACCCACCGCTGAGAGAGCTGCAGAAAAGCTGGCTATGTCTCTGGAGGTCTTGAACTTCTAAGACGCAAAATTGCCTGCTGAAAGAGACACTGCTCCTACTTGGAGAAACAAGACGCTCGATCAATAAGTTAATTAAATAAGAAAAGGCTGAATAATTGAAAATCTACTTGGGGCATCTATTTAACCTATACTTCCAAGTCTCAGAATGAAATATCCTTTGTAGTCACATAAACAATTTTTACCATTTAAACCGTACCTTAAAAAATATACACAAAACAACCAAGAAAAAAACCTCACCTAAAGTTAGACATTTAAGAGTCATCACTTGAGAGCACGCCAAGAAAAACCAGCATTGGCAAAGTCCCTGGAAGATGTCTCAGACCTGGAGGGGACCAAGGAGAAACTGGCACATGGAGAAAGGGGTTTTCCTCTGCTCTCCTGATGCTTTTTAAAGCTGCTTCGTTTTGTTCAAGCTAAGGTTTGTTGAGTGCTTACTATAAGCCAGGTACTGTGGTTTGCCTTTAATATGCATTATCTCTTTTAATTCTCACACAACCTAGAAGGTAGGAGCTACTATTCGCCCCAGGGTGATAGAGCCAGAATTCAAGGTCAGGTCTTCTTGACTTGCACTCTCACACAGCCCCACCAGGACACCAAGGACTTGGAACTCTGTCAAGGACAGCTTTGGAAAAGTTTGCAAATGTGGGGGTTGTGAGTCCTTGACCTTATTTACAAAGAAGGCTGCACTCTGCGACTTCTGAAAGGAAAGTTAAAGCAGCTGGCAGACTTTGGAGCTCATGTTCTCCTGGAAGTGATGGAGTGTAGAGAAGGGAGAATAGAAGGAGTAACTCAGGCAGGAACCAATTCAAGTGCCAGTCAGGGAGGTGTAGCTGCATCAGTAGTGCACAAAAGCTCAGTTATGAGCAGAACCACCTGAGGAGCTTCTCAAGAACACCCAGTCATGCCTGTAATCCCAGCACTTTGGGAGGCAAAGGTGGGTAGATCACCTGAGGTCAGGGGTTCGAGATCAGCTTGGCCAACATGGTGAAACCCCGTCTCTACTACAAATACAAAAATTAGTCGGGCACAGTGGCAGGCATCTGTAATACCAGCTACTCGGGAGGCTGAGGCAAGAGAATCGCTTGAACCCAGTAAGCAGAGGTTGCAGTGAGCCGAGATCATGCCACTGCACTCCAACCTGGGCGACACAGCAAGACTCCATCTCAAAACAAACAAAAGAAACACCCAGTCCTGTCTCCCAGCTTCATCCTACCGAATCTGAATCTCTAGGTTGATGGTGAAAGAATTTTACATTTTAAAAGTTCCTCAAGTGATTTTGAACATTAACCAAACTTAGATGGACTAGATAACCCTTGAGAACTCTTTCAACACTTTAACCGTATGAGAATCTTTTTCTTTGTAACAACTCCTGTACGTGTGTGTGTGTGTGTGTGAGATACACGTGACAAAATGAGCCTAGAAAATGTAGATTTTGCTAGCATGAAATAGAGAGGGAATTCTAACTCTTCCTATTATAATGATATCATAATTAACTAGACTTTTAGAATAACATGTCTGCATCAACTCACTTGCCTATTGCTGAAGTTGTTGGAAAGAGAAGTAAAGCAAATATCACTGGAAATTTGTTTGATGATAGAGAGATTACAATGCCTCCAAAGGATATCATTCTGTTCTGTGCTGCAGTGTTCACTGTGCAGCCCTGTACATGTAAAAGTATAGGATACTGGGATAATAATGGATACAGCTAGTATTTACAAGTGCTTCTAAGAATTTTAAATGCAGCATTTAATCTTCATATTAACTCTACAAGGTGAAAATTATTACCACCTCTCTTCTACAGATGAAGAGTCTGGGTCCAGAGAGGTCCAGTCACATATGCAAGGTCACAGCCAGCCAGTGAGAGGTGAAGCTGCTCAGGCGTGCACTCACGGGGCACCTGACTCCTGAGGCGACAGCCTTCACCTCTGTGCTCGGCATTTGTCCTAGCGATGATTCCTTTTTGCTTATTCCCAGAGAGCATCTTTGATTTCTTTCCACGCCTTCTAAAAGTAGTTCGCTTTCTCCTACAAATGGAGTGTAGCTAAGATCTTACACTTACATAAGCATTCTACTATCAGGGTCTGGTCATTAAGCATTCTACTATCAGGGTCTGGTCATTAAGGTTCCTCTGTAGCAGTCTCCTCTTAATGACATACTGGCCCATTCTTGTTCCCCTGTTGAAAGGTGAAATGAGGGTTGTGGCTCTCTTGTGAGATAAAAGTCAGTTGCTGCTTTCTACTGCATCTTTAAAATGAAATCTCCCACGCTTTACATGTATTTTACATACATTCCTATAATAAATTACATATACAATCATATGACACAAATGATATATAATGTACACATAGTGAATGTCACTCTTTTTGGTGTACAAGTCTATGAGATTTAATGTGTTTCTGTGGCTCCTACCCTTTGCTGAAGCTGTGACATGAATGAACACAGAGGGTGGGAAGAGCACCGGAACTGACCTCAAAGCCCTTCCCTGAGTCCCAGTAGTGCATCTACTAAATGGAAGCTCCATGAAGGCAGGGACCTTTTCTTGTCCCTAGAATAGTACCTGACACATGATAGCCTCTCAATAAATATTAACTGTATATTTTTCTATATAATTTTATTCTAGAGAGAGAAAGAATATAGCTAAATTCTAGTTATTTAACCTCCAGGAACCTCAGTTTCCACATCTGTAAAATGGGAATAAAGTTATTGTATACCATGTAAAGTTTATGTAAAAATTAACATGTATAAAAGCACACATAAAATGTAAAGTGTGGCCAGGCACTTTACAGGCCATAGCTCATGCCTGTAATCCCAGCACTTTGGGAGGCTGAGGAGGGTGGATCACTTGAGGTCAGGAGCTCGAGACCAGCCTGGCCAACATGGCAAAACCCCGTCTCTAGTAAAAATACAAAAAATTAGCCAGGAGTGGTGGCACATGCCTGTAATCCCAACTACTGGGGAGGCTGAGGCACGAGAATTACTTGAACCTGAGAGGCAGAGGTTGCAGTAAGCCGAGATCACACCACTGCTCTCCAACCTGGTCGACAGAGAGAGACTCTGTCTCAAAAAAAAAAAAAAAAAAAAAAAAAAAAAAAGAAGCTAAGTGCCGTACAAATGTATGGGAATATAGACAAAACTGAAGAAGGATAGAATTGATGTCTTTTTTTTTTTTTTTTAAGACAGAGTTTCGCTCCTGTTACCCAGGCTGGAGTGCAATGGCATGATCTCGGCTCACCGCAAACTTCGCCTCCCAAGTTCAAATGATTCTCCTGCCTCAGCCTCCCGAGTAGCTGGGATTACAGGTGCCTGCCACCACGCCCAGCTAACTTTTGTATTTGTAGTAGAGACGAGGTTTCACCATGTTGGCCAAGCTGGTCTCGAACTCCTGACCTCATGATCCGATTACAGGCATGAGCCACCGCGCCTGGCCACAATTGATGTCTTATAGTGAAAACAGTCATATGCTTCAGGGATGTGTCACTTTGAATCCATTATTTTAATGTCAGCTTCAAAATTCTGGTCTTATCTGGCCACCTGCACTCTTTCTATAAAGAATCTTGTTTTATTTTATTTTTTTATAGATTTTATTTATTTATTTATTTATTTATTTATTTATTTATTTTGAGATGGAGTCTCACTCTGTCGCCCAGGCTGGAGTGCAGTGGCACAATCTCTGCACACTGCAAGCTCCGCCTCCCGGGTTCACGCCACTCTCCTGCCTCAGCCTCCCGAGTAGCTGGGACTACAGGCGCCCGCCACCATGCCCGGCTAATTTTTTGTATTTTTAGTAGAGACGGGGGTTCACTGTGTTAGCCAAGATGGTCTCGATCTCCTGACCTCGTGATCCGCCCGCCTCGGCCTCCCAAAGTGCTGGGATTACAGGCGTGAGCCACTGTGCCCAGCCTGTTTTATTTTTTAATATAGCTCTGTATGTGAAATTCTGGGTTTGATAGAGTAGTGATACATTTTTCTGAAACACATAAAATACACAACCATCAAACAGTTTTCATGCTTTACGTGATTCTTCTACTACCTAAATCACTTCCTATTTTTCCCACTGACAGCTGTTGCTTTCCTCTCTCCCTAAATTAATTTTGGAGTAGGATACACTTTCCTTTACTCTGCTCACCCGAAACCCATTTAGGTTTTTAAACACTGTGTTTTTATTTTTTAAAGTCTATAAACCACAGAGAATTAAATGAGGATTTATAAAAATGTAACAAGTAATAAGAAACCTAGCTCAGAAGCTCTCAAATTTTAATGCTGTGTACACAAAACTATGTATGTAATACTTTATGAGTGACAAAGGATTTATTTTCAAGGATGAAACTGAATATTTGAATTTTGTCTCATACACTAACATTAGACCTGAATTTTCATAACATCAATGGTGTTGTGGGACTTAGGCTATCATTAATATTTCACTAGATCCCACCACAAACAAACATTCCCCTTCTGTTTCAGAGCTCCTGCTGATAGCTGGATGTTCTAGAAAATTCCTGTTCCCAGTCTGAATGGTGCCTCTGGTAGTTCTTGACTAATTTGCAGAGCAGAGATGATTGGCATTCCTGAGCCCCAATGAATGGGGCCTTTTTTAGGTCCTAGTTACCAATACTTCCCATCTCCCAAAATTCTCTGATTGCTCATTTGTTTATTCATTTATTCATCTATTTGTTCACCAAATATTTATTTAGCACATACCAAGTGCCAGGCATTGTGTGGTCGTTTCATTGTATGGTGATGAGCCAGGCAGATATGGTTTCTGGTTTTAACAAAGAGATGTTTAACAAGAGTATAACAGGTAGACCTGGTATCTGTGGAGTCAGGGAAAGTTTCCATGAGGAAGGGACATTTAAACTGAGATAAGAAGTAGCTGGATGAAGTGGGGAGGAGGGCATGTAGGTGTGAGGACCATGGGTGCTGGAATTTTGAAAATGGTAATCAACCACAGCATGTGCAAAAGTCCTGCAGTGGGAAGGAACACGATGGACTCTAGGTGAATGAGAGATTCAGAGAGTAACTGGAGATGGTTCTGGAGACATGGGCAGGGCCAAATCACACAGGGTTTTGTAAGCCATGTCAGATAAGAATTTTAAACTCT
Source organism: Homo sapiens (assembly GCF_000001405.40). Lineage (NCBI taxonomy): Eukaryota > Metazoa > Chordata > Mammalia > Primates > Hominidae > Homo > Homo sapiens. The sequence goes on along the minus strand of NC_000014.9, from coordinate 57,473,782 downwards.
ATCTTAAGATCAATGGGAAGCCACTGATAAGGCAGGAGAGTGGCATAAGCAGGTTCATATTTTTAAATGTCACTCTGTCTACACTGTGGAGAATGGGTGGGAGGGGAAAGTAAAAGGATGAAGGAAGACCAATTATAAGGACACAACAAAAGCACAAGTGAGAGATGATGTTGAGACCAGGATAGTGGGGTCACGATCAGGATGGAGAGAAGCAGCCAGATATGAGATCTTTAGGAAACAGAATGATCAGAATTATCAGGTGATAGGTTAGATGTGAGTGCATGGAGAGGGTAAGGAGGCCAGGTAGATTCCTGGGTTTCTCTTGAACAATTAGGCAGACAATGGGGTAAAGTTAGTACCGTTTGCTGAATTAGGGTAGCCAGGAGCAGAAGCAGGTTTGTGAGAGAAAGAGAAGGTAGGGCTGCATTATTGCCAAGTAGATATCAAAGTGGAGGTGTCCAGTTTTACAAAAACGTCCTTTGTAGCTTAGGAAAGAGATCAGGGCTGCAGACGTTAAGATGGTTATCTGCCAGTGCTATCTAAATAGGCAACAACAATCATTATAATAGTATTCAAGGGGAAAAACTGGTAGCCTCTCACTGAGGCCCAAGAAATCACAAGGCATGAATTCTCACATTAAAATGCTTGTTTCCAACTCACCAGGCTGTATACATTCAATATGTGTAGCTTTTGTATGTCAATCTTAGTTCAATAAAGTAGTTTTTAACAATATGGTGCACAAGGTAAAAAGAAATACTTGATTTTCTTATATAATAATACACAACTTCAGATATCAAGGGCTTACATAAACTATGCCAAAAGATTTAATAAACAATCATCATTAAGATGACATCCAAAAAGTTATGGTCGTTTCAACCAGTCTAGTGGGAAACTCTGGGCTTTGACCTAGGATTTTTGTTTCAGCTCCAAAGTGGTTGGGAAGATTTTGTTTTCTTAAAAGCCAGCTTTCCTTGAACAAAGCTCCTGTTGCTTTCTGGAGTGCCTTATAAAGAATGCTGGGAACTGCTTAAATAAAAAACTAAGGTAAATACATATGCACATAAATAAAATCCCAAACTAAAAATAAATTGTCTCTTTTAATAAAAAATATAAAGTAAAATAGAATGCCAGACTCACTGAACTTCCCAGTACTATGGGTCTGGAGAACAGTTTAGACATCTCTTTCTAAAAGGCTGCAACAGGTGATTCTGCTATGAAGCCAGAGTTGATGTGAATGTCAGAAGTATATATTATGTGTCTAGCACATAGTAGATGTTCAACAAAAAGCACTACCCAATGTCACCTGTGCAATATTCTTGCCCAAAATGTTTAACCTCAATTTAATAACAAGGAAATAATAAGGTAAGCTGAAATTTAGGATCATTCTGCAAAATAATTGACCTGGATTCTTTAAAATGTCAGCATTACATTAGGAAAAATGAAAAAGACAATGAAGATGGAAGAGGAAACAGAAGAGGAGAAAGAGGAGGAACGGTGATGGGGTGTAGAGATTGTGGGAGAAAGAAAGAGAAGAAAAGGGTAGAAGAGTATTCTTGAATTAAAGGATACTGAGATGAGAAAATAAAATGCAATATATGATCCTAGATTGGATCCTGGACCTAAAGATTAAAACACAAACAGCAAATAAAAAGTAGTTATAATGGGCATTATTGTGACAACCATGGATATTTGAATATAGACCATATATTAGAAAACAGTATTATATCAATGTTAAATTTCTTAAGTGTAATAATTGTATTGTAGTTATGCAGAGAAAATGCCCTTGGTCTTAAGAGATTTGTAGTGATATATTTAGGGGGGAGGTGACTCTGCCACTAATTTTCAAATGGTTCAGCTGAAAAGTATGCATAGATAGATAGATATATGCATATATATGATGAAAAAGTATTGTGGCAAAATGTTGATGGATGGGGTATATAGGTGTGTGTTGTATTATTGTGACTTTTGGAAGATTTAAATCATTTAAAAAATAACAACTAAAAAATGTTTAATGCTTACAGAGACACCAGTTGAAATGTATATATATATATATTATATATATATATAATTTTTCAAACTATGTATATATAGTTTGAAAAACCACCAAGCAGATTATTTATTAAGCTAGGCACTTAATAAACAAATAAATCATTGCTAAGGGAAAAAATTAAAGAAACTTAATTTTTTTGTAGGAAATTCAAAGAATACAGAATTTTTGAAACATCAAGCAGTGAATAACTACTGTCCCTGGAAAATTGGCAAAATGGAAACATGGCTTCATGAACAAGAGGCCCAGGGACAGCTTCTCTGGGACAGTTCCAGCTCTGACTCAGATGAGCAGGGGAAAGATGAGAAGAAGCCACGAGCACTGGTGAGGACCAGGACAGAGAGAATCCCACTTTTCGATGAGTTTTTTGATCAAGAATAAGAATACTATTCATTAACCTAGAAACTGAGTGCTTTGAAAGCTTGTTTTACTCTCAAAATCTTCCAAACTGATATATGAATTACTTTGAGGACAGCAAATCACTTTGGTAAAAAGAAATGATATCTTTAGAGTCTTATGATTAACAAGTCCGTCACATGTGCTGTTAACTATTGCTGCATAACTAAATGCCTCAAAACACAGGGGCTAACCAAGAGCCATTTTATTGTCTCACTTTCCTGTGGGTTGCTGAGTTCAGCTAGGTGGTTCTTCTGCTGTTCCCTTTTGAAATCTTTCATGTCATTGAAATTGGACTACATTTGGACTACTAAGACTGGAGTCATCCAGAGGCCCCATTAGGACACTGACACAGGGGGACCTTGCCCCCTATCCATGTAGCCTCAGAGCATCTGCATATGATCTCTTCAGCAGGACACTGCAGAGATTTCTCTCATATGAGCCCAGGGCTCCCAAAAGCAATTGTCTCAAGAGGAGGAAACAGAAGTTGCCAGTCTTCTTAAAAGCTAGTCATAGAACTGACTTTGCATCACTTCCACCATGTTCTGTTGGTTAAAGTCATAGACCAGCTTGGAGTTAATGCAGAAGAGGACTACACAAGGGCATGAGTGCCAAAGTGTGGTCCTTTGGGGTTCATCTTTGACATTTGCCACCTCACCATGTTTTTAAAAAGAAAATTAGATTACATAAAACAAATAGATGGGCTGGATGTGGTGGCTCACACCTGTAATCCCAGCACTTTGGGAGGCCGAGGTGGGCAGATCACTTGAGGTCAGGAGTTCAAGACCAGCCTGGCCAACATGGTGAGACACCGTCTCTACTAAAATACAAAAATTAGCCAGACATGGTGGCATTCGTCTGTAATCCCAGCTACTTGATGCGAAGGCTGAGGCAAAAGAATTGCTTGAACCCAGGAGATAGAGGTTGCAATGAGCCAAGATCACTCCACTGCACTCCAGCCTGGGCGACAGAATGAGACTCTGTCTCAAAATTAAAAAACAAAAAACCAAAAACAAATAGATGAAAAAGTAGACTGGAGACAAATAAAAGTGAGTTTCTAAAGGAAATTCACAGTAATGCTGCATTAAACACTAAGCTCACTTAGGTCACTTTCTAGTGAGCTAACCGTAACAGAGAGCCTACAGGATACACGTGAGATAATGTCACGTGTAGAAGATCGTTGTGAATTAAAGTTCAAAATTAAGACTTCTTAGATTATGATGTAGATTTTAGAGCTCCTTAAAACATAAAGCGAATCTTATAAATGTTCAATTCTAAAGTTATTCCACTTGGAAAAATTAGCTTTTGGGACAATTTTTAAGAACTTTTGTGTAAAATGCAGCTCCATGTTTAGCATAATCTAAAAATAATTTCAAGCAATCCAGAATCTTCCAAGAATTTATTAAAGCTTTAAAACAAAGCAAAACAAAAAGACCCTTTTGTGCCTTATATGGGAAGACTCCAAAAACAGAAAAAAATAGAGGAAAACACCACTTCAATTTGACATTCAATGCATTCACATCAGAAACTAAGAAGATAACAAGCCTGAGATGTCAGGTGATAAAAATTCATGTTTCTTCCAAGGACAGAAGGCTATTAGATTGTCCCAGGCCATATCTATTCCCAGTTCTTTGTGAGTAGTCTTCTTACTTTTTCTGTGGTAGGTAAGAAGCATATTTCCACCAAAAGAAAGCATGCATTGTTTGACTAGCCAGCTTTCTAGAAAAAATGAGATCCTTGAGAGGATAAACAAATCCAACCTATTCATGGTGTCCTCACTTATTGTGGTCAATTTGGAAGGCTTAAAACACAAAAAATGGGATGGATAACTTTGAACACTAAAATTAGTGGAGCCAAAGGCACGTCTTCACCATTCTGTTATGTGACTTAAAATTCAATTTCACGAAACCCACTTCCACAAGCTTAATGAACTGTGAGCTACATGAGGGCATAAACCATGTCTTCTTTGTATGGTATTTCTGCTTCCTAGCAGGACAGCTGGCAAAGAGTTTATCATTAAATGTTTGCTGAATTAATGAATGTGTTGAGTTGACTAGTCAATTAGAGAAACACTTGTTTCTCTCCAGCTATGCAGTTGCTCACCCTCATTTCCATCATCTCCCAGGAGTCTTGGATAGACAAGGTTGATTATATAGTAAAGAAAATGACTTTTTCTTGCAAAAGCTGTTGCCGTTTATACATCTAAATGAATGGCCAAAATTAAGCATTGCCTTGGGATACAGGAACTATGTGTATATGCCAATAAGGATGCCATAGCTCAAAATACTTTTCAAAACTATCAGAGTGTGTTAGCTTCCAAAGAAAATCCATCCTAATGCCTTCTCTGTTTATTAGCCAGCTCCATGTAGAACTCCTTATAATGCAGTTATGATGAATTCAAGGATTTTAAAGGAGTAATAATTATAGTAATAATTGCCAACATGCATTTCCTGTTTATTGTGGGCCAGTACTCTTCAAATATTTTACCTATTTAATCCTCATAATGATTTTGTAGGTCAGTATTAATATCATCCCCATCTTAAAGATGAGGAAATTGGGACACAGAAAGGTTAAGTAAGTTGCCAGAGTCACCTAGCAGAACTTCCCTTTGGAGTAGACTATTGTTTACCAAAAGTGACCTGATAGAAGCCAAGGACTCTTCCCTCCTTTCCTCAATTTTACTTCCAACTCACCAACTACATTACACAGCACTCTGTATTTCTTTTGCATTACATGGTGTGGTTCCTTTTGGGAGGAGTGGGGAAGAGGTAATAGTACACTAGAAAGGGTGAGAGCTTTGTGGAATTATCTTTTAGCAAGGAATAGCTTAACTGATAGCCGAACTGCAGGCAAAGGGAGGATAAAAGCACAGAAGAAAGGCAGATGAGAGAGTAAAGGAAACCTTAACTGTCTTCCCAATTTGGCCTAGGGAATCAGTCCCCAACCTTTCAGCACCAGGGACCAGTTTTGTGAAAGACAATTTTTCCACAGATGGGTGAGACAGGGGATGGTTTCAGGACGAAACTGTTCCACCTCAGATCATCAGGCATGAGATTCTCATAAGGAGCATGCAGCTTAGATCCCTTGCCTGTGTAGTTCACAATAGGGTTCACACTCCTATGAGAATCTAATGCCTCTGCTGACCTGACAGGAGGGGGAGCTCAGGCAGTAATGCTCCATTGCCCACCACTCACCTCTTGTGTACGGCCCAGTTCCTAACAGGCCATGGACCAGACCAGCACCTGTCCACAGCCCAGGGGTTGGAGACCCCTGGCCTGGGGGCAGCATAGGTGAGCATCCCCACTGAAAAGCCCCATCCAGGGTGGATCAGTTGCACACTGTGACAAAGACTCAAGGGTAGCAGGTAGCTCAGTTGCACAATGTGACAAGGACTCAAGGGTAGCAGTTCTCGATGCTGGCGACAGGTTAGAATCACCTGTCAATGATCAAAAACTAATAACAACCAAGATTTCTGGGCCCCACCTTTTGATTTAATTGGGTTGGAGTAGAGCTCTGGCATTGGGTGGTTGAGTTTTTTTTTTTTAAGCTTCCAGGTGAATCTATCACACAGCTAAGTTTGAAAATTACAGCTTTAGCAATAAGAACATTCTATTTTACCAGATTATATCACCTTCTAGCTATAAAAGAAAGAACTTCTGAGATAGTTTTTTAAAGTTAAGGACATTAGGCCTGGAGCTTCACAAAACAGTAAGAGAAATGTTCATTTTGTAAGTAATTTTCTGAGAACACCAATCCTACAGTTAATCTCGAATTTGTTCAGGGCAATGTACGGCCATCATAAAACCAGCTGTTGCTGATAAAAGCTATAAAATTCAGCCTAGAGGTAAAGCTGTCAATTTTCTTCAGCTGAAAATCTCTCCAGCTTTGGAAAGAAAATAGGCTTGTCTAGGACTAAATTCATACTTCCTCTTGTGAAAATAATATTTTCCTTCTTGCTCTGAATTTTTCATTAGAAAGAGAAATATCTTTTTTTGCTTGAATACTTTTGGAAATATATTTTTCTCAATTTTTTTTCAGGCAGAGTGTTGTTTTTCATCACGTACTTATTTTGATGATAATTCAGAGTTACTATACTGGGATTTAACTAAACGTAACTTTTGTAGGAGTCACCTATGAAATAGACTTGTGAACAAATGGATAATGTTTTCTGCTTACATAGAGCCTTTAAAAACAGAAAATAGAACCCCAGCTCTTTGTGCCCCTCCCTTTCTTACCACAGAAACATAATGGTCATCAAATTATAATTAACATCAACTATTTTCTGCCTTGAATAAACAATAAAAGCCTATTTCCACATATTACTGCAAAACCTCACCAATTTAGATTGCTACAGGGAAGGCTTCGGAGAAAGTATGCTAAAGGGTAGGTTATGGAAGGTCCGACCATTAAAAATCTGAATTACATCTCATTTTAAGAGAAATGCTATTTCATTCAAGTACAGAATACACAATAACACAATTGGAAACTAAGTCAATAGTTAAGGATTTTTTAAAGATATGTACTTTATAATAAGTCTGCAATTCATTCATTTGTGTATCATTTAATCATGCATTCAATGAGTGGGTTTGAGTATTACTACATGCCAAGTACTGTTGCAGATGCTGAGAATATAGCCATCAACAAGACAAAGTCCCTGGACCCATGGGTTACATTCCAGTGGGGGAGATCACGAGCAGATAGTCAAGTACAAGATAATACAACTTAATGTAATGTTAAGCATGATTAAGAAAAATAAATCAGATAACAGGGTAGGCAGGGATGGAGTGAACTGCTTGAGGCAGGATGCTCAGGGAGAGACTCTGAGGAAAAACCATGAATGAAGGGAAGGTGTGAACCATGAGAAGATCCATGGAACAGGCTTTACAAACACCAGAAGAGCAGGTGCAAAGGTCCTGAGACAAGAATGAGCTTATAAGGTTCAAGAGCCAACAAGAAGGCCAGAATGACAGAGCGACCAAAGGAGAGACAAACAGGGATGATGTCAGAAAGCTGGTCAGGGCCCAGATGTGAGAAGCCCAGAGGAGCATGGTATGACAATGGGTTTGAAGTGTAATACAGTTTTAGAGTCAGAAAGGAATACTTGTGGTCTAGACTGATATCTCCAATATAATCATGAACAAAGGCAAACAGACCCACTAAAGTCACATGGCCATAGCTAGCTGACCTGGGGCTGACCCTGGACCCACTGAGCAATCAGAGAGGGCCTTGGTTTCTGCTGGTGGCAGGAAGCTCAGCGAGGAAGCTCAGGAGCAATGGGTGGCAGTGCTCTGCCCTGTAGGCCAGAGATGCAGAGAATGCTGACCTGTAGCAAAGAACCAGAGAGACCCACTGAGGCCTGACAGTACATCTGTTCCTCATTCCCAGTCCTTCCCAAGGCCCTGCTGCCCCCTGCCCTTCATTCTGAGACTGTATCCCTATCATAAATTGTGCTTTCTGCTTGGGCCAGCTCCAACCGATTTCTGCTTCTTAAAATCAAACAACTTCAACTAATAGATATCTTAAGCAGCAGCCACCTCCTTGCCTCATGACACAACAGCAGAGGCTGTGGTGTGCTGGAATCGGCATGAGTGGCCAGCACCAGCTCTCAAAAGGAACCATGAGGATCTCTTCCCAATCTGTGTTCAGTGATGCCATGCCGGCCATGGTGGGAACATTTACACCAGAAAAATTAGTGAATGTTGCAGATCAGGGCTTTTTTCAGAAAGCTGATATTAAGCATTTACTGACACAACTGGCTAGAAGTAAGACCCACCAGGCTCTGGAGCCAGAAGTCACAGCCCAGCTTGGCCAATCCCTCTCTTAGGTAATTATTTCACCTGTCTGGCCAGCATCCTCACTGTAAAATGGGGAAAAGGATAATGCCAACCTAACAGTGTGTTGTGGCAATGAAATAAGATAATACACATAAAGTGCTTAGAACAATGCCTGACACATAATAACTGCTCAATACACACTAGTTACCAAACAATGTTATTACCATTGAAATTAGGAATAAAATAAGATTTTGTGTGTGAGAGTGGTTCTAGAAGTCTAATCAGTTCAACAAGACAGAACAAAAGCCAGAAGTACACAACTACGGAACCATGAAAATAAATGCATCACAATTAGCAGGGGAAGTAATTATATGGCTGGACTACCCAAGGGAATCAACTGAAACATTTTTTGATTTAATAATGGAATTAAATGGGTGTTGGATAAAAGAACTATATTTTAAAATCAACAGCTTTTGCAAACCATTTCTCGGAATTTATCCAACAGAACACTGTGCAAAGACAAATGCTCAAGGGTAAATAGTGAGTTCACCGATCACAAGGGAGATGTCTCAGGGTACACTATCTTGGAATATCCTTTCTCTGTAACTCCAAGTCTCAAGCTCCCCTTTCCATTACTATTGAAAACTGTGCTCTTACCAATCCAGGGTACTTTTGTCACTCCTGGCTTGAAGTGCACCCTCAGGATTCTCTCCCACTCTCCCTTTTTCCTCCCCAGCCAGGGTCCATGGCTGGGGGAAGACACACAGGCCTTGATTATGGTGCTATCCTGGGGGCATGTGGGGAATAGCTCATTGGTGCCATCCTTTGTCCAAACTGGCCTCGACTGAACGATACCCATCTTGATGATCTTGGGCATCGGCCTTTCTCTCCTGAGCATCTACCCCAACCTCCCTGGCTGGTGTCACTTCCCACCATACTCTCAGCACTAGCCTTGTGTAATGATTGCTCAGGAAGAAGCCCAGTGGTTTTCTCCTGCTGAGATGGTCACCACCTCAGTCTAGAGGGTGTGACTCATCCTTAAATAATCAACTATATCTTCTATACAGTCCCTAAGGTAGGCTGTCCATGCCTCATGCTGTGCTAAGAAATCCCCATGGCTCTCAATTCTCAGCTCCCCTCCCCCTACTCTGCTTTGGAAGCCTTGGAAACTTCTTAAATATTCTCCATAACCTATGGGGCAGGGAGATGAGGGGCCTATCTCAGGCACTCTCTACCAAAACATGTCTTGCTGCCATTATTACTGTGCTGTAGTCCACAGATGTTGCCCTCCTGAAGTAGCAAACAGGTGGAGGCAACGTACCATGAAGCTCAGGAAGCTTCAGCTTCAAGGCCCCTCGTGCACACAGTCCTCTGCCCTGGGAGGAGCACTAGCAAATCATTTACATGAGTTTTCATTACAGTTCTCCAGGAGCAGACAAGGATGAAATGCAAGCAGTTTATGTTGGAGCTGATGCCACGAAATACCAGTAGAGGAGTAAAGTGAGACAGGGAAAGCTGCCAATCAAGGGGCATAATCAAGGAAGTTACTATTCTGGGTACCAGGCTTAATCCTGCTGGGGAATTCTGTGCCTCAAAGTTATCTCATCTATAGAAGAAGTATGCTGGGGTCTGATACACCACCTTTAGTCAGTCATTGGTTGATGGCTGCCAGAGCATGAGGGAAGAAGAATTAATTATCTGGTACTTCTTAAATGCCATGTATCCTCAGGTCTATCTGTGGAGAGAAGTTCTCAGGCTCACAGATACAGATGCTGGTAAAAGCCAAGCCAAATTAAGGCCTGTGGGGATACGATGGGGGCGCCAAGAGCTTACTACAACTTGGTTACATGTTTTTGTAAAATGTGCAAAAGTGGCCAGCGCGGTGGCTCATGCCTGTAATCCCAGCACTTTGGGAGGCCAAGGTAGGTGGATCATGAGGTCAGGAGATGGAGACCATCCCAGCTAACACGGGGAAACCCTGTCTCTACTAAAAATACAAAAAAATTAGCCAGGCGTGGTGGTGGGCACCTGTAGTGCCAGCTACTCTGGAGGCTGAGGCAGGAGAATCGCGTGAACCCGGGAGGCGGAGCTTGCAGTGAGCTGGGATCACGCCACTGCACTCCAACCTGGGTGACAGAGCAAGACTCTGTCTCAAAAAAAAAAAAAAAAAAAAAAAAAAAAAAAATCAGTGGTTGCCAGGGATTAGGGGAGAGAAAGAGTTGAATAGGTGGAACACAGAGGATTTTTAGGGCAATGAAACTACTCTGTAAGATACTACAATGGTGGATACATGTCATTATACATTTGTCAAAAACCCATAGAACGCACAACACCAAGAGTGAGCCCTCATGTAAACTATGGACTTTGGGTGAGCATTGCGTGTCAACATAGGCTCATCAGTTGTAACCAATATGCCACTCTGGTGGGAGATGTTGGTAACAGGGGAGGCTGTACATACGTGGGGGCAGGGATATTTGGGAAATCTCTGTACCTTTGTCTCAAATTTTCTATAAAACCAAAACTACTCCAAAAAAAGTCTAGTAAAAATAAAAAATTTTGGTTTATAAAGGCTATCATGTTTTCCCCTCCAATTTCCCCTCTGTCACACTTCCTTCCCCTTGGGTAGTATGTGAAAAGTACCAGCAGCTCTCAGAATCTGGCCAAAGGGAAGTCCAATTGGGGCTATACTCAGTTGGGGTATAGTGGGATATATTACGTGATTCCCAGTCCCTTCCATGTGTAGTTGTTATCTGTAACCATTGTGATGAAGGAATGGCTTGGAGGCACACCTCAGCTGCCCACTGACTCATCCAGAGATGTGAGACCAGGGATTGTGTTGCAATATGAACGTACCCTGCAGCACCTGGCACTGGAAGTATGGAAGTAGTGGAGGGGAGATGAAGTTCTAAATATGCAATGCCAAAAGCTAGTCAGTCTGTGGTACATCGGGCAGTTAATTAATAGAAATACTATATTGTATTTCTGTTTTCTGTGACATTTGTGGTATTTGTCAACTTTGTAAAATTTATAAACAAAACTTTTTTCTCATAATAAATATTGCTTTCAGTTCCAATTTTATATTCAGAATTTTTATTCTTTTTTCCTTTTTTTCTTTTTTGGTAGACATGAGGGTCTCCCTATGTTGCCCAAGCTAGTCTTGAACCCCTGGGCTCAAGCAATCCTCCTGCCTCAGCCTTCCAAAGTGCTGGGACTACAAGCATGAGTCATCATGCCTGGCCTACACTTTTTCTTAAAGAAGACACTCGAAAACATATGTTTCTGTCCAGCTTGCAGTCAGAGACAGAAGCTTTTCTGCTGTTAGATCAACAAATATTCCTAAGGGCAGGAGCGATAGTCAAAATATTTAACTATACTCATAGCATGGGCGGCAACCAATCAATGGCTCCAGCATGGTCCTCTAAACCTAACTTACTGAATCAGGATAAGCTCCTCCTCTTGGACTTTGAACCAAAGGAAAGGCCAGGTTCCACATTAGTTTCAAAGCTCTCTTGCTTTCTTCTCTCAGTTTCTTCCAACCCAAGAAGAAATTATTTCTTCTTGGTGTGGTAGGAAGCCTGTTCATGAGTCATCATCTTGCCACCTCTTTGCCCTACGTTTACAACATAAACACTATGTCCTCTGTGTTCTCAGACTTCCAGGCTGTGGCTGTTAATATCTAAAGAGAAGGTTTTAAAATGCAAAAGCCTTCTTCTCCCTCAAGAGCCTGAATTTTGTTATCGGAAACTAGGGTTGCAAGTTAATTACAGCAGCATAAAATTTGAATTAACATTAATGTTAACCTATAGTGATGATTGAAAAATAATAGGATATCTACACTATAGCGCCTCAATAAAGTTGATTCAACTTTTTTACTGATAAATAAAAGTTGTACATATTTATGGGGTACACATGATACTTTCATATATCCATGCAATGTGCAGTGGTCAAATCAAGATAACTGGGATATTCACCAGTTTACACATTTGTTATTTATTTGTGTCAGGATCATTCTAAATCTTCTCTTCTGGCTATTTTGAAATATACAATAAATTACTGTTAACAAATAATCACCCTACTGTGCTATCAAACACTAGAACTTGTTTCTTCTATCTAACTGTATTTTTGTACCCATTAACCAGCCTCTCTTCATCCCCCTCCCACTTTCCTAGCCTCTGGTAACCACCATTCTACTCTCAGCCTCCATGAGATCAACTTTTTTAACTCCCACATATGAGTGAAAACATGCAATATTTGTCTTTCTGAGCCTGGCTTATTGCACTTAACATAATGTCTTCCAGTCCTATACATGTTGCTGCAAAATGACAGAATTTTCTTCTTTTTATGGCTGAATAGTATTCCACTGTGTATATATACCATATTTTCTTTATCCATTCATCCACTGATGGGCACTTAGGTTTGGACTGAACACAAGCCCACAAATCAAGTAGCCATCTCAAAGAAAATGTGTCTGAATTTCCAATGCATAAGATAGCAAAAAGATGCACAAAAATGGCCCACAATAATCAGTCATATGAAAAAGCATAAAATGGCCAGGTGCGGTGGCTCACACCTGTAATACTAGCATTTTGGGAGGCCAAGGCGGGTGGATCACGAGGTCAGGAGATCAAGACCAGCCTGGCCAACATGGTGAAACCCCGTCTCTACTAAAAAAAAGAAAAAAAAAAATTAGCTGGGTGTAGTGGCGTGCACCTGCAGTCTCAGCTACTCGGGAGGCTGAGGCAGGAGAATCACTTGAACCCAGGAGGTGGAGGTTGCAGTGAGCCAAGATCAGGCCACCGCACTCCAGCCTGGGTGACAGAGTGAGACCTTGTCTCAAAAAAAAAAAAAAAAAAAGAGAGCATAAAATACATCCTACATAATAACAACAAAGAACATAAACATTTTAGGACTGATCCTAACAAAAATGTATAAAACTTATGTGAAGAAAACTACAAGACATTGTTAAGAAAGACAAATAAATGAAAAGAAAAACTAGTTCCTGGGTTTTGAAATTTAGAATATTTGCAGGATATTAATTCCCAGTGGGACTGGAGAGAGGGTGAAGCTTGAAAACAAGAATTCCAAATTCATCTAGGAGCATATACAGGTAGATTAATAAAAACATTATGGAAAGAAATAATGAAATAATGATGAGGGGACTTGACCTACCTATTGGAACTACATAAATGTGTTAATCCTTTATGGAAAATATTTTGAAATAGCTATCAAAATTTTAAGGTCAAGTACTCTTTGCCCCAGTAATTCTGCTTTTGGAATTTGTCCTACAGATATATCCACATGAACAAAATGACATTTATTCAAAGATAAGTGTTGCAGTGTTTTTTGTAATCATAAAATATTGGTAATAATCCTAATATCTATCAGTAGGAAACTGGTTAAATAAACAACTATACAATGGAATACAATATAGCTGTAAAAAATAAAACAATGCAGATGAGCAAAGATATTTTTGAGCAAAACAACAACTTGCAGAGAATATATATGGTATAGCATATACTTTTGCATAAAAGAAAGAGGAAAAGAGAAATAATCTATATCATCTATAAAATATATGACATATATGGTTGTTTACACACAGAATTTCCCCAAAGGAATATACAAGAAAATGATAATAGTGATTGGCTCCAAGGAGGAAAACTGGGAAGTCAGGGGAGAAGTTGGAGGGAGACTATGTTTTCATACAAAATCCTTCTGTGCCTTTTGAGTTTTGTATCATGTGCAGGAATTGCCTATGTATAAGACAAAATAATTTTAAATGAATTAATGAAGATAATTTTTGATATTAAGACAAGAACTAAAAGTTAGCTTAATACTAGGAATAACTGGCCGGGTGCGGTGGCTCACACCTGTAATCCCAGCACTTTGGGAAGCCGAGGCAGGCAGATCACCTGAGGTCTGGAGTTTGAGACCAGGCCTGACCAACATGGAAAAACCTTGTCTCTACTAAAAATACAAAATTAGCCAGGCGTGGTGGTGCACACCTGTAATCCCAGCTACTCAGGAGGCTGAGGCAGGAGAATCGCTTGAACCCGGGAGGTGGAGGTTGCAGGGAGCTGAGATGGTGCCATTGCACTCCAGCCTGGGCAACAAGAGTGAAACTCCGTCCAAAAGAAAAAGAAAAAAACTAAGAATAACTAACTGTAAAATAGAGTTTTATATGCATAAAATTATAATTTGAGTTAGAAGAACCACAAATAGTTTAACAAATGTATTTGTCAAAAAAAAACAATAGATGTTTTGAAAATGAAAAATATAATTTTAAAGTAGAAACTTTATCTCACTCAGCTAGCAAAATAGACTCCAAATAAATTACTGAGTTAAATGCAAGGAATAAAATAAAAATCCTAAAGAACTATATTGGAGAATAATTAAATACTATAGCATGTAATGACGTTTTTTAAAATTAGTAATATTCAGTGATTTTAAAAAGGTATAGCAAAACAGATATTCCTGCCATATGCCAGATGCAACATAAACTCAATTACCATTGTTTTAAATGAAGGGATAGATGGGTGATTGCAGGAGTAATTTTACCTTTTGGGGAAATAAACTAAGGAGTAATTAATGAGCTGAAAAACTTGTCTGAGGAAATCTCCAAGAATTTGAAAGAAAGGAGTAAACCATGAAAAGCTTATCTAATAATTCCCTCCTTTAGAAAACCGACATTATATACAGAAAAACAAAGAGAATAATGATAGCAGGCTTTTCATCAAAACAATTGAAGATAGAAGGCAATAGGGCAATATCCTTAAAGTACTAAAAAAAAAAAAAAAATCGACCTAGAATTTCACACGTAGAGAAAGTATGTTTTGTAAATAAGGCAAAGTGAAGACTTTTCTAAACATACAAAATCTAAAATAATTCATTAACAGCCAACCAGCATTAGAAATAATGTAAGCAAAGATCTTTAGACAGAATGAAAATGATATCAGAAAAAATAAAGCACGCTAGAAATAATAAATATGTGGGTAAATACTTTTCTATTTAAAATAGAAATTTGAATTAACATTAATGTTAACCTATAGTAATGATTGAAAAATAATAGGATATCTACACTATAGCACCTCAATAAAGTTGATTCAACTTTTTTACTGATAAATAAAAGCTGTACATATTTATGGGGTACACATGATACTAATTAACTGTTTAAAGCAAACTAACAATTTATTATGAGTTTTATAATAGATATGTGGAAGTAACATGTATGTCAATAGTATAAAGGCCAGGAAGAGGGAAATGGAAGTATATTGTTATAAGACTTTTATACCCACATTGCTAGGACAATCTTTTTAAAATTTATTTTTTAATTGACAAATTAAAAATGTATGTATATATTGTACACAACATGATGTTTTGAAATATGTATACAATATGGAATTGCTAAATCAAGCTAATTAACATATGCATTATTACCTCACATCATTTTTTGTGGTGAGAATACTTAAAACCTACTCTCAGCAATCTTCAAGAAGGCAGTACATTGTTATTAATTGTAGTCATCATGTTGTACAAGAGATCTCTTGAACTTATTTCTCATATCTAACTGAAATTTTTTATCCTTTGTCCAACATCTTCTCAACCCCCATCCTCCACCCAGCCCCTGGTTATCAACATTCTACTCTATGCTTTTAGGAGTTTAACCTTTTTAGATTCCACACATAAGTGAGATCATGCAGTGTTTGTCTCTCTGTGCTTAGCTTATTTCACATAACATAATGTCTTTTCAGGATTTCCTTTATTTTTGAGATTCAA
Source organism: Homo sapiens (assembly GCF_000001405.40). Taxonomy (NCBI): domain Eukaryota; kingdom Metazoa; phylum Chordata; class Mammalia; order Primates; family Hominidae; genus Homo; species Homo sapiens. Next base: position 57,457,792 of record NC_000014.9, on the reverse strand, counting down.
TAGTGTTCCATCATGTATATAAACCACATTTTCTTTATTCATCTATCCATTGATGAACACTTAGGTTGATTCTGCATTTTGGTTACTGTGAATAATCCTGCTGTGAACATGGGAGTGCAGATATCTTTTCAACATACTGATTTGCTGATTTCATATACTTTGGATATATACCAAGTAGTAGCATTGCTGGATCATAAGGTAGTTCTATTTTTAAATTTTTGAGGAACCGCCATACTATTTTCCATAATGGCTATACTAATTTACATTCCCATCAATAGTGTGCAAGTGTTCCCTTTTCATCAGATCCCTGCCAGCACTTGTTATCTCTTGTCTTTTTGATAACAAACATTCTAAGAGGTATAGGGTAATATCTTATTTTAGTTTTAATTTGCATTTCACTGATGATTTGTGATACAGAGCATTTTTTCATATACCTGTTAGCAATTTACATGTCTTCTTTTGAGAAATGTCTACTCATGTTCTTTTCTCATTTTTTAATCAGGTTTTCTTGCTATTGAGTTTATTGAGTCCCTTCTATATTTTGGCTATTAACTCCTTATCTGATATATATTTGCAACTATTTTCTCCCATTCTGCAGGTTGTCTCTTTCATGAGTGATATAATATTACTTGAATATAGACTGTAATACACTTAAAAAGTATACTACAGATGCTATAGCAACCACTTAAAAAAAGGCATAGCTAATAACTAATAAGCTAATAAGAGGAGACAAAATCAAATCATAAAAAATACTCAATCCAAAAAAAGGCAGAAAAAGTGGAAGAGAGTGGAAAAAAGAGAAGAGATAAAAATAAATAAATAAACCCAAATAGTAAGATGACAGATTTGAACCCAACTATATCAGCCAGGCACAATGGCTCAGCCTATAATCCTAGCACTTTGGGAGGCCGAGGCAGGAGGATCACTTGAGCCCAGGAGTTCAAGATCAGCCTGGGCAACATGGTAAGACTCTGTCTCTATTAAAATAAAAAAATTAAAAACAAAATAAAACAAAACTCAACTATATAAATAATCATATTAAATGTAAATGGTCAAAAACACAATTTAAATGCAGAGATGGTTGAATTGGAAAAAAGAGCAAGAAGCAGCTATATGCTATCTATAAGAAACACAATTTAAATGTAAAAACACAAATAGGTTAAAAGAAAAAAACAGAAAAAGATATAACATGCCAACACTAATCCCAAAAAAGCTGCAGTGAGCATATTAATACTAGACAAAATAAACTTAAGAACATATAACAGCCATGATTGTCATTAGCAGCCAAAGTTATATATCCTTCCAATTTAGGAAGAACAGAAATAAAAGGTACATTTCATGCCCCCGACCCCCAGCATGAAAATAAATCCCTGAAAAGGAATCTGATAGCCATGAAGAGTCATATCCCCACCCTTTGCGATGGCAGGACCACATGATTGAGTCTGGCCAGAATCACATGGATTTAGGAATGGTCATTTCTCAAAGAAGGGATTCAAGGATACTGACTAAAGACAAATGTCCACTACTAAATGGATACTAAGGGACTGGCTACCTCTCTAACACATCACACGTGTGAAGGACAGTAATGGTGCGGTCCTATCAAAGAATAATGTGACAGTGATGGAGGAGATTGAGAGGAGAACATTTACAGTGCTTATTAGCTCTGGAGATAATTTATTTTACTTTCTAAGAGAATAAATGAAGAAATAATTTTGCCCGATAATTTATTAGCATAAACTCTACATTTTGGGATTCCTTGAATTTAAAAAAAAAAAAAAGATGTCAACATCAAATCTAGGTTTTCAGTAAAGACACAGAAGGTGATTTTACAGTATTATATTATTTGTGCTCCAATGAACTTACTCAAATGTTCCTGTTATCCTTCAACATTTTCCCTAAAAATTTTCTTCCAAAAATAAAATTCAAGCATTACCCCACCAGTGTAAAGTTGGGAACCTTCTAAATCTACTTCCAGTTCATAATACATTGGGAGGCTTATTAAGGAAAAGTAAGACTCAGGGTCAAGATGGAACACCTCAAATCACAGATTACTAGGACTGAAGAGGAATTTAAGAAGCTTCTATTTCAACCTCCCTTCCTCAGGGACTGAGATAACCACGGCACTTACATGGGATCTTCAAGAAAGATTGATTGACCAGCTGATTTTAATGCATACTTATTTAGCTTAATTGGTAAATGTCTTCATAGCTGTTTGAAAAAGGACTTATTTTTCAATCAGTGTGTTTTGCAACATACCACACATACACACACATAAGTCAACCACCACTCATACCCCAAAAGAAACAAGAACCCCCAGTACATATTACAGGCCTTCTTCAACCTAAGGGTTGTAGAAGTTTGCCATCTACTGACTTTTTGCTGAAGTATTTTGTTCTCCATGAAATATTGCTAATAATTATAAATCAATGCCAGTACATAGATTGAGTTCTGTAGCCTTTTGCAACTATTTTCCAATAAGATGTAAATTTTTTCTTTTTTCTTAAAAAAAAACTATAGGTAAAACAGCAACTCAAAGTACTTTATATATATGTGTGTGTATATATATATTTATACGTGTATATATGTATATGTATATGTATATTTATGAAAGAAAACCAAAAGCTCAAAGATCCTACATGAAATATTTAACAGCATCCATATTCATTTGAAGGCCTTCTGCTGATCATTCTCATTATATGTACTTCTAGGTTTTAAAAAATAATAATAATAAAATTAATCACAAAAATTTGGGAACAGTGAATACATTTTCTCTAACATTTCTGCTTCTAGTTCTCTCCCCTACTCCAGCATTTCTTTCCCTGCCTGCTTTCTTCCCTGGGGTTTGAGTCAGATGCCAGGCATTCATTATTACCCTTTCTCAGAAAACTTTGGTAAATCTGGCCCTGACCTGTCTAGTTCTGAGCTGGCTTCAAATTTTTCCATTATTATTTGCAAAGTTCCTGTTATCTAGCTTATGACATATTTCCTGACTTAATTTTTTTTTTTTTTTTTTTTTTTTTTTTTTTTTTTTTTTTTTTTTTTTTTTTTTTGAGACGGAGTCTCGCTCTGTCGCCCAGGCTGGAGTGCAGTGGCGGGATCTCGGCTCACTGCAAGCTCCGCCTCCCGGGTTCACGCCATTCTCCTGCCTCAGCCTCCCAAGTAGCTGGGACTACAGGCGCCCGCCACTACGCCCGGCTAAGTTTTTGTATTTTTAGTAGAGACGGGGTTTCACCGTTTTAGCCGGGATGGTCTCGATCTCCTGACCTCGTGATCCGCCCGCCTCGGCCTCCCAAAGTGCTGGGATTACAGGCGTGAGCCACCGCGCCCGGCCCTGACTTAATGTTTTACAGGGCGTCCGAAATATAGGCTATGAAAGGCATACTGAGTCTTCAAAATAATGCCTAATTACTAATAGAGTAATTGGAGGTAGGCACCAAAAGCCATGCCCAGTTATTACATGGTGATCCTCTACAGACTAGGTTGTGAATATATCAGGACAAGATATACTGTCCACTAAATTCTGATAGCAGAGTCTATCCCCACAACTTATTCTCCCTTCCTTACTCCCATTTTTAATCTTTTTGTCTTTCCTATTTCCTCTGCAGAATCTGTTGGGCTACTCTGCATCTCTTTCACTTTACTCTGTAGCCTAGAATCCTCCCTGTAAATATTGGAAAATATTAAAATAACTTTCCATATATCAAGGATGGTGTCATGACAGAACTACTACGGTGGGGCAAGGGCAAGACTAGAGGATTTCTGAAATCCTTTGTGATCATCTGATTCTATGGTGATAAATCAACCCACTGCAGAGTTTATTTAAAATATTAGCACAGATATAAATGAGCTGAAAGTCTTCTGATAAATGCAAACTGGTTAATAAAGACTGGCCTAAAAAGAACTATCACTTGTGGAGGGGTATAATTGTGATAATAAAACTACATTAGCAAAACTACACGGAGTCTCAAAGCCCAGGAACAGGGAGATTGCAACAGATATACAGAAGAAAAATATTGTCAAAGCCAGCAATTTTTGAATATAGGTGATTCTCTGCCAACGTTTCCTCGTCTAAATGGTAAGACAACAGAAATCCTTGATGAAACACAGTTACATGAAGAAACCCTAAATAGAAACCCACTGTCTCTGGTCAGAGATTTAAGGGTAATATATATTTGTCATATATATAAATATATACACAGTTGACCCTTGAACAACACAGGTTTGAACTGCAAGGGACCACTTATACACAGTTTTTTTCAACCAAATGCAGATGGAAAATACAGTGTTTGCAGGATACAAAACCAGAGTATCTGGAGGGCTGATTTTTCCTAAAAGCTCCTTCCACGGGGCCAGCTGAGACACTTGACTGTATGAGGATTCTTGTTTGTGTAGGAGCAGAGGGGAAGTCCTAGAACCAACCCCTCACATATAACAGGGCATGGCATGTATGTAATTTACTTCTCAAAATTCTCTGAAATAGTAGTTATTTTTTCTATTTATAAAAATTTCCCCTACTTTTTATATGTGAAGAATCAGCCTCAGAGATTAAGTAACTTGACCAACATAATGTGGATATCGAGAAATTAGAAAAAGAAGCGGGAGGTAGTTTTCATTTTTCTTAACCACCCAAGACCGATTTTAACTTCTGCTTCACAGAGAAGTCCATGAACAAGAGGAGAAAAGCAAAAAGGTACAGGAGGAAAGGAGTAAGGGAGACCTGCAGAGATTGTCAAGAGAGTTGTGTGTCCAAACACCACACTGAAATGCAAGCTCCATGAGGATAAAGATTTCTGTCCTGTGTGTTCAATATTATAGACCCAGCACTGGCCTAGCACAGGTATTTCACAAATATCTGTTGAATAAATGAATGAATGAATATGTGGTATGAAGATGCTACTTCAAGTTTTGATTAAGCTTAGCATATAAGGTACAGGTTTTGAAACTGTATAAATGTTTTATATATTTTAAAAATGAAACTAAATCAAATATTAACAAGTAATCTTGAGAATTACAGTTTTGAGTTTCCCATGTAAACAGCATAGAATTCCTTACCCTCTCCTAACAACAAGTAAAACACGATGAAACTGAAATACTAATAACTTTTCTTGGATCCATCAGAGAAATGAGGTCACAGGACAAATCATTGTCTTGGAAATTGGAGAGACAGACAAAATAAATACAGAAAATTATGACACCAGAGCAGAAACCTCTGCAGGAACCAGTGCCAGGGTAAGAGAACCTAAACTACAATTGACGAATTGCTGGAGGCTCAGTGTAGACAAGTCTGAGAGATAAGAATTCCAGAGGGAACACAGTCATAAGGATATATCCACATTTTTGTGAGTTTTACCTATAAAACTCCATGAGGTCCTCACAAGGAATATCAGAGAAAAATCTCCTCATATTTCCAGTTGGAGGATGGAAAAAGTAATCATTTGCAAAATGTATTTCTGATACATTTCAATACACCAGAGCATTCCGTTATTCTTATTAACGCCTGCTCTTAGGAGAAACTATTTTACTAGAAGCTAAACTAATGGGGTTTTATCAACCTTGGGGAAAAGAAATACTTAACTCCAGCCTCCTATAGCCATCCTGTCCCACCTAAGGGGGACACACATCCTGTCCCACATAAGGAGTGGAGGGGACTGCAAAGTGCTGGTGAAGTTGACAGTCCAGAGATACAGGCTTACCAAAAGATGGAGACCTAATGATAGGACTAAAAAATGCTTTCCATCCCCCGACAACTTACCACTACATTACTAAAGGCCTATTTAGTGCAGTTCCTTTCACCCATTATATCATGTCCGCTTTCTACAAAAACTACAAAGGCATACTAAAAGGTAAAAAATTTGAAAAGATTAAACAAGCATCCAGAACCAGAGTCATATATGGCAGAAAATTAGAATTATTAGACCAGGAATTTTTAAGAATTGTAATTAACATGCAAAGACTTTTAATAGAAAAAGCAAATAACAGGCAAAGTCAGACGGATAATGTCAGCAGAGATATGAAAATTCTAAGAAAGAATAAAAAAGGAATGCCAGAGATGAAAATCACTGTGACAGAAATGAAGGACTCTGATGTGCTCATTAGCAAATTGAAAAGCTAAGGAAAGATTTTCTGAGTTTGAGGATATGACAATAGAAATTTCCTAAACTGAAAAGCCAAGAGAAAATGGACTGAAAAAAAAAAATGGAACACAGCATCCAAAAACTGTGTAACAGCCACACAGGGTGTAAGTATATGTAATGAGAATACCAAAAGGAGAAGAAAGAGACAAAGAAACTAAGCAATATTTGAAGCAATAATGACTTTCCCCCAAATCAATGCCAAACACCAAACCACAGATTCAGGAAGCTCAGAGAACACCAAGCAGAATAAATGCAAAAAAACAAAAAACAAACAAACAAAAAAAACACCTTACACCAAGAAAAAATATACCTTGCCTACCTATAGAGTAGCATAGATAAGAATTACATCCAATGTCTTCTCAGAAGCCATGAAAGGAAGAAGGCAGTGGAATGAAATATTTAAACTGTTGAGAGAAAAACACCACCAGTCTAGAATTCTACACTCTGAAATTATCCTTCAAAGGTTAAGGAGAAACAAAAACCTCACACCAACAAACTTGGAAGGAATTTGTTGCCAGTAGACATACCTTGCAAACACATGTTTAAAAGTTTTTCAGAGAGAAGAAAAATGATATAGGTCAGAAATTTGGGTCTACATAAAGAAAGCAAGGGCATCAGAGAATGAATAAAAAACAGAACCATTTATTTTTCTTATTCTTAATTGATCTAAATGAAAACAGTTTGTCCAAAATAATAAGAGCAACAATGTATTTGATTATTTGGATAGACAGATATGCATATGTATGTGTATGTGTACGTAAAATGAATGACAGTAATGATGTATGTGACATGAAGAAGGAATTAGAATTATTTTTATTATTATAAGATACTCATAATACATTTGAAGAAGTAGGAGTATTATTTTAAAGTGGACTGGGATTAGTTATAAATGTATATTGCAAACTTTAGGGCAACCACTTAAAAATTGAAAAAAGATGTATAACTGATAAGCTAAGAAAGAAGAGAAAATAGAATCATATAAAATGCTCAGTTAAAAACTACAAAAGTTGGAAAAAGAGTAGAAGACAAAAATGGGAACAAAGAATAATGGCAACAAAGAGAAAACAGTAACAATATAGTATATCTTAATCCAATGATATCAATAATCACTTTGAATGTCAATGGTCGAAATGGACAAATTAAAAGACAGAGATTTTCGGAGTGGATCATAAAACAAGATCCAATTATCTGTTGCCTACAAAAAACAAACTTTAAACATAAAGACACATATAAATTAAAAGTAAATGGCTGAAGAAAAATACACTATGCTAACATTAATTTTAAAAAGTCGTAGTTATATTAATTTCAGAAACAGGAAATTGCAGAGCAAGGAAAGTTATCAGGGACAAAAAAGGGCATTACATAATGATAAAGGGGTCAATTCTTCAAGAAGACATAACAACTCTTAATGGGTATCTGCCTAACAACAGAAAATACATGAGGCAAAAACTGATGGAACTTCAAGAAGAAGTAGATGAATCCACTAACCCCTCTATCGTAAATGGACAGGTCCAGGAAGCAGAAAATCAGCAGGGACATAATTGAACTCAATGGCATGATAAATCAATAGGATACAATGGACATCTAAGATTATTTCATCCAACAACAGCAAAATACATATTCTTCTGAAGCTCACATGAAACATTCACTAAAATAGAACACGTTCTGGGTGATAAAACACAACTTAACAAATTTAAAAAGATAGAAATTATACAATGCATGCTCTCAGACCATATGGAATTGAACTAGAAGTTGATAAAACAATAGCTGGAAAATCCCAAAATACTTGGAGATTAACCAGCACACTTCTAAATAACACATGCGGAAAAATACTTCAAGAAAAAATTTTAAATGTTTTGAACTAAATAAAAATAAAAACACAACATATCAAAATTTGGGGGATGCCATGAGGAGAATTTCTACATTAAAAGCATCTGTTAGAAAAGGAGAAAAATCTAAACTCGATGATCTAAGTTTCCACTTTAGAAAACTAGAAAAAGAAGAGCAAATTAAATCCAAAGTAAGCAGAAGAAAAGAATTAATAGAAATTAGAGCAAAAATTATTAAAATTAAAAACAGAAAATCAATAAAACCAAAAGCTAGTTCTCTGAAAAAATAAATGAAATGGATAAGCCTTTAGCTGGTCTAAGCAAAAAAAAAAAAAAAAAAAAAAGAGAGACAGAAAGAGGGGACACAGATTAATAATATCAGAAACGAAAGAGGAGACATCACTGCAAATCATGGACATTAAAAAGAAAAAAAGAAATAATATACACAATTCTATGCCTACAAATATGATAACCAAGCTGAAATGGACCAATTCCTTTGAAGACATAATCTGTTAAAACTCACATAAGAAATAGGCTATCTGAGGCTGGGCGTGGTGGCTCAAACCTGTTATCCCAGCACTTTGGTAGGCCAAAACAGGTGGATCACTTGAGGTCAGGAGTCTGAGACCAGCCTGGCCAACATGGCGAAACCCTGTCTCTACCAAAAACACAAAAAAAATTTAGCCAGGCATGGTGGCAGGCAGCTGTAATCCCAATTACTTGGGAGTCTGAGACAGAAGAATCACTTGAGCCCAGGAGGCAGAGTTTGCAGTGAACCGAGATCGTGCCACTCCACTCCAACCTGGACAACAGAGTGAGACTCCATCTCAAAAAAAAAAAAAAAAAGAAAGAAAGAAAAGAAAAGAAATAGGCTATTTGAATAGCACTATTTCTATTAAATTAATTGAAATACTAATTAATAACTCCCCAAGACAGAAAGCAGAGGTTCAAATGGGTTCACTTGTGAATTCTACCAAACATTTAAGAGAGTTATTACATCAATTCTCTACAATCTTTCAAAAGATAGAATCTGAGGGAATACTTCTTAACTCATCCTGAGGCCATCATTACCCTAAGAACAAAACCACACTGAGACATTCCAAGAAAACTACAGAGCAATATCTCTCATGATTATAGATTCAAAAATTCTCAACAAATTATTATCAAATTGAATTCAACAATGCATAAAAATAATTATACCTCATGACCAAGTGGGATCTATCCCAGGTATGCAAGATTGGTTCAGCATTCAAAAATCAATAGGCTAAAAAAAAATCGCATGAATATATCAATAGCTGCAGAAAAAGCATTTGACAAAACCCAATATCCATTCATGAAATAACCTCTCAGCAATCCAGGAGTGAAGGGAAACTTCTTCGCTGGGCGCGGTGGCTCACGCCTGTAATCCCAGCACTTTGGAAGGCCGTGGGGGGCAGATCCCTTGAGGTCAGGAGTTCGAGACCAGACTGGCCAACAGGTTGAAACCCCATCTCTATTAAAAATACAAAAATTAGCTGGGCATGGTGGCGGGCACCTGTAGTCCCAGCTATTCGGGAGGCTGAGGCATGAGAATCGCTTGAACCTGGGAGGCAGAAGCTTCAGTGAGCCAAGATCACACCACTGCACTCCAGCCTGGCAACAGAGCAAGACGCTGTCTCAAAAAAAAAGTAAAAAAAAGAAATTAAAAAATAAAAAAAAGAAGGGGGGTAATTTCCCACTAAGGTTAGGAACAAGGCAAGAATGTCCTCTCTTATCATTCCTTTTCAACATCATACTAGAAGTCTTAGCTAATGCAGAAAAAGTATATAGATTGGAAAGGAAGAACTAAAACTGTCTTTGTTCATAGGTGACATGATCATCAATGTAAAAAATCCAAAAGAATTGATTAAAAATTTCTGAAATTCATAAGCAATTATAGTAGGATTGCAAGATACAAGGTTAATGTACCAAAGTCAATCATATTCCTATATACCAGCAACAAACAAGTGGAATTTGAAATAAAAATAACATCAGCCAGGCACGGTGGCTCACGCCTGTAATCCCAGCACTTTGGGAGCCTGAGGCAGGCAGGTCACGAGGTCAGGAGTTTGAGACTAGCCTGGCCAACATGGTGCAACCTCGTCTCTACTAAAAATACAAAAATTAGCCAGATGTGGTGATGCACACCTGTAATCCTAGCTACTCAGGAGGCTGAGGCAGGAGAATTGCTTGAACCCTGGAGGCGGAGGTTGCAGTGAGCTGAGATCATGCCATTGCACTCCAGCCTGGGCGGCAGAGTGAGACTCCATCTCAGAAAAAAATAAATAAATAAATAACATTATCATTTACATTAGCACCCCAAAAATGAAATACTTAGGAATAAATATAACAAAATATATACAAGATCTATACAAGGAAAACTACAGTATTCTTTTGAATGATATCAAAGCAGAATTAAATAAATGGAGAGATAGTTCATGCTCATGAATAGGAATACTCAATATTGTCAAGATGCCAATTCTTCCAAACTTGATCTATAGAGTCAATACAATATCAATCAAAATCCCGGAAGAAGAACAGAGTTGGAGGACTCACACTACCCAACGTCAAGACTTAATATAAAGCTACAGTAATCAAAACGATGTGGCATAGGCAAAAAGAAAAATAGATTGACAAAGAGATAAATATAACAAAATAGAGACATTAGAAATAGATCCAACTAAATATAATCATCTGATCTTTGACAAAGGAGAAAAGGCAATACAATGGAGCAAAGATAGTCTTTTCAACAAATGGTGCTGGAACAACTGGACATCCACATGCAACAAAATGAATCTAGACACAGATTTTACACCCTTCAAAAAATTAACTCAAACTGGATCAAAGATCTAAATGTAAAATGCAAAACTATAAAACTCCTAGAAGATAACATAGGAGAAAATCTAGATGACCCTGGATATGCCACTGACTTTTTAGATACAAAACAAAAGGCATGATCCATAAAAGAAATAATTGATAAGCTGGACTTCATTCAAATTAAAAACTTCTGCTCTGTGAAAGACAATGTCAAGTGAATGAGAAGAAAAGCCAGACTGGGAGAAAATATTTGAAAAATATACATATGATAGAGGACTATTATCCAAAATATACAAAGAACTCTTAAAACTCAATAATAAGAAAATGAACAACTTGATTTATAAGTGGGCAAAAAACCTTAACAGACACTTCACCAAAGAAGATACATGAATGGCAAGTAAGCATATGAAAAGATGTTCAGTGTAATTTGTCATTAGGGAATTGCAAATTAAAACAGCAATGGGATATCATTACACACCTATTACAACAGCCAAAATCCAAAACACTGACAACGACAAATGCCTGTAAGGATACAGAGCAATAGAAAGTCTCATTCATTGCTGGTGAAAAAGCAAAATGGAAGAGACACATTGTAAGACAGTTTGGCAGTTTTTAAAAAACTAAACATATTCTTACCATACGATCCAGCAGTCTCCTTCCTTGGTATTTACCCAAATGAACTGAAAACTTATGTCCACACAAAAATCTGCACACAGATGTTCATGGCAACTTTATTTTTAATTGTCAAAACTTGTAAGCAACCAAGACGTTCTTCAGTAGGTAAACAAATAAGTAAACTGTGCTTTGCTGGGCACAGTGGCTCACACCTGTAATCCCCCAACACTTTGGGAGGCCGAGACGGGTGGATTGCTTAAGCCCAGGAGTTCGAGACCAGCCTGGGCAATGTGGTGAAACCTTGTCTCTACAAAAAATAAAAATAAAAAATTAGGCAGGTGTGGTGGCACGCACCTGCAGTTCCAACTACTCAGGAGGCTGAGGTGGGAGGACTGCTCCAGCCTGGGAGGTCGAGGCTACAGTGAGCCAAGATCACGCCACTGTGCTCCAGCCTGGCTGACAGAGCAAGATGCTGTCTAAAATAAAATAAAATAAAATAAACTGTGCTTCATCCAGACAATAAAATATTATTCTGCACTAAAAATAAATGAGCTATGAAGCCATGAAAAGGCATGGAAGAAACTTAAATGCATATTACTCAGTGAAAGAAGCTAATCTGAAAAGGCTACATGCTGTATGACTCCAACCATATGACATTCTGGAAAAGATAAAACTATAAACACAATGAAAAGATAACTGCTTGCCAGGGACTGGGGGCTGGGGAAAGGAGGAATAATACAAAGCACAGATGATTTTTAGAGCAATAAAACTATTCTGTATGATACTACAATGGTGGATATATGTCATTATACATTTGTCAAACCCATAGAATTTACAACACCATGAATGAACCCTAATGTAAACTATGGATTTGAGGTGATAGTGATGTCCTGATGTAGGCTCATCAATTGCAGTAAGTGTACCATCAAATGCAGTAAATGATGCAGGATGTCAACAGCAGAGGAGGTCGTGCATGTATGGGGACAGGAGGTATATGGGAACTCACTTATTTTCTGCTCAATTTTACTGGCAAACTAAACCCACTCTAAAATATAAAGTTTATTAATTTAAAAAATCAGTTACTAAATATTAAAAACAAAGTAACCTAACTATCAAATTGGTGACATAACTACGAAGAATAATTATTTCAGTAACTTTTATATACAACATTTGACTTTCTAAATAGATAGATAGATATACAGAAAGATACAGGTATGAATATAGATATAGATATATGGTTCATATAGATATATCTTATTGGTTCTGCTTTTCTGGAGAACCCAAACTAAGATACAGAGACCAAGGACCGTTTATTACTCATAGCAATAGCAGTAGCCAGAGTATCATCATTTCTGCACTGGTTTCCCAAGAATCAGTTCTAACAGAGCAACACAAAGAGGGACAGATGACCCTGTACACGTAATGGGTTGCATCTGAGGAAAGAAACTCTGAGCTTAGGTAATTCTAATACTTTTATACGCTAAGAAGCTTGCCTGCCCTTTGCTCCAGAGGGAGACACTATCACTTTCTTCCAACACCATTGACTATACAAACATCTTTGAAAAGACAATCCAGACAACAGACAGTTAGAGCCTTGTCTTATAAGATCAAGAGAAACACAACAGCCCCATGGAGAATTGTCTTCTAATGATCTAATCAGCTGACCAATCTTAAAATCAGTAAAAATGGAGCAACCAGACATCATATGTCTCCTGATGTGATAAACAAGAAGTCCACATAACCACCCAGAGGTGATCCTTGCCAAAGAGGGTGAATCTGAATCTAATCAAGTCTAGAAATCTAGCTACCAGTTTATAGAAAATGGAGGGGATAAAGAACAACTTGAACAGAAATTGTATGGGATAAATGATTCAGTTCCTCCATCAAAAAGGTGAAATTTTAAAAGATGGGAGAAGAAAGGACAGTTATGGGTTAAAAGAGACTTGAGAATGCAATGTGCAGTCCTTGTCTGATTCTAACCTAAAGCAGCGAATTTAGGACAAGTTTTAAACAAAAGAAAAGATTCAACATGGGCAGGGAATTAGGTAACATTAAAATTATACGAGAGAATTATTATTATTATTATTATTATTATTATTATTAGGGGTTAAATGGCATTAGGGTTATATGTTTTTGAAAATCCTGTGTGTTCAAGTTAGTTACTGAACTATTTATGAATAAAATATGACAATGGCATTTGCTTTAAATTACTTCAGTACCACCAACAACAACCAAAGGAGAAGTAGAAAGACAAAGCAAACTTTGCAAAATGTTATTAATTATTAAAACTGGGTGATGAATACATAAAAGTTTAAAATACTATTTTCTTCTATATAATTTTGAAATTTTCTGTTAAAAAGTTTCATAAATAAATAAAACTGTAGAAGAATTTGTTTAAAGATCCAAATGAAAGTGAGAGAATTAATTATAAACATAGGGGTCCTAGGGCCCCTGGTGGAGTTGCTTTAATTCATACTCTAGTGGAGCATCTCAGACCTTCTGAAGCCCGACCTTCAAAACAGAATAACTTCTATTTCCCTTTGTTACATTTTTCATTGAGATGATAGAGTTTCTATTTTTTTTGGGGGGGGAGGGTATCTTCCTGTCTTTATTTATTTATTTTATTATACTTTAAGTTTTGGGATACATGTGCAGAACGTGCATGTTTGTTACATAGGTATACATGTGGAATGGTGGTTTGCTGCACTCATCAACCTATTATCTACATTAGCTTTTCTCCTAACGCTATCCCTCCCCTAGCCCCCACCCACCGACAGGCCTCAGTGTGTGATGTTCCCCTCCCTGTGTCCACGTGTTCTCATTGTTCAATTCCCACTTATGAGTGAGAACATGCAGTGTTTGGTTTTCTGTTCCTGTGTTAGTTTGCTGAGAATGATGGTTTCCAGCTTCATCCAGATGGATTAAAGACTTAAACTTAAGACCTGAAACCATAAAAGCCCTAGAAGAAAACCTAGGCAATACTATTCAGGACATAGGCATGGGCAAAGACTTCATGACTAAAACACCAAAAGCAATGGCAACAAAAGCCAAAATTGACAAACGGGATCTAATTAAACTAAAGAGCTTCTGCACAGCAAAAGAAACTATTATCAGTGTGAACAGGCAACCTATAGAATAGGAGAAAATTTTTGCAATCTACCCATCTGACAAAGGGCTAATATCCAGAGTCTACAAGGAACTTAAACAAATTTATAGGTTTCTATTTTTAAAAAAGGTAGGAGAGGCCAGGTGCAGTGGCTCATGCCTGTAATCCCAGCACTTTGGGAAGCAGAGGCAGGCGGATGTCTTGAGGTCAGGAGGTCGAGACCAGCCTGGCCAACATGGTGAAACCCCATCTCTACTAAAAATACAAAAAAAATTAGGTGGGTGTGGTGGCAGACACCTATAATCCCAGCTACTCGGGAGGCTGAGGCAGGAGAATCGCTTGAACTAGTGAGGCGGAGGTTACAGTGAGCCAAGATCGTGTCACTGCACTCCATCCTGGACGACAGAGCGAGACTCCACCTAAAAAAATATATATATATAGGAGAGATAGCAAAATAGAAAGAAACAGAGAGGGAAACTGACGGGAGAGCAAGAGAGAGATTGAGTTTTGTCATAAAAACAAAAAACAAACACGAGGGTGCATTTGCCTTGGATTTTTCCCCAAGGTCTCACTCCATCTATTTGAGGCAAAATTTAGCTACAGTTTTCTTCCTGTGTCCTTTTAAATTCCTCTTATCATTATATATTTTTTCAACAAATTCTTACACATTGGGCACTGTGTGAGATGCAAAGAACATGAGCAAAAAAGATGTGTCCCCTTCTTTTTTTATATGTGTCCCTTTCTTTTATTTATAGTCTAGTGGATGGGACACCCATTAATCTAATGGTCACATGGATGAGTGTTCAGTTATCAATTGAGATTAATCCTGTGAAGGAAGTAAAAGAAGATATTTCCATAAGGGCAAATGACACAACTTTGGGAAGCAAATACAACATCCCTAAGGAAGTGGCTCTTAGATCTAAAGTGTAAGTGGATGTTAACTAAGTACAGGAACCTAGGGAGAACTGTTCTAGGACAGTCAAGATGAAGGCCTTGAGCTCAGCATGCGGAAAGGAAAACGTATTAAAGGGGGCACCAGAGTACACAAAGGAGGGAGACTAGGAGACCCTCGCAGTAGCCACATTAGAGATAATGGTGGCTTACATGAGAATGGTGGCAGTGGAGATGGAGAGATGTGAACCACTGGAGAGATATTTAGGCAGTAAAACTGACCTGACTTGGTAATGGATTAGATATGATAATGAGTTTGCATGTTTCTTATTGTACTCAGTATTATTTCTGCACTATCCACCTAAAGCACTATTTGGGGGGCTGCTTTGTCAGTATATGACTGGATGAATTGATTGTAGGGTGCCAGGAAAAGTTACCACGAGCTGGTCCTAAAGAAAGACTGGGCTAAATATTTTATATGAAGATGGAAAAATTGTGAGGAGAGAAATGGGACTGCTTTCTAGCATCTCACCACTTCTATCCATACACACAAATACATTCCAACTTACTGCCCAGCCCCTGAGCAAAGAGGAATTTTCTGAAGTCAAAGATCTGGTTTGCTTTTAGACTCTTACAAGCTGAGAGACATTGGTCATTTTAAGTTTCTGAGTCAGGGAACTCAAGCTGCCTTCAAGGACCATGAACAGAGACTCTTGACTCCTTAATAGGGTACCTGGGCTGAAATCTGAAGGAGAAGAAGCTGGTGAGAGCAGTTTACACCTGGGAGTGATGAGCCCTACAGTACTACTTTGAGGGAAGGCTGGTCCCTTCTTCTTGTGAAATCATGCAAATGGTACTTTTTATTGTACAAATGTAAAGAATGTAGTTCTATTTCAAAAGAGTGTCTTTGCTTTAAATTTGTCTATCCAAAACCTGATTACCTCCCCACCCACAGAGGGAAAGATCCAGGGTTCTAGTAAGCAACAATCTACTAAGTTTTCTCTAATGACTATAATGTGGAAAGAGAAGAAATGGCAGGTGAGGTGGAGTTGGGGATTGGGAAAGAGTCCAAGCAAGATAGATGTAACAACATAATCAAACATAATTTTTTCTGTCTGAGAAGGAAGCAGAGCAAGATGGCCAACTAGAAGCCTCTACTAACCGTCCTCCTTACAGGAACACCAAATTTAACGACTATCTATACATACACACACACACACATAAAAAAAACCTTTATAAGAACCAAAAATTAGGTAAGCAATTACAGTACCTGGTTTCAACTTCATATCACTGAAGGAGGCACTGAAGAGAGTAGGAGAGACAGTCTTGAATTGCAAATGCCACCCCTTCCACATCCCCCAGCAGTAGCCACATGGCATAGAGAATCTGTGCACTTAGGGGAGAGAAAGAACAGTGATTGTGGGGCTTTTCAGGGGAACTCATTGCTTCCCTGTCACAGAAGAAAGCAACACCAGGCAGAACTCAGCCAATGTCCTTGAAGGGAGCATTTAAACCACCTAGCCAGAGGGACTGTCCATCCCAGTGGCCAGAATTTGCTACCATGGGGTAGAGTGCAATGGGGTCCTAAATAAACTTGAAAGGCAGTCTGGGCCACAAGGACTGCAACTCCTAGGCAAGCCCTAGTGCTGTAGTGGGCTCAGAGCCAGCGGATCGGGGTCACACAACCTAGTGAGATACCAGCTGGGGCAGCCAAGGGAGTGCTTATGCTACCCCTCTCTCAACCCCAGGCAGCACAGCTAACAGCTTCTACTCCAAAAGACACTCCTTCCTTCTGCTTCAGGAGAGGGAAGAGCAAAGAGGGCTCTGTGTTGTAACTTGGATACTAGCTCAGCCACAGTAGGGTAAGGAACCAGGCAGAGTCCTGAGGCACCCAATACAGGCCCTAGGTTCCAGATGACATTTCTAGACACATTCTGGGCCATAAGGGAACCCACTGCTTTGAATAGAAGGTCCCAGTCCTGGAAGGATTCATCATCTGCTATTGATGAAAACACACTTGGGCCCTGAATAATCAGCCCCAAAAGCCAGGTAGTACATGTTGTTGGCCTGGGGTAGGACTCGGAGATGTGCTTGCTTCAAGCATGACCCAGCATATTACCAGCTTTGGTGACTACTGGGAGAGATTTCTTCTGCTTAAGAAAAGCAGAGGGAGGAGCAAAGAGGACTTTGTCTTACAGCATAGGTACCTGCTGAACCACAGTGGGTTTGAGCACTAAGTAGGCTCTTGGGGTCATCAGTTCTAGGCCTTGACTCTTGGGTGGCATTGCTGGACCTGCCCTGAGCCAGAAGGGAGCCCACTGCCCTGAAGGGTGAGTCTGAGGTTTCACAACATTTACCACAAGATGACTGAAGAGCCCTGGGGCCTTGAGTGAACATCAGTAGTAGCCTGGCAATACTCCCATGGCCCTGTGATCCTGGTGACCATAGAGGTGGCCTCTGCTTGTGGAAAGATGAGGGAAGAGTGGGAAGGACTTTAGCTGTGGCTTGGGTGTCAGCTGCAGTATAATAGAGCACCAGATTGATTCCTAAAATATCCAACTCCAGGCCCTGACTCTCAGATAACATCTCTGGACCCACCCAGAGCTTGAGGGAACTCATCACCCTAAAGGAAAGGACGTAAGCCTGGCTGGCTTTACCATCTGCTGTTTGTAAAGCCCTAGGGTCTTGAGTGAACATGAGCAGAGAGTTGTTACAGTGGGCTTTGGTAAGACCCAGTGCAGTGTTGGTTTCAGATCTGACCCAGCTAAGTCCCAGTGATCATGGCCACAGGGTTGCTTGTATCATCCCTCAACCAGTTCCAGGCAGTTCAGCACAGAGAGAGAGAGACTCCATTTGTCTGGGAGAAAGTAGGGAAGAAAACAAGAGTATCTGCCAGGTAAGCCAGAGAATTCATCCAGATCTTATCCAAAACCACCTGCCAGAGTCTGCAAGAGCCACAGCGTTACTGAGCTTGGGGTGCCCTCTAATGCAGATGTGGCAGCAGTGACCAAAAACATAGATCATGACACCCAAGTTCCTACAAATACTTGGAAAGCCTTCCCAACAAGGATAGATACAAACAAGCCCAGACTACAAAGACTACAATAAATACCTAATTTTGCAATTTCCAGACACTGATGAACATCCACAAGCCTCAAGACCATCCAGGAAAACATGACCTTACCAAAAGAACTAAATAAGGCACCAGGGACCAATCCTGGAGAGAAAGGGATATGTGACTTTTCAGATAGAGAATTCAAAATAGCTATTTTGATGGGACGCATGGCTCATGCCTGCAATCCCAGCACTTTGGGAGGCCGTAGAGGATGGATCACGAGGTCAAAAGTTCTAGACCAGCCTGGCCAACATGGTGAAACCCCGTCTCTACTAAAAATATAAAAATTAGCTGGGCATGGTGGCATGCAACTGTAATCTCAGCTACTCAGGAGACTGGGGCAGGAGAATCACTTGAACCAGGGAGGTGGAGGTTGCAGTTAGCTGAAATGGCACCATTACACTCCAGCCTGGGCGACATAGCAAGACTCTGTCCCCCACCCAAAAAATAATAATAGCTATTTTGAGGAAACTCAACAAAATTTAAAATAATACAGAGAAGGAATTCAGAATCCTACCAGATAAATTTAACAAAAAGATTGAAATAATTTTTTAAAAATCAAGCAGAAGTTCTGGAGTTGAAAAATGCAACTGACATACCAAAGAATGCATCAGAGTCTCTAATAGCAGAACTGATCAAGCAGAAGAAAGGATTGGTGAGCTTGAAGACAGGCTATTTGAAAACACATAATCCCAGGAGACAAAAGATAAGAACAAAAAAAGAATGGAGCATGCCTACAAGATTGAGAAAATGGCATCAAAAGGACAAATCTAAGAGTGATTGGCCTTAAAGAAGAAATAGAGAGATAAAGGTAGAAAGTTTATTCAAAGGGATAATAACAAAGAATTTCACAAACCTAGAGAAAAATAGCAATATTAAAGTATAAGAAGGTTACAAATCGCCAGGTGGATTTCACCCAAATAAGACAACCTCAAGACATTTAATAATCAAACTCCTAAAAGTCAAAGATAAAGAAACGATCTTAAAAGCACACACACACAAAAGAAACAAATAACATACAATGTAGCTTCAATATGTCTGGCAGCAGACTTTTCAGTGGAGACCTTACAGGTCAGGAGAGAGTGGTATGGCATATATAAAATGCTGAAGGAAAAAAGTTGTTTTTACCCTAGCATTGAAAATCCAGTGAAAATATCCTTCAAACATGAAGAAGAAATAAAGCCTTTCCCAGACAAACAAAACCTGAAGGAGATTTCATCAACATCGGACCTGTCCTACAAGAAATGCTAAAGGGAGTTATTCAGTCTGAAAGAAAAGGAGAAATACTTTTCTTTCTTTTCAGAAAGAAATTTTTTTTTCTGAAAGAAAACGAGCAATAAGAAATCATCTGAAGGTACAAAACTCACTAGTCATAGTAAGTACACAAAAAAATCACACAACATTATAACACTGTAATTATGGTATGTAAACTCCTACCTTGAGTAGAAAGACTAAAAGATGAACCTATCAAAAATAATGAATACAAAAACTTTTCAAGACAAACAGTACAAAATTTATAAATACAAACAACAAAAAGTTAAAAAGTGATGGGAGGAAGTTAAGATGTAGAGATTTTATTATTTTTATGCAATCAGTGTTAAGTTGTCATCAGTTTAAAATAATGGGTTATAAAATATAAATGTGCAAGCCTCACGGTAATCTCAAATCAAAACACATACAATCAATACACAAAAAGTAAAAAGTGAGAAATTAAAACATTCCACCAGAGAAAATCACCTTCAATAAAAGGAAGACAGGAAGGAAGGAGAGAAGGATGAGAAGACTAGGAAACAACCCAAAAACAAATAACAAAATGGCAGGAGTAAGTCCTTACTTATCAATAACATTGAATGAAAATGGACTAACCTCTCCAATCAAAAGACATATAGCGGCTGAATGGATTTTAAAAAATAAGACCCAATTATCTGTTGCCTATAAGAAACATAATTCACCTATAAAGACACACATAAACTAAAAATAAAGGAACGGAAGAAGATAACCCAGGCAAATGGAAACTAAAAAAGGGCAGGAGTAACTATACTTATATCAGATGAAATAGATTTCAATACAAAAATTGTAGAAAGAGATAAAAACAAACATTATGTAATGATAAAGAGGTCAGTTCCACAAGAAGATATAACAATTATAAATATATACGCACTCAACACTGGAGCACCCAGATATATAAAGCAAATATTATCAAAGCTAAAGAGAGAGATAGATCCCAATACAATACAATACAAGACACCTTGGGAGGCCGAGGTGGATGGATCACGAGGTCAAAAGTTCTAGACCAGCCTGGCCAACATGGTGAAACCCCGTCTATACTAAAAATATAAAAATTAGCCGGGCAATACGATAATACGTAGAAACTTTAACACCCCACTCTCAGCATTGGACAGATCATCTAGACCAAAAATCAACAAAGAAACATCAGACTAAATGTACACTGCAGATCAAATGGACCTAACAGATATTTACAGAACATTTCATCCAATGACTGCAGAATGCATGTTCTTCTCCTCAACACATGGATCATTCTCAAGGATAGCCCATGTTAGGCCACAAAGCAAGTCTTAAAACATTTAAAAAAATTGAAATAATACCTAGTATCTTCTCTGAACACAATGGAATAAAACTAGAAATTGGTAACAAAAGAAATTTTGAAAAGTATACAAACACATGGAAATTAAAACAATATACTCCTGGATGACCAGTGGGTAAATGAAGAAGTTAAGAAGAAAACAAAATTTTCTTGAAATAAATGATAATGAAAACACAACATACCAGAATCTATGGGATAAAGCAAAAGCAGTACTAAGAGGGAAATTTATAGCTATAAGCACATATATATAAAAGTAAAACAACTTCAAATAAACAATAGAGCCATGCACCTTAAAGAACTAGAAAAGCAAGAGCAAACCAAACTCAAAATTAATAGAAGAAAAGATATAATAAAGATCAGAGCAAAAATAAATAAAATTAAAATTAAAAATCAACAAAACAAAAAGTTAGTTTTTTAAAAAGATAAATAGACAAACCTTTAGCCCAAACAACTAAGGAAAAAAGAGAGAAGACCCAAATAAATAAAATCACAGGTTAAAAATGAGATATTACAACTGATAAGGCAAAAATTCAAAAGATCACTAGAGGCCACTATAAGCAACTACATGTCAATAAATTGAAAAACCCAGAATACATTGATAAATTCCTAGACACATACAACTTATTAAGACTGACCCATGAAGAAATACAAACTCTGAACAGACCAATAACAAATGAGATCAAAGCCATAATAAAAAGTCTCCCAGCAAAAAAAAAAAAAAAAAAAAGCCCAGAATCTGATGGCTTTATTGCTGAATTTTAACAAACATTTAAAGAAGAATATGAATCCTACTCAATCTATAAAAAAAGTACAAGAGGAGGAAATACTTTCATACTTATCCTATGAGGACAGTATTACCCTGATACCAAAGCCAGACAAATACACATCAAGAAAAGAAAACTACAGGCTAATATTCCTGATGAACACTGATGCAAAAATTCTCAGCAACTACTAGCAAACCAAATTTAAGAAGACATTAAAAAGATCATTCATCATGACCAAGTCAGATTTATCCCAGGGCTGCAAGGATGGCTCAACATATGCACATCAATCCATGTGATAAAACATATCAACAGAATGAAGGACAAAAATCATATGATCATTTCAATCAATGCTGAAAAAGCATTTGTTAACATTCAACATCTCTTCATGATAAAACCCTAAAAAAAAAAAACTGGGTATAGAAGAAACATACCTCAACAGAGTAAAAGCCATATATGACAGACCCACAGCTAGTATCGTACCAAATGGGGAAAAACTAGAAGCCTTTCCTCTAAGATCGGGAACATGATAAGAATGCTCATTTTCACCACTGTTATTCAACATAATACTAGAAGTCCTAACTTCCAACAAGAGAAAGAAATAAAGGGCATTCAAATTGTAAAGGAAGAAGGCAAATTATCCTTGTTTGCAGGAGATATAATCTCATATTTGGAAAAACCTAAAGACTCCACCAAAAAAAAAAATTATTAGAACTAATACACAAACTCAGTAAAATTGCAGGATACAAAATTGACATACAAAAATCAGTGGCATTTCTATGTGCCAAAAGCAAACAAGCTGAAAAAGAAATTTTTTGAAGTACCATTTACAAGACCTACAAATGAAATTAAATACCTAGGAATTAACCAAAGAAGTGAAAGATCTCTATAATGTAAACTATAAAACACTGATGAAAGAAATTGAAGAAGACACAACAAAATGGAAAGATATTCCATGTTCATGGATTGGAAGAATGAATATTGTTAAAATGTTCATTTTACCCAAAGTAATCAACAGATTCAATACCTATCAAAATACTAATGACATTCTTCACAGAAATGGAAAAAACAATCCTAAAATTTATATGGAACCACAAAAGACCCAGAATAGCCAAAGCTATCTTGAGCAAAAACAAAACTGGAGAAATCACATTACCTGACTTCAAATTGTACTACAGAGCTATAGTAATCAAAACAGCATGGTACTGGCATAGGAACAGACACATAGACCAATGGAACAGAATAGAGAACCCAGAAACAAATCTATACATCTAAGGTGAACTCATTTTTGACAAAAGTGCCAAGAACATACACTGGGGAGAGGACAGCCTCTTCAATAATGGTGCCAGGAAAACTGGATATCTATATGCAGAAGAATAAAACTAGACCCCTATTCTCTGGCTATATACAAAAATCAAATCAAAATGTGTTAAAGACTTAAATCTAAGGCCTCAAACTATAAAACTTTTTCAAGAAAACATTGGAAATTGGATTGGGCAAAGATTTCTTGAGTAATACCACACAAGCAAAGGCAACCAAAGCCAAAATGGACAAATGCAATCACATCAAGTTAAAAAGCTTCTATACAGCAAAGGAAACAATCAACAGAGTGAAGAGACAACCCACAGAATGAGTGAAAATATTTGCAAACTACCCATCTGTCAAGGGATTAATAACTAGAATATATAAGGAGTTCAAACAACTCTATAGAAAAAAATCTAATAATCTGATTCAAAAATGGGCAAAAGATCTGAATGGACATTTTTCAGAAGACACACAAATGGCAAACAGGCATGTAAATAGGTGCTCAACATCACTGATCATCAGAGAAATGGCAAATCAAAACTACAATGAAATATTATCTCGCCCCAGTTAAAATGACTTTTATCCAAAGACAGGCAACAACAAATACTGGCAAGAATGTGGAGAAAAGGGAACCCTCGTACACTGTTGTTGAGAATGTAAATTAGTACAATCACTATGGAGAACAGTTTGGAGTTTCCCCGAAAAACTAAAAATAGAGCTACCATATGATTCAGGAATCCCACTCCTAGATATAAACCCAAAAGAAAGGAAATCAGTATATTGAAGGAAATCAGTATATCTGCACTCCCATGTTTACTGCAGCACTATTCACAATAGCTATGATTGGAAGCAGCCTAAGTGTCCATCAGCTGATGAATGGATAAAGAAAACATGGTACATATACACAATGGAGTACTAGTCAGCCATAAAAAAGAATGATATCCTGTCATTTGCAACAACATGAATGGAACTGGAGGTCATCATGCTAAGTGAAATAAGCCAGGCACAGAAAAACAAACTTTTTATGGTCTCACTTATTCTTGGGAGCTAAAAATTAAAACAACTGAACTCACGGAGAGTAGAATGATGCTTATAAGAGGCTGGGAAAGGTGAGGGGTCCGGGGGAAGTGAGAATGGCTAATGGGTACAAAAAGATAAACAATGAATAAGATCTAGTATTTGATAGCACAACAGGGTGCCATAGTCAATAATAATTTTATTGTATATTTTAAAATAACTAAGAGTATAATTGGATTGTTTGTAACACAAAGGATAAATACTTGAGGTGATGAGAACTCCATTTACCCTGATGTGATTATTATGCATTGTATGCCTGTATCAAAATATATCATGTTCCCCATAAATATATACACCTACTTTGCATGCACAAAAATAAAAAATTAAAAAGAAACATTTTAATAAACCAAATAATGTATAGAGAATGTATTCTTACATTCTTTAGTGATAATAACATGTTTAAAACAATTATGGCTAACATTAATATTGATAATATTACTATTGATAATATTAGTGTCAATTACTTAGTCTGCACCAGCCATCATGCCAAGCATATTACATGGATTATCTCATTTCATCTTCACAGCCCCATAGAGTAAGCTTATTCAATATAAATTTAATTCAGAAGAAGTTCCTACCTGGAGTCTGAGACCCTCTGTTATTGGCACGTAATGATTTTTCTGCAGCAATGTGAGGATACATGTAGTAGCTATAAATCACTATTTTGCCTTAATACATGCAATTTACAGACAATCTTGTCCCTCTGTATCCCAAACAAGGCAGAAGAATATTGTGAATCGATATCTCAATGGGATTCTATTTAAGTTGTGGCAAGTCATAGAAGGAGGCTATTGTTAGGCTTATGTCACAGGTCTACCTAGCCTTACACCTTCATATAAGACAGTGTCTCGGTTTTCCTGAATAGCTACCTCTGGGGAGAAAAAACAAAGTCAAAATACAAGATGTTTCCCAGTATAGTGTTTATTGCACAAAGTACTGAATTTAAAGACAAAAGACCAACTGTCAAAGCTCTTCATGATACTTATTAGCTGTGTGATCACACGATCACATGCAAACTTCACACTCATTTCCCTTTCCTCATCTATGGTATCTTGAATTTCTTTGAGTTTCCTCAAAATGGCTATTTTGAATTCTCTGTCTGAAAAGTCACATATCCCTGTTTCTCCAAAATTGGTCCCTGGTGCCTTATTTAGTTCATTTGGTGAGGTCATGTTTTCCTGGATTGTCCTGATACTTGTAGATATCTGTCTGTGTCTTGACACTGAAGAGTTAGGTATTCATTGTAGTCTTCACTATCTGGGCGTATTTGTACCTGTCTTTCTTGGGAAGGCTTTCTAGATATTTGAAAGAACTTGAGTGCTGTGATCTAAGCTGGACCCAAGCCCAGCAATGCTGTGGTCCTTGCAGACTCATAGATGTACCACCTTGATAGTCTTCAACAAGATCCGGGAGATTTCTCTGGATTACCAGGCAGACTCTTATTCTCCTCCTTTACTTTCTCCAAAACAAGGAGCTGCCCCCTTCTCCTTCCTAACCCCTGTTTTGAGCCACTTGAAGCTGTAACAGCCCTGTGGCCACCACCACTGGGACTGTGCTGGGTCAGACCTGAAGCAAGCACAGCACCGGGTCTCGTCCAAGGCCTCCTGTAACCACTCTCTTGCTACTGCCTATGTTTGCTCAAGGCCCTAGGACTCCACAATCAACAGATGGCAAAGCCAGGCCTCTGTCCTTCCCTTCAAAACAGCAAGTTCACCTAGGCCCCAGGTAGGTCCAGAGGTGCCATTTGGGAGCTAGGGACTAGAGTCAAAAACTTTAGAAGTCTAACTGGTGTTCTATTGTACTGAGGCTGAGCTGGCCCTCAATCCACAAGACAGTTCTTCCCACTCTTCCCTTGTCTTTCCAATGGTAGAGGAGCCTCACCCCTTGGACGCCACCACAGGCCCATGAGGACTACTGCCAGACTAAGACCAATGTTCCCTTAAGGTCCATGGGCTCTTCAGTCAGCTTGTGGTGAATGCTGCCTGCCCTGGAACTCACCCTTCCAGGCAGTGGGCTCCCCTCCTACCCAGAGCAGGTTCAGAAATGCCATCCAAGAGCCTAGGCCTGGAATTGGGGACCCCAAGAGCCCACTTGGTGCTCTCCCCTGCTGTGGCTGATGTGGTACCTTAAGGTATAAGACAAAGTCTCCTTTACTTTTCCCTTTGCTTTTCTCAAGCAGAGGGAGTCTTGCCCCAGAGCCACCACAGCTGGGAATGTGCTGAGTCTCGCCTGAAGCCAGAAAGTTTCAGAGTTCCACCAAAGGCCCTCGATGTAGTACCTGGGTATCACTGCTGGTTTTTCAGTTAGCAAGTGGTGAATTCTGCCAGAACTGGGTCCTTTCCTTCAAGGAACCTTTCCTTGAAGGTTCCCTTCTGGCCCAGGGTGTGTCTAGAAATGTAATCCAGGGGCTAGAGCCTGGAATGGGGGCCTCAAACTCTGATCAGTGCCCTATCCTGCTGTGGCTCGGCTGGCATCCAAGATGCAAGACAAAGTCCTCCCACTCTACCCTCTCCTCTCCTCAGGCAGAAGGAAGGGGTCTCTTTTGGAGCATGAGCTATGCAGCCTGGGGTTGGGGAGGGGTGATGCCAGCACTCCCGTAGACACCCCAGCTGATGTCTCAGTACATCACGTGCCCCTTCAGTCCTCTGACTCTGGGCCCAGTTCAGCACTAGGACTCATCTAAAAGTTGCAGTTCTTGTGGTTCAGACTGCCTTTCAAGTTTTTTTAGAGCCCCTAATCACCTTAGCCCTTGGTGGCAAGGTTTGTGGGAACTCAAGTTCATACCATTGGGATCAGAAATCCCCCTGGCTTGGGCTGGTTTAAATGCACCCTCCGTGGGCAGGCATCAGCTAAGTTTGGTCCAGTTTCCTTTCTGTTCTAACAGGACAGAACTGAGTTCAATGCCTCACAGTCGCTGTGCTCTCTCTCCCCAGTATCTGGAGATGCTCTCTGCACATGCTGCCACCACAGGGGATGAGGAAGAGGTGGCATCGGTGATTCAAGGCTGTTTTTTCCACCTCTTCAGTGCCTCATACTGTGATACAAACCAAAACCAGGTACTGAGTGGTCACCTGATTTTTGATTCTGATAAAGGTGTTGTGTGTGTGTGTGTGTGTGTGTGTGTGTGTGTGTGTGTGTATGTAGTTGTTAAATTGGTGTCCTTGCAGAGGGGGTGGGGGACAATCTGTGGAGCCTTCTCTTCTGCCATCTTGCTCCACCCTCCCCTTTCCTCATCTGTGGGATTGATGATAAAGGCACCTATCCACCAGGTGATTTATTACGATCGAATGCAGTACTCTGTGAAAGCACTTAGCGTAGCCGATTAAGTAAGAGCTGACTAATCATTTGCTTTCTTTCTGCAGAAGAGTATAATTTATTCAGTCATCTGTCCTTATCCTATGAAGAAGAAAACAGACTTTCACCAGCAACTGTGGTGCACATGTCCTCAGTCTGTCCCTAGTCACTTCTCAGTCCTACTTAATAAGCACACTAGCCAGTCAAACCCAAATATGTTTCTGCTTGAAGGCTTGGCCCATCAGGTTGGCACCCTGGGAGACAGCTTGCTACTAGCTCTGTCTGGGCTACCAGAGTTCTAACTTTGGCGCCACGCCTTCAAGACACACTAGCACAGCCTTGACACATGAAAGTTGATGAACAAACCAACACATTTGTCCTATAATTACAGGCTTTGGCAGCCAAGTGTCAACACATTGATTTGCTAAATTTTGAAAGCTTTATTGGGTCTTAATGACCAATTCAACCTTGCATATGACCAGAAATGACTGACCACAGCTTTGGAACTCTTCTGGGTTTGATTGAAAATATGTTAACCCAGTGTTTCTCGCTGTGGTCCCTTGGCCACTTGCTCCTGAACCTCCTGAGGATCTCATTAAAATGCAGACTTTCCCCAGAGCTACTTAATCCGAATCTGGGGGTGGGCCCAGAGATCAGCACTGTTAACAAGCACTACAGGTTTTTTCTTGATCACAAAAGTGAGGGCTGGTTGAGCAAATTCAAGGTTATCATCCAAAGTACTAAAGGCTTCAAGAACTATATACAAGAGATAATACTTCCATCCAGGACGATGTTTAAGTATATTGAAATGCTTAATTCTCAAATATTAGTTATAACTTTAAAAAGGCAGTGCAACCTAAGAACTGTAACCTGGTAGCAAAAGACCTTAAAATTTGCTTTGGATTTCTAACCACATTAAAAAAAAATTTTTTTTCCCCATATCACAAGTCATCAAGCAACTACCCACATTAATCAAGTGCATTGGTTGCACTAAAATAGGTAGATCTGTCCATTATGCAATAAAATGATTGACTTTAATGGCTTCAGTAGAGTAGGTATTATATCAGTCTCTGATAATAAGAATAAGCACAGTAGATAATCACTTGCCAAGTCAATCACTAGCTATAACAATTGAATGTGAACATCTCATTTTGGTGTTTTACTTGTCTGTTTTGAACTTTGAATTGGAGGTAAGTAGGAAAAATACTTTACATTACACTGAGCAGCAGAACTTCCATTTCAGGCTCAATTAAAGAAAAATGTATACACCATCTTTTCCCCTTCCATTTCCCTTAATTGGGGCAAAAATTTGGCCAACATATTTAGCATGGTCAGTGGGGCCGGGGCCAAAGAGGCAGCCTGCATCCTCGGGACGTTGGTATCCGTCATCTAAATAAATGTATTGAGGCTAATGGGAGCCAGATTTTTCAGTGCGGAACCAGGAAGTTATAAGTAGGTAAAAGAGGCTAAGATAAACCCTGTGATATTGGATTGGAATTGAAGGTATCAGTTTTTAACAAAGACAGATAGATAGATGGATACAGAAAGATGTGTATGTGTGTATGTATGTGAGTGCGTGTGAGTGTGTGTGTATAAATATATTTTCTAGTCTTCTGAGAAGGCCTAAAAGCAATGACACCCCAATAGCAATGAACACCGAGATCATGGCTTATAAATAACGTTCTTCACTAAAAAGAGCCAGAACTCTAAACAAATGACTGAATCCAGGGCTTTGATAGGGAAATGGCCAATAAGACTAGAACTTCTTGTTGTACCAGAAAGTCAGTGCTCAAAGAATGATGGGGACATGTCAAAAGAACATATGAGCCAGCTCAAAGAGGCTAATAAATAATAATACTAACAGGTAATACACATTGAACAAGGTAAAAATCCTTGAGTCCATATTTATATAAATAAAGGAATGAAAATATAATGAAATGGGAGGAAAAGGAAAACTCTACCTTACAACAAAATGCCAAATCATAATGTAGGAATTAAAAAATTACCATTTAGCAACTTTCGTGGTAACAATTGATTCGGTCATGAATCATCAATGGATGCTAAAACTAATGAGTGAAAATTTGATGAGCAAGATATTTATATACTCTTAAAGAATCTCTCCACAATATATTTATTCATTGCTTATTAATAAATATGTACATAATTGTTATTAATTTTATATTAGAGTAACTTGGCAGACATCATCTTAACAAAGTAATAAAAGTGAACAACGACAGTAGGAGGACGAATATCATGTGCCTCCTAATATTATGTATTGAGAAGTGCACAACATCATTTCTGTAGTATTTCTGCCAAAAATGCATAATCTGAATCTAATCATCAGAAAACATCAGACAAACTCAAATTGAGGAATATTTTATTTTCATGATTTCCACCCTTGTTTTTTTCTATCTTAGATTCAGGAGGTACATGTGCAGGTATGATGACTGGGTATACTCCATGATGCTGAGGTTTGCAGTACCAATGATCCTGTCACCTACGTACTGATTATAGTCCCCAGTAGTTTTTCAACACTTGCTCTCCTCTCTCCCTCCCCCACCAGTAGTCCCCAGTTTATACTGTTGCCATCTCTATGTCCATGAGTACTCAATGTTTAGCTCCCACTTATAAATAAAAACATGCAGTATTTGCTTTTCTGTTCCTGCATTAATTCGCTTAAAATAATGGCCTCCAGCTAGATCCATGTTGCTGCAAAGGACATGACTTTGTTCTTTTTTATGTCAGCATAGTATTTTGTGGAGTATGTCTACCACATTTTCTTTGTTCAGTCCACCACTGATAGGCTCCTAAGTTGATTCCATGTCTTTGCAATTGTGAATACTGCTGCAATGAACATATGCTTGCAAATTTCTTTACGGTAGAAGGATTTATACTCCTTTGGGTATATACCCAGTAATGAGATTGCTGGGTCGAATGGTAGTTCTGTTTTGTTTGTTTGTTGATGTTGTTGTTGTTGTTGTTTGAGAAAAAGTCTTATTTTATTGCCCAGGCTGGCGTGTAGTGGTGCAATCATGGCTCACTGCAGCCTTGACCTCAAGCAATCCTCCCACCTCAGCCTCCCAAGTAGTGGGGACTACAAGTGCATGGCACCATGCCTAGCTAATTTTTTTTTTTTTTGTAAAGTGGTGTGGGGGGGTCTCACTTTGTTGCTCAGGCTAGGCTGGTCTTGAACTCCTGGGCTGAAGTGATCCTCTTACCTCAGCCTCCCAAAGTGCTGGGATTACAGGTGTGAGCCACCATGCTTGGCCTGTTTTAAGTTAAGAACTCTCCAAACTGCTTTCCACAGTGGCTGAACTAATCATTTACATTCCCACCAACAATGTATAAGTGTTCCCTTTTTCCCACAGCCTCACCAGCATCTGTTGTTTTTTGAATAATAGTCATTCTTACTAGTGTGAGATGGTATCTCATTGTGGTTTTGATTTGCATTTCAAATTGAAGAATATTTCACACAGCAAATTTTAAAAACTGTCAATGTCACAAAAGATAAGGAAAAAATGAGGGAGACTAAAGAGAAATGACATTTTAAAGTAACCTATGACCCTAGATTGGATTTTGGACCTATAAAAGCTATGTTAGGACAAATTTTAATGTGATCTATGGGTTAGGTAATAGTATTGTTCAACATTAGTTTCCTATGGTTATGTAACAAAGAGTCTTTATTTTTAGGAAATATACACTGAAGTATTGGGGCAATGTGTGTCATGTCTATAACTTTCAAATGGTTCAGAAAAAAATAATACAGAGAGAGAGAAAGAATGATAAGGCAAAAGTGGTAAAGTTAACAATAGGCAAATCTCAGTGAAGGACATATAGTTCTTTGTACCACTTTTGCAAATTTTCTGTAAATTGGAAATTACTTCAAAGTAAAAAATTTTAAAAGGTGTACACACTCCATCCTCATAAACTAGAAATGTAATTTTTTAAAAAGCTGCCAGCCATTTGCTTTATTAAAGAGGTTCTAACTCTGAAGGGCGAAATAAATGTAGAAGGAAATATTTCATTTCCATCAATGAGTAGTAAGCATCTAACTTGAGGAAGAGAGCCCTGTAAGGAACATTAGTAACTCAATCCAGGTGGAGCAAGCGTGTTAACTAGGATCCTTAGAGCTCTTCAATAAGAAATGTAGCCCTTCCTGTCAGACAACAGATCTCAGGCTGAGAGTGCAGGATAACCACGTCAGCTAAAAGCTCTACAAATTCTGAGTTGGTATCCATTGCAAAGATGACCTCATGTCCAAAGTCCAATTTTCTTGCCCAAATTCCTATTTTGGAAATTAACATAATGTTCAGATCTTCAAGTTAAAATAATAAGTCCTTGTTTTTTATTTTGCAAAATAAAAGTGCTGATATTTTCCACGTATAATAGTAATACAAGCAACTCACACGTATGAAATACTTACTCTGGGTCACATCCTCTTCTAAGGATGTTACCTGCACTGTTTCATTTAATCATCTCCATTTTCTTATGAAGTAAGGACAGTTATTATTCTCTTAATTTTACAGCCACCTACCGGGCACGGTGGCTCACACCTGTAATCCCAGCACTTTGGGAGGCCGAGGCGGGTGGATCACCCAAGGTCAGGAGTTCAAGACAGCCTGGCCAACATGGCGAGACCCGCTCTCTAATAAAAATACAAAAATTAGCTGGGCGTGGTGGCAGGCGCCTATAACCCCAGCTACTGGGGAGGCTGAGGCAGGAGAATCACTTGAATTCGCGAGGCGGAGGTTGCGGTGAGCCAAGATCGTGCCATTGCACTCCAGCCTGGGCGACAAGAGTGAAACTCCATCTCCAAAAAGAAGAAAAAAAAAAAAGAAAACCAGTGCCCTGAGCGATTAAACTCTCCAGGATCACAAAGCTGTTAAGTGACTGCATCACAGTTTGAACTAAGACTTTCTAATGCGAAAGCCTATGTTATTAACTACTATGTAAGATGCTGTACTATGCTTCCACATTCTGTGGTTCCTTCTAGCCTCTGGCTTACAGTAATAATGTAGGGTCAAAATCCTTTAACAAATACACCATGTCAGTTAAAAAAAAAATCTGAGGTACCCAGATCGAAAACCATTTAAGGTACCCATCTAAAAACAAAACCAAGAAAGAGGAGAACTGCTCTACCAATAAAAGATATCTTGGGCCATAGTTTTGACTCACATCACATTGCATACTGCCCTTGATTGCCTCACTGCTGTGGCAAACTGGTAAGTGTTTCATTACCCTTAGTTGTTCTTTTGGTTAAAGGGCAGAAGAAATAGGTTGTTTAGAAAAGACCCTGAAAAATACTAATCTCCAATTTCGTTTTCCTTATGTTTTTAATTAGGAATTCCTGACTCAATCAATATTCTTTCTTCCTCAATTGAATTTTTAAATATGTCAAATAGCTACTCCTGAACAATGTCTCCAAAAATAAAATGGGAGCATCTAAGAGCCAGGACCAGACTAGAAGAAAAATCATGATCCTTGCTTCCCAATTCAGTCCCAGGAGCTCTCAGGAATTTTTTCTGCCTCAATACTCAACGGATAATTGTTATGGTGTGACATACTGCCTTGCTAAGTTTCTGGAGGGTCAGCTGGAACCTTATCCATTTCTCTTTCAAATAGGAAAGGGTATCAGAATCAAGTCAGCTCAAGTGACATTATTATAGGGATGCTGTTGACTCTAATTTATTAAACACTTGCAAACTTTCATGTGTCAATTATCAACAGCAACAAGTCACAAGTACCTCTGGATAAATTCATATTATTTGTATATATTCTAAGATAAATTGTTACTTTTTATTTATTTTGTAGAGACGGGGTATTGCTATGTTGCCCAGGCTGGTGAACTCCTGGCCTCAAGCAACTGATCCTCCCAGCTCAGCCTCCCAAAGTGCTGGAATTATAGGCCTAAGCCACCATGCCTGCCCATAGGTTAAATTTGATTGTTGCTTCCTTTTAGGGCTATTGCATTTTCCCCTCTTCTACTGCAATTATTTCATTTTACCTAAATCCCCACCATAGTAGATCTGAGAGAAGGGTGGCAGAGGCAGAGAAACCTGTTAGAAATCATTCCAGCCCAAGAATTTATACTTATAAAGTCTATCTTCTCCCTCATCAGCTATGAGACAGGAATGGCGAGAACTGGAATGTGGGGAACAGGGCTTGGAAGCCACTCTCTTTAAGATCCCTTCTCTGCTCTCAGAATGCCCCCAAACGGCAAGTAGAAGGCCTGACATTACACCGGACTCTGTTACTGCCTTCATATATTCCAGTATTTAGTTGCTGCTATGTTTGAGAGGCATTCACATTGAGATTTTTGGCTAATCAACAAGCTTTCGCCTAAAATGAATTTGTGAATATGTCAAATAGGTACTTCTGAATAGTTTCCACTGAAACAAGTTGGAAGCATCCAAGAGCTTGAGGGTGCTACGTGCTCAAGTCTTAACATCCTGGGGAAAGGGCAGGCACAAAGGATCACCAGAATATCTCACAAAACAGGTTGTCTCTGGTCCACCCTAGCAATCTGCAGCATAATGTAAACTCTAGCTCCATATCCCTTCTGTGTTACTCCCTGTAAGAATGAGGGGTTTCCCAGAGTGCCTTGCTTGTGCTTCTAGATGTTCTGCATTGCCATCACCACTTTCTGCTGCCTCTGCATCCTGTGGTCTATAACTTCTCAAGGTGATATGGAACAAGAACGCTTTACCAGCACCAATACGGCAGGGCTACTCATTGCCAAGCCCTCGTGCCCTCAGTTTAAGGAATGGATACTTTGGTGAAACAGCTGTTTTATGTGAATAATCAGTCCCATTTCTCTTTCTTGGACACAAGTCCATAAGGGCTACACTGAGAACAATGAGTAAGAGCATGCACTAAGTCTGTGCACTTCAAACTGGAGCATTTGCTTCCCCAAGGATTCAAGATGGTGTGCTGCTGGGGAGAGAGAGACCATGGGTATAGATGGCAAAACCTTCTGGAGCCTACATTTTACTAGATTTGAGGGCAAGAATGAAATAGTTAAACCATTTAAATGGTAAATGATTGTGACATATCAAGAAGAATGCAAAAATCACATAGATAATGGCTATTTGTTAAATGTAAGAGACAGAAGAAATTATATGCTCGATGTAGATTCCTTCTATTTCCTCTTCTTTGTGGATCATAAACCAATCCTTGGAAAAGTTGGAGAAGGACCACATGATAATGCTGTGTTGAAATCAGGTGACCCTCCTCCACCACTGGTCCTTAGACCAGATTTCTTAACTGACCATACTCTCTACTCTCCTGGGATGTTGTTTTCCACGAGGGTCCATGGTCTTTGATACGAAGGTCACAGACCCCTCGGCCTGCCCTCTAGACTTGCTGGGCACACGGCTTAGGCTCCATCTCTAGGATCCTCTGCTCAGCAATGCTTTTTGAGAAACCTTTTAGACCCTACAAAGTCTCCACTCTTGCCTAAGATGGCAGTGGAGAAATAGTCCTTTAATTTGAAAGCAGGTCTGGGCTGGGCATGGTGGCTCACGCCTATAATTCCAGCTACTCAGGAGGCTGAGGCACAAGAATGGCTTGACCCTAGGCAGCAGTGGGGCGGCAGCAGCGGGGGTGGAGGTTGCAATGAGTCAAGATTGCGCCACGGCACTCCAGCCTGGGCAACAGAGCAAGACTCTGTCTCAAAAAAAGAAAAAAGAAAGAACATACAGGACTCTTTCCAGCTGTAGAGTGTTTTCATCCAGGCCCTGGTGGCCCAACTTTGGTAGCCACATTTGACTCAAGGAAGACAGAATAAGGGTCAAGGTATAACAGGATCCCAGGATAGGTTTCTCAGCCCAGGTGGCAGCCACTACTGTGGGTTCTGCCCTTGCATTGTCAGACCCCAGAGAGCTGGGCAGCTGGATGACACCTCAAAGCTCTTCTCTCGGTTGCTCTGTGTGAATAGGCTCTGAATATACAAGCTTTTAATAACTAAAATGCCAATGAAAATAAATTTGAGCACTCAATCATGTCATAGCAAATGCTATTTAATCATCACCAGAAATACGTGAAGTAAATTTTATTACTCCTATTTTACAGATGAGAACATTGAGGTTTAAAGTATTTAAATAACTCATCCAAAAGTCAGACATGATTTGTACTCAAATCTCTCTGACTCCCAAGTAGTGCTTTTAACCCTAAGACTTAGTTTTGATGTGGCTGAGACCTTTCATTGCCCTTGTCCTAAGCCTAGACCCTGACAGCAGCTCTAGTTTACCTGCCACAGTCCTCCTATATCCCTTCAGTCCCTGATGGGAAGAGATGCAAAGATAGCTCTTATTGAAGCTATTCATGAAAAGGACCTCCTCCTCTCTACAAATCCCTTATCTCTTCTGGGTACGCCATATGGTGCAAGTGGGACTCCTTGGGAAGTCGACTCTGAGATGAAGATCAGCATGCACTTAGTTTTGTTAGGAAGTACTCATAGGAAACACGGTAGAGAAGAAAGGGAAGCTGAACTAAGATGTAATCTCAGTGAAGGCTCAGCCAATCCCTTAGGGAGTTCTGGCACTGGATGCCCCTTCAGAATTGTGAGGGAGCCGAGCCTTTACACATCCACATCAACCAGGCCTTGACTAAGGGCATAACATTGAGCAAAGCAGCTGTCATTGGCTGGTGTACTTCCTAAAGGGGCTGATGCCTGAGGATTGCCTGCCAGTAGCACTCCCATCCCAGCAGTGGGCAGATTTTAAGGCCTTCATTCCTGAAGGGGGAACAGACTATTTTAAGGGGATCACACACACACACACACACACACACACACACACGCACGCACGCACACACACGTAAAATCCACAGCACACACCAATGCCTTTAGAACTTTTTTAAGAGAAGGGACAGAGACATGCTACAAAATACTGACCTGAAAGAGAGAATTAGGCTGCTGAAAAGATCCAATCACATTCGCATTAGTTTAATTATACAGTTAAGAAGTTTTAAAATGCTTACTAGGAAGATGAACTATCCCCTGCTTTCTAACTCATCTTTCAAAATCTGCCTTCCATAGTTCTGACTCACTGCACATCTGAATACCTATTTAAGTGTTCCTAGGTTCCCAAGAGAATTCGGAGACTGCTGTCTGCTCAAGAATACAGTTCTCTCCAGGGCCTCACAGGTCTTCGATTAGTACTTTATGTTTGCTTCCCCAAATTTCTGCTATCTTGGACCTCAGAGACTATTTGATGCTACAAGAGCAGAGGTGTCTGTTTCCTTCTACGGTGCCAGGTGTAACGTTTGGCACATAGTAAGTGCTCAATAAGTATCAGTCAGCGAGGTGACTAAATGGTGTCTTCCAGTTAGGAGTTTAAACTTCTCCTTTGATGCTGGCAAACGTTTCCAGTATTTGTGCTATGGTTTCCCTTTATTTACCCAAAACATTTTCCAGAAGTTATGCTGACTTAGAACCAAAAGGATTAAGATTACTTCTCAGGCATCCCTCTGTCCAGATATCCAGATACATAATCTGGTAGTTAATTTAGTTAATCCTTGAAGGCGGGCAGTGGGAAAGAAAAGAAAAAAAGTTGAGGCTTACAGTTACATAACTGTTCAATGAGAATTCGATACTTTGCAATTAAAAGTCAAACACACACACACATAGACCCCAACCATAATCCTCCCTTGGTAAAGGCAAACTAAACTTAGCAAAAAAGGTACCTATAACATTTAAAAACTGCTCTTTGTAAAAATAAAATCATTCTAGATGAAGATTCAGAAGCCCCTACTTCAATTCACAAAATTTCTGCAAATATTTCTTCACCTTTTTCTGCCTGTTTAAATAACCAAACTCTTAGCCTGAGCTAGTGGATTATCTTTGCCTACATTTTAAAATGTCCCTGCTTTTTGGCCCGGATTCGCCCTGCTATCAGTAGGCTGCTCTGACTGAAAAGGTGCATTCGTGTTCTTGGCTTTGCCAATAAATTAACTTTATAGCTAACTTGGCAAGGTTCCTTGGGTGGGGGAGACAGAAGTGGAGTATCGAGTGGTCAAGGAATGGGAAAATTTAGTTTACAGATTAATAAAACTTGAGGATGGACACTGTAAACTTTTAAAAGCACTTTTAGTTTTAAAGAACTGAAGTTATACCTCATAATTAAAGGTATGTACAAATAAACTGTAAAATAAAGTGTCTAGCTGCATTAGGTTCATAAAAAATGATTTTGTTTGGGATAAAATATATAAATTAAACATCTCAATTTCTGTAAAACTTTATTCAAATTCTTAGGTCTAATTTTTATAAATCAGGGTAATTTAATTGTATTTGGATTTTATGTGTCTGAGCAATTAAATGTCTGACATGATTTTTAAAATCTTTATATTCATAACAAATACAACGGGTCTTTGCTTCTTTTAAAAATGTCACAAATGTTTGTAAAATGTCAGAAAAGTATTCAGAAAGAAAAATATCTTCCTTTCTTAATAATTCTCCCAAGTTTTTGTCATAACATCTCTAGGATCCTAAAAAACAATTTAGTGATCACCTCTGCATATCACATCAAACTTCAGGTAGATCTGTGAGCCCAACAGCCATTCAGCAGGCTCTGTTTTCTGTGCCTAGCACAGATGCCCGGTCCAGAGCAGGGACTCAATAATTGTTTAATAAATAACTGAACAGAACTGCCTCATGGCAGAAAATAATCTCTGATGATCTTATGATGTAAAGGTAAAGAACATTAGCAGAAGTAGTATACATTCATGAATAACAGGGAAAGAAGTAGGAAGAAAGGGAGGGTAATATGGAGATTGCCAGTTAACACCTTTGATACGTCGGAGGATTTTAAGTCCGAGAACTCCTTTCTGTTGTGCAACTTAAGAGCATTCTGCATCATAAAATGATTTTGTCTGCATAAAACCAATGTATTTATTTTATGCCTAATACATTCCAGGCACTGTTCTAGATAGTGAACAAATACAGCCATGAACAATTTCCCTACTCTCATGGAGTTATACTCCAGCGAATCTACGTCACTACCCTAAAAGACAAATATTGATCTGACACTCATTTTTATGAGTAGGGAAATGACCAAGTTTTTCTCTCATAGTATGCTTGAGATCCCTGCCTATCCAGTGATTAACTGGCACAGGCTTTGCATACGCCTACTCTAATTGAAGTCAACTATAATTACAGAAGACCAATCCAATCATTTAACATTGTATCATACCAGTTGATACGTTAAGCAAGTTTTCACCAACAGGAAAAGGGTCCATTAAAAATATATATATATACAGCTGGGCAGGGTGGCTCAGGCCACCGTGGGATTAGAAATCCCGCACCTTGGGAGGCCGAGGCAGGCGAATCACCTGAGGTCAGGAGTTGAAGACCAGACTGGCCAACATGACAAAACCCCGTCTTTACTAAAAACACTAAAATTGGGTGGGCATAGTGGCGCATGCCTGTAGTTCAAGCTACTTGGGAGGCTGAGGCAGGAGAATCGCTTGAACCCAGGAGGAGGAGGTGGCAGTGAACTGAGATAACGTCACTGCACTCCAGCTTGGGTGACAGGATAAGACTCCCATCTCAAAAGAGAACAAAAAATTTAAAATATATATATACACACATATACACAGACACTTGTTTCCTGTTTTCATGTTTATAGGCCTATTAGAAAGAAGATATTAATATGACCTGATTTTGCACAGTGTTAAGTATTGTTATATATTTTAATTAGACTTCAAACATGATGAATAATCAAGATAGGTTCCCCCCACCCCCACCATGTAACTCTTTTATTTCCCTTATAAACCTATTTCCACGGGCTTACTTGAAATTTGACCAAGTAAAATTTTACCTGAAAAATGATGTTACATGCTAGAGTATATTTATAAATTTTAAATTAAATATAAATATGTAATAAAGATTATTCATTTCAACTTTCATAGAACAAGACAATATATAAGGAAAGTTTGTTCTGAAAAAGAAACAAATCCGTCTCCTTGAAAGATATTATAGACCTAATCACTGGAAACCAACTAGATATTAAGAAAAATCACTTAATCCTGAATCCTTTAATGGATTTTACAAATCAGACGTATTAAACATTTTGAGAGCACTTAAATTTTATGCTGAATAAAACCATATTTAACTAACTTTATAGGATTCATTAATGTTATAACTTACCCAACAAAACATATTGGGCTCTATCTTCTTTGGGTTTAATCAAGCACCATGTGTGGTAGCAAGAAAACTAGACCTATGGGACTCAGGAGGGCTGGGCTCAAGTCACATCACTGATGTGTGACCAAAATGAAAATATCTTTCCATCTCTAAAGATCCATCTAAAGGCTGAGTAAAAGTAGGTGAAAGTACCTTGAAAACTGTAAGAAGGCAATCTCGCTGTGTGCTATTTTTACTATTACTCAACTGCCCTCCTGGTAATAGAGAAACTTAATCAGAGCTCTCGCCACCCCAAAGTGAGGGACTAATATCCCAACAGCTGCAAGGATCCTATAAAATCATGCCAGACCATAGTGAACTCTTTCTATTAGGTGGTACAAAGGTGTTCTGCATCTCTAGTTGGGTGATCTTGTAAACAAAAAAAAAAAAAACTGGGCTCACTAGTTTGAGAATGACTCTGTGGCTCATACTCAATATATTTAGTGTAGTTGCAGTACAATGAACTCATAAAATCATCTCTTAATTTTATTCATTTCTGGCAACTCTAGTCAGCCATATGGTTTCAGATTTCTTTTTAAATTCAGATAACGGTTGTAGTAAATTTATTCTGAATTATCCTCCACTGATTACTTTCTGACCATGGTAATTGGAGTATTTGATGATAGGGTGTTTATCTTTGCTGCATCTTAGGTTTTCACCTAAACTGTCTTCACTTGCTTAATCATCTCTATTAAAACTCTGTGCATATATTACTGCCTTTTTCTCTCCCACTCACCCAATTATCTTTTCTGCCATGCCTTGCTGAGTATATTTCAAAACCCAACACCTTCTCCTAAAAGTCATTCTTTAGTCACTGTTGGTAATTTCACCATATTTGTCAGCTCCATTTTTCTCCCAATAAGTGTCTTATTATATCCATAGGAAAACATTAGGTACTTGGGATATGCAAGACACAACACCTACTCTCAACCTCACCTCTACTTTTCCACTTAATCATTTCCTTTAATTATCTCATATACTTAAGAGTAACTCCTCTGTATTCATATTTACTCTCCATGAATGTAACCCAATGTTATTAAAAATAATTTCCTAGAAATTGGAACATTAACTGGTTATATGATGATTAAGGATTAGTGTGAGATGGTATCATGGTTTATGTTGTTTAAAAATGAGACTTTACCATTTAAGTACTGAAATACTTATGGATAAAATATAATCTCTGGGATTTGTTTTAAAATAATATGGGGTGGGTGGAGACGAACAGGGCCAGATTAGCCACGGCATTAGGCCTGATTTATAAGTATATGGGGAGTTCATTATACTTTTCTATTTACCTATGTTAATATTCTCCATATTACAAATGCAAAAAGATTTTTCTCTTCATTTGCTACAGTCTGGGCTACTCTTGTAAGATCTAACATAATATTTAGATAACTTTTCTCCTTTAAATAATGCTATAAAACTCTACTGAATAGACAGCCAGGCACGGTGGCTCACGCCTGTAATCTCAGCACTTTGGGAGGCCGAGGCTGGTGGATCACAAGGTCAGGAGATAGAGAGCAGCTTAGCTAACACGCTGAAACCCCGTCTCTACTAAAAACACAAAAAATTAGCTGGGCGTGGTAGCACTTGACTGCAGTCCTAGCTACTCGAGAGGCTGAGGCAGGAGAATCCCTTGAACCTGAGAGGTGGAGGTTGCAGAGAGCCGAGATCGCACCACCGCACTCCAGCCTGGGCAACAGAAAAGAGACTCCGTCTCATAAAACAAAAAACAAAAACTAAAAACCAAAAAACTCAATATGCAAAATACAAAATTATATATAAGTTATATTATATATACTATTAATAGCTACCATTTGTTTACGATGTACTAGGCTACTAGGCATTAAGGTAATTTATGTACATAAATTATTCCATTTATTCTTCACAATTAGCTCATCAGGTAGTTATCACTAAAAGCCCAGAGAAATTAAGAAACTTGCCCACTATCATCAGGATAAAAATAAACTTTGAACGTTCATTATTAGTTCCTAATATGAAGAAAATATCCCACAATGACTTAAAACACAATGCCCACATCCATATTGATATACTTCGTTTCCAAATTATAAGCTATTAAGTAGACTTGGCCAAAGACAAATTTGAAATCAGTTTACATTTACCTAGTTAAGTCAATATTTGGTGGACTTACAAATTTTATTTTATTTGCATTCACAAAGAAATCAAGTATAACGCTGACTATGCAGAGTCACTGTTTACAGCCACAGTTTGGAGGGAGGGAGGGAGGGAGGTGTCAAAAGTATAAAGGCAGCAGGTTCAGCCCCTTAAAAATGATCAATAACCATATACAATCATGAGAAATCCTGGCCTAAACATCGCAATGATCAATCCCCTACATGTTAGGGCATTGAGTCCTCTGAGTAGTTCACAAATTTTAGCAATTACTTTATATCTTAAACTTTTAAAAGTTTCATGCAACTGTGGATTTTAATGCAGCACAGTTCCTTAAAAATGTCAATACTTCCCTTACTGGAAATAGCGCATTCCTAAAAATACACGCATTTTTACAAATTATTACAACTAGCTTTCCCTCTACACAATATTTAAGTACCAGGAAATAAAACTTCTTAAAATGCCTATTTAAGGGGCAAAATATTTTGTTTTTGGTTTGTGCAACCTGCTGGCTTTTAAAAAGGGTGAGTTTCTTTGGCATGAAAGGAAAACATAGGAGACATACAATCTTTGCAGTTGTAAATGAACAAGTGACGGCACACACTTCCTAGAATACAAATCTCACTAAATACTTATACTAAAATCCCTCGGTCAAGGAGACCAGAAAAGTCTTATAAACGTTTTTAAGAAATTTCAAATTGATTTACTATGTAACACATCCAATAACAAATGTCTTTACACAATTTCTTTAAAAGCAGGTCCTTCTCCTAGTATATGGTAAATTATTTTATTTACAAAAATGTACATACAGTTCTCATGAAACTGAGGTATTAGAAAATTAAGATATTCATACAGCAAAGAGGTAGTCATAAAAAATCCATATCTAAAAATAAGCTTATTTCTTAGCATTATAAAAACCTTACATAGACTAAAACTATTTCATTATAACCCCCATATTGCATAGTTTAAATAGTAGTATTAGAAGATAAATTTGGCACTTCAGTGGTCTTTGTTATTTCTAGGTCTGTTTCATATTGAGATTAAACACTGACTTAATCCCCAAAGTAATGCATGTTTTGAGCTCTTTCCTCAACAGTGTTAACAGGTTGTACCAAGCCTGGCACTGTCTTTGTGTCCAGGTGTTTACTATGCCTATTTCTGCTCTTTTGATGAACTACACTTACCAGATGACCAGCGAGGGTCAAAGGTAATACACTGCGGTGATGGAAGGCAGAAAAATTAATCTGGTTCTTCTAGAAGTAACATTGGCCTTTGGCCTCATCCCCATAAGTGGATCTTGGAGGTTAAAAACATGATAGACCTCCATGTTCCAACTTGACCACTCATGAGATGACCAATCTCATTTAGAAGTGAAATGATTTCAAATTCATCAAAAATGAGAAATTATTAGAGCCAACTATACAAATATTTTAAGGCTAAAAAGGTAAGTCTCATCA
Source organism: Homo sapiens (assembly GCF_000001405.40). Classification (NCBI taxonomy): domain Eukaryota; kingdom Metazoa; phylum Chordata; class Mammalia; order Primates; family Hominidae; genus Homo; species Homo sapiens. Next base: position 57,414,454 of record NC_000014.9, on the reverse strand, counting down.
GAAACAACTTTTGGCACTTGAATCTGCATCTCTGCAACCCAAGGAACTTCCAACAATAAAATCTGAAAGGGCTGCTTTTCTCAGAAAGGCTACATAACAAGGGCAGTGGTTGGTGGGGTGGAAAGTGGTCAAACACTGTATTAATGAAATATATTGTCAGTATAAACAGTTCAGCTATACTCTTGCTCAGAGGTAATTTTTAGTTGTGTTATTTTAAAAGATTTTTCAGAAACAGTCTTGCTATGCTGTCCTGGCTGGTTGCAAACTACCATCTCAGCCTCCCAAAACGCTGGGATAATAGGCGTGAGCCACCACATCTGGCCTAATTGTGATCCTTCCATTTTATCTTTCAACCTATACAAACACTCCCTTCCTGTTATTACTGCTTATCTAAAGCTCTGCTGTCCAATACAGTAGCCACAAGCCACATGTGGCTAACTTTGATTAAAATTACAAATTCAGCTCAATCATCCCACCCACACTTCAGGGGCTCAGTAGCTACACATGTGACTAGTAACTACCATACTGGGGAGTGAAAAGGACACATCTATCCTTATATAAAGTGTGACTGGACAGTAGTGATCTAAAGTGTAGCAGTGCTATATGCTTATGAGATCTTTTAAAAAACTTTTTAAAAGTTGCTTATAAAAAGAATATCATAGGCTGGGCGTGGTGGCTCACGCCTGTAATTCCAACACTTTGGGAGGCCGAGGCGGGCAGATCACTTGAGGTCAGGAGTTTGAGACCAGCCTGGCCAACATGGTGAAACCCTGTCTCATACTAAGAATACAAGAAATTGGCTGGGCGTGGTGGCATGCACCTGTAGTCCCAGCTACTCAGGAGGCTAAGGCACAAGAATTGCTTGAACCCAGGGGGCAGAGGTTGCAGTGAGCCAAGATTGTGCCACCGCACTCCAGCCTGGGCAACAGAGTGAGACTCTGTCTCAAAAAATAAATCTAACACCTCTGGGCTACAGGTTAATACTGATCTGTGTTTACTGGTGTGAAAAAATGGTATCAACCTTCTGGTTCTTATTTAGACCTTAGAGTGAATTTATGAAGTATTTCGAGTTCCACATAAGGCCCAAATAAAACAAACTCAGATACTTTTACAGTATTACTCTAAAGAATAATGTAAAGATTTGGCATGCATGATAAAAGTAATTTAGCAGTTAAATGATTAAAACAGATCATTTCATCCTTCCACTAAAATCCGAAAATCTTGACATACAGAAGTATTCACAGCTATTTAAAGCTCCTCACAAGACAGGGGCAAAAAGCTCTTTGGATATTGCTCTATTTTACTTTGGTGTCTTACCAAGGGTGGGATGGGGTGGGGGGAACATTACAGAGTGGCAGTGTACAGACAAAAAAGTAAATTAAAATAAAAACTGTCTTAGAAATAAACTGCTATGAAACAGACTAAAAAGATAAACTTTTGACTGAACACATGGAAAATGTACCGATAACTGACATATGAGTTGACTGAGTACTTTTAGAAAAATCAAGTTCATGTTATTTTCAAATTTACTTTGTCAGAACACACAACAGTGATGACAATTATGTAATACTTCTTCCCCGTAACTCTTAGATGAAAGGCAGGAAGCGGGAAACAATATATTGTTTGTTGCTGTTTTACTTAGTAGGTAAAAGCAAAACAACCCAATCATAAAATGCACACAGCTGTATCTAAAAGAAAAATGCAAACACAACTTAACCATACTTTATTTGACTGCATCTTATTTAGACAGCTTGCACATTTCAAATCCCATTAAATCTCTCTCCAAAAGGATATGGGACAATAGAAGAAAATTATGCAGCAATATCCAGTCAAACAGCAGTCCAATATTTTGAGATACACGTGATATTTTATAGATACTCAACTCATATCTGACGTCAATATAATTTATGGTTATGTTTTTACAAACCTGAAAGCCCTGTAACATTACAGCACTCATTTTAGTGATGTCATGGTGCACTGAAAAGTAACTCTGATGTACTACCAATTTGATTTTATCTATACTCCTGAAAAGTGATGAACTTCATGATTTTTAGACACCATAATAAATATACACATCCAGTCTTAGACATGTCAGCCAGTACCATAACACAGGGCAAGGTAAAGTTAAAACATGAAAAAACAAACTGCTTTACATAGATTTGTCGAGCAAGTGGGAAGGGTAATTTGGGAAAGAGGCAGAAAATATTAAAATCGATTTTTTATTTTTTCTTATTTTGCTGGTTTCAACTTCAAAAACTACCGTCTGGTTTCTGATCTGTGGACTTTGCTAAAGTAGTTTCATCCCAATGTACAGGAAATACAGGAAATTATAATCAGCCCACACATCAAAAATGATAGTATACCCGTTAGCTTCTTCAATACTAACATATATAGCTTCATGGTAGCATGTATAAAAATGTTCAGCAGTACCAACTGCCAAACCAGTGTCAGTGGATAGTACAGTCAGTCCTAAAGAGGCAGCACCCCATTAAAAGAAAGTTGCATCTATTTTGCTCAGTTGTAGCCAAGTGAACCCATGCTACCAATTTCAGATAGAATTGTTTTAAGCTTATTTAAGAAAAACAACAGCCTATTATCAAAAAGTAAATTACTGTTTGAGGCTACTTCAACCTGAATGGAGTCTTTCAGTGTTGGTGCTGGGTTTTCATGCTAGAGGTTAAAATTTTAATCTACTTAAGTAAAAATTTTTTTGCATACCCAATTAAAGACATAAGGCATACACTGACATTCAACATATTCCAAACAATATGGCAACCATCTGACTTTTTAGTCACACAGTTAACGTCATCTTTACAAACACCCAACCAGTTCAGTCAATTTGGCAATTTTGGAGGAAAAGGTCAGTATGATGGTTTCATTGACAATCTGGCAAAAACACTAAAATGGTTGAACCAATGATCTATCTACTTTACAACCATCCCTATTAGTGATTTAAGCAAATATATGTTCATCAACCATTATGTATCAACCAGCAAGTCAAATATAAAGAAGTGAAATAAAATTTGATGACATAAATGTTTTAGTTCCATTTCCTTCATATTAAATAACAAAAGCATCACTGTGATTGGTATTCTTCTAAATGCTAGTGCCTAAATGAAGTTTGACCAAAAACATATTGAAAGGCTGAGTACTGTGTGGTTACCATATTTTTATTATAACCAGTATTGTATTCTGCTCATTAAACTTTCAAGAGCAATATAAAAAGGAAAACATTTTCTTTAAAAATAAAGAACTATAAATAATCCCACCAGCAGAAAGTTTTTATTTTCAAATATAAATTGTGTATCTTTATTTTTAAAGTATTTGTTACTATGTTCACTTTCAAAACACTATACTGAGCAAAGAGCAGCTTTCCTTTAAAAAAAAAAAAAAAGCAACAAACTTTCCTGAAAAGGGGCCTTTACCAACTGTTAATGGAGGTAGGGTTTTTAAAAATACAGTAATTAGAGCCACAAAATATATTCCAAACCAAATACTAGAGCAGAAGTAGAGCATATTCAAATGAAAACAACAACAGATTCCTACAGTTTTCACAGAGAATGAATCTTTTTTCTTATGGGTACCTAGGTTTTCCAGTTAAATAAATTATCTATCACAGGTTTACTGACTCAATTGAAAGCAATTAACTGTAAAATTTGTTACATTGCACTGATTGGCCAAAACACAATGTAACTAATAAACATGGTGGCTGTTAAGAAAACCCACAGAACTCATTCCAAAAAAGATTTTCATTTCCCCCTTTTGTTTTTCTGGCAGAAGAAAAGCAAAGCTCCCCCAAGAATTTGCTCATACAAGTGAAAATAAAATAAAGCAGCTTAAAATGGATACAATGCACCTTGAAATTTATTTCCAAGACCAAGAACCTGAAGTGAAGCATTTTAAGAAATGAAAGCAATGTGAATCCAAATCAAGTGGGAAAAACAAATTCAGCTACTTTGTAAAAGCTGTTCTTCGCAGCGTAGCAGTAATTTTGATTAAATAAAATCATATCAACTTACACTAATTTTCTATTCTTTTCCAAAACTTCCCTTACTCTCAAAAGAAAAAGTGCATCTAAACCCCAGCAATTCCCGGCTCCATCAACTTTTCTTATCTCTTTTGAGCCATTTCTCAATTTTCCAAGTAGATTCAACTTGTTACTGTAAGGAAAAAGGGACTTCTAAAGTAAACCATTCTTTCATTCACCTGAAAAAAGTATCCAAATTATAAAAATCTGAAATAATTTATCAAATTTAGAATTTAAATAAAAACAAAAGTTTGCTTGCAAAGGCCTTAAAGAAAAGGAAAAGATAGCATGCATTCAAAAACTAGAGATGAAGACAAATATACTTATCTACACAGGCACTGGCAGACAAAATTTAATTGTTACCTTTACTCATTGTAAGACATACCCACCCTACATTTTTTTCATTCACTAATCACTGAGGTACCAATATTCAAGAATGGAAAATTTAATATTGAAAAAATAAAACCTAAAACTGAAGCGTCTCCCTCACCCACTTCAGAAAACTAGGGCAGGTTTTGTGTGAAATGTTAGTATACTTAAAGACTTTTACAATCCACATTGGCTTTTTTAAGGAACAAAAATTATGTTCCACTTACTGGTTCTGTGATAAAATGATCACTGTGTAAATAACATTGTCAGCAGACTTTGCAAATGAACACATAAATCTTGGCTATCAACTGGCACATCTTGTTGGTACCAAAAGAACTCCTGAAGTTTAAAACAATCTTTTAATTCAGAACAAATGTGCCATGCCAAAGTGCAACAAATATTGTGCGACACTCAATGAGACACTGACAGGTAAGAGCTGCATGGAAATTACTAAATCCACCTGCAAAGCAATTCTGTACAAATTGCATTGCATGCAAAGGTCGATTCTGTGCGGATGATAGTTGTTCCTTGATGTCAGTTTCTCAACGCAGCCACAGTTTAAGTCGCAGTGCATCAACTCCATTTAAATAGTATCTGAACAGCCTCTTATCTCGAACAAAACCAAGATTTTCATAAAGTTTCAAAGCGGACTTATTTGTTATTTCGGTTTCCAAAACAACCTTCAAAGAAATGAGAAAAAAACTAAGTTATAATTACACAATTTAAAAAATAATTTACCAACTAAACAATTTTTTAAAAAATCATACATTATTTTAAAAATTGATAGTGAAAACAATAAATAATATACAGAAAGAACTCAAAAACAGTCATCAAGATTGTAATATTATATTTGGGTCAAGGGCTTGGAGGACCACTGCAGATTTATCTTCTGTTCTACTGATTTGTGTAGTTTGAAATGTTTAGCAATGAGAGTATGTTTTATACTAAAACAAAGATTAATTATTTCCCTGTGGGGAAAGGTAAAATGACTACAGATGAAAATAAAATCAACAATCAAAAGTGCTGGTTTATTTCCTTAAAATAATAAGCTATATTATTATAAGCAGCTATTCAGATTGACTTCCAACTTCTGTATTTTCATTAATATGTCATTTATTCTGGCAATAACTACCATATTTGTCTGGAGTCTCGACCAGAGTCTGCAAACTATAGACTTTGGGCCAAATGTGCCTGCTGTTTTGTAAATAAAGTTTTAGTCAAACAGCCATGTTTATTTGTTTACATGATGTCTGTGGTGGCTTTCTCAATACAAGGGCAGAGCTGAGCAGTTGCCACAAAGACCTATGGTCCACAAAGCCTAAAATAATTACTAGTGGGCCTTTTACCAAGAAAGTTTGCTGAATCCAGACAAGAGGTATTCAAAATGTTACAGTGTATCATAATCACCTGAAGGGTCTGTTAAAATAGATTGCTGAGCCCCACCCTCAGAGTTTATGAGTACGTTTGCAGTAGGACACAAGAATCTGCATTTTTAATATTTTTAAATTGCTAGATGATGATGTTGCTGCGGTCAAGGGACCACATTTTGAGAACCACTGGTCTATATAGCAAAGCTTAACAGAGGAACACATAGTATTAACTTTCATTTAAGTCTTTTGAAATATTACTGAGCCAGTGGCCCTGACAATGAATAACTGGTATTTTTGAAAACTGCGATTTTATTTTTACCTCCCTCTAACACCCTCTACCCCATCTTCCCAACTTTTACACACGTAGCTCTATTTGCCTTTTCAATTGTTTCTCAACTTATTTCATTGAGAACTATCAACACAGTGAGCCACAGTTACTATTGGGTGTCATAACCCTCAAGTGTTTGGAGTGGGTGGGGGGGAAATGGCAAAGTATAATTAAACAAAGGCCCAAGTGAAGCATAAGTCTCTTCCTGTTCTTTCTCAAGCTATCAAAAAGTCTGACAAGAATGCAAACAACTGATGCAAATAATAAAGACAGTACCTCAACTTATATCCAAAATTGAACTCATAATCTGCTCTTCCTCCTCAATTCCATATCTCAGTAAACAGGATCACCCCCCACCACACCAATGCCTCAAACCTGAAACCCAGGAGTCATCTTTGAACCTCATTCCTCTCCAACCACCTATATGCATCCAAGCACTGATTATTGTCAATTCTCCCTCTTAAATCTCTAAGTGGTCCTCTTCTTTCTATGCTCGATATACCACAGTCCAAGCTGCCATCAACTCTCACTATAATTACAAGAGCCTCCTAACTCAAGAGGTCTCCCATTCTCTCTAGAGTTAGGGTGATGCTCTTGTTAATTCTCTACTTAAAACCGTTTACTGATTCCCTCTTGTCCTCAAGAGAAAGTCCACAATCTAAAAATAATATCAAGAGACATAAAAAGTCCATCAATATATTGGCCTCAGCTTTGCTTTAGGTCTCTCTCTTCTTGCTTTCCATGCTCAACACTGAATTTTCAGTTTCTGGAACCCACCATGATCTTTCCCACCTTAGAACATTCAAATAAACTGTTTTCTGTCTAGAAGAATGCTCTTCCTATCCTCCTCTCTTTTGGCCCTACCTTGTCACTTCTGGATTGGGTACAGTGCCCCTTTCCTTTTATATCACCCAGCAACATTCTGCACCGTTCCTATGACACATTCTTATTCAACATTTGATGAGTGGTATGTCATCTCTCCTAGCTGGTAAGCCCAACAACAGCAGGGACCAATGCTAAATCTAAACCTTTAAAAGATCTAAAATGAAGTAATTAACAGTTCAGGATCAAGAAAACACGCTCCTAAGAAAACCTAAAATACAAGTTGTACAGCAAACAAATTGGTTTAAGTAAACGTCAATTTCTCTCTGCACTTAAAAAAAACACAATTTGGCCAGGTTTGGTGGCTCATGTCTATAATCCCAGCACTTTGGGAGGTCAAGGCAGATCACTTGAGCCCAGGAGTTTGGGACCAGGCTAGGCAACGTGGTGAAAGCCCATGTCTAAAAAACCTTAAAAATTAGCCAGGTGTGGTGGTGTGTGCCTATAGTCTCAGCTACTTGGAGGGGCAGAGGTGGGAGGATCACTTGAGCCGAGGGGGTTGAGGCTGCAGTGAGCTGTGAGTGCACCACTGCACTCTAGCCTGGGTGACAGAGCGAGACTCTGTCTCAAAAAACAAATTAAAATACTCACACATACACACACAGACATAATTAAATTTCTAGTAACGTATGTCATACTAGAGTCTGTAACACCACAGTCTGGTCAATACAAGTTTTTAGTTTTTAACAATTCTCTTGGGTAATTCCTGCAATTGTTATGAGGTCCAGCACCTAATTATAGCTAAAATGTTGAATCAAAGCAATTTAATATGAGAAACACTAAAGTCACAACAACTCAAAACTTGGAATTGATTTCACGTAAATAAAAAGTGACAATTTTAAAATATGACAGCTAATATTTATTGGAGCTGTACTATGTGCAATGTAAAGCATTCTATATGTATTATGTAGTTTTATTTTCACAATAACCCTATGAAATTGATGTGGTTATCCATTTTACAGATGAATAAAACTCAAGGCCACCAACAGAGCAAGGACAGAACAGAGTCCAATTATGAACTAAAGCTTAATAGTAACTACTCTACTGTACCTCCCCCTCATTTCCCAAAGTAAAGCAAAGCAGTGACTGGGAAATCTAACCTACTTAAGACAAGATGAAATGGATTTTAAGTCCACCATCAATATTTAGCAATCTAAAATATTCCAAACACATCTGAGGCTACCACCACTACACAAATACACACTTAAAGTGTGGTTAAGAACTGAGTTCAAGTTTGTTTGCATCCTAATATATTAATGAAATGAAGCTCAATTACATAGAAAAAAGTTACACCAATGTCTAATCTAGTCAAAATGTAAAGATTCTCCTGGCACACTCATATTTTCTAAACAAAGAGATTCTTTCTTTAGAAAATTATTTGACACAACAGAAAAATGCCAGGATAAAGTAACTAATTTTTAATTCTTAAATTCTTATAAACATATTAAAAGAATATCTGAATTTATATTAGAAATTCACCATAAAATGAAGTTATTTTGGTCCTAAAGAAACTTGACAGAGTTGAATTCTACCTAACAGAAAAAAAAATTACAGTGAAATTCCACCGATCCTCTTAGCAACAGTAACAGATCATTATCAGGATAAGCCAAACCATTACAAAACATTACTGCTTAAGATAGTATTTTTTAATACTGTAGGCTGGAAGCTCCTGGAGAGCAGGCTTGTTCACTGCTAGAACTTTAGCACTACCACACTGTCTGGCACCTAGAAGCCCTTCCACTGCTATTTCCTGAATGAACAACAAACAGTACTGCTCTTCACAACGTATCTTTAAGATCAGAATTAACATCATGTTGCATAGACAAAGAGAGAGACCAGAAAAAGTTAAATGGCCTGCCTACAATCACACAACTGCCAAGTGACAGAAGATAAATATGGAAACCAGGTGTCTCATAATCAGTTATTAGGCCAAACTACTCACCCAAAATCCTTGCAGCTTAACTAACCCCACTGTATTCTGTTCTTTACCTTGCAGGCTCTATCACATAGCATAATGTTTCCAGTGAAACTAAAGATGTTTTATATATATATATATACACATATATATTATTAGTAAATACATAATAAACACAATAAATATAGTCTAATTAAAAAGATAAAAAGTAACCTTTTATAATGGGGGAAAAAGAATGACTGTACCTTTTCTAAGTTGGACTTTTCTAATTTAGAAAAGTATAAGTTATTTCAAAAAATAACTTAGATCTTCTTGGCTCCTAATAATCTAATTTACTCATTAGTGCTAATGTGATCTATTTTATTCTTTTAATTGTACAAAATAGAGTCAGCTACTATATTATCTAAAATTTACCAAAATGTCTTTTGCATTACCTTTATATTGCTAGAAATAAGTAGCATTAAGTAGGTCAAGCAAATCAGGTTGCAGGGAAAGTCATGGGTTTGAATAGCAGATTGTAAACAGTCTGCCGCAAGTTACATGGCATACTATTTACAGAAGAAACTGTCTAGTAAAAATAAATGTACGCAACAAAAAAAGAATGGAAAGAAAACACCAAATTGGATGTGTGATACTGTTTGGCTGTGTCTCCACCCAAATCTCATCCTGAATCCCCATGTGCTGTGGGAGGGACTTGGTGGGAGTCTCTAAATCATGGGGCAAGTCGTTCCCGTGCTGTTCTCGTGAGTGAATTAAGTCTCACGAGATCCGATGGTTTTAAAAAGAGGAATTCCCCTGCACAAGCTCTCTTCTCTTTGCCTGCCACCATCCACGTAAGATGCGACTTGCTCCTCCTTGCCTTCTGCCATGATTTTGAGGCTTCCCCAGCCATGTGGAACTGTAAATCCAACGTGGTACTCTTTCTTTTGTAAACTGCCCAGTCTCAGGTATGTCTTTATCAGCAATGTGAAAACGGACTAATACAACGTGCTAGAAAGGTAGGTAGTGAACTTTCTTCTTCTGTTTCCCAAGTTTTCTGTAATGTTCATTACGGTTTTTCAATGGAAAAAATGTCTTTAATATAAATAAGCAAAAATTAGATGACGTGATTTTCAACTAAAAATATTTTAAGATACTATAAATTCCATTAAGAAATCCTAATTCCACTGTATTCTGATCAGTTATCTCTGGCTATTCATATTCACAGTAATCGACCTAAAAACTCTTTTTGTGTGTGTGTGTGTGATGGAGTCTTGCTCTGGCCCCCAGGCTGGAGTGCAATGGCGCGATCTCGGCTCACTGCAACCTCCACCTCCTGGGTTCAAGTGATTCTCCTGCCTCAGCCTCCCCAGTAGCTGGGATTACAGGCACGCACCACCACACCTGGCTAATTTTTGTATATTTTTAGTAGAGACGGGGTTTCACCATATTGGCCAGGCTGGTCTCGAACTCCTGACCTCGTGATCCACCCACCTTGGCCTCCCAAAGTGCTGGGATTACAGGCGTGAGACACCGTGCTCAGCCTAAAACTCTAAAAACAAAACAAACAAACAAAACAAAACAAAACAAAAACAACCTTGAAGTTTTCAGAGATTAAGATTTTAAGGATATCAATGGCTTAAAAATCGAGGCACTATTCATCATACTGATACTGATCAATCACCTGCCCATATTCTAATTTACTTCAGGAAAAAAAGTACATAAATGTAAATGGCCACCAAGTAGGTTGATTTTAGGTACACAGATCCTATTTTAAAATCTACATCATAGAAAACTCATTCATTCTATATGTATTTATCTTATTCTTTCTTCTATTGTGAAACATGAACCTGAGATACTTGTCCTAGCCACTACACATCTGGCAGCCAGAGCGTGCAGGGGGTGTAAACAAATTTAAGCCAGATCAGCATACTGGTAATATATTTCTTACTCATCAAGTAACAAATCCACTTGTTTCTTGTTTTGATACTATAATTTTTTAGTCAGCTCCAAATACATAGAAAATGAAAAAATTTTTTAGCTATACTGTTTTAACATATGTCTAATTCTGATATGAAAAGTTGGGAAACTTACAGTAAGACAAAATGAAAACATCAATTAGACTAGGAACAGTGCAGCATTATTTGGAGAAAAACATCTACCTTTCAATTCTGTGATTACTAATAACTGGCTGAATACTCTGAGCTTAAAATGACTAGTAACAACAAAGAACAATATAAACATGACTCAAGGTCACAAATTCTGTATACAGAATAGAAAGTAAAAATTGTTTGATGTGCACAGTAAGGTTTCACAGAGATTTCCAATGTATCTTTTTTTTTTTTTTTTTCCGGCCACGGAGCACAGTAAGGTTTCACGGAGATTTCCAAATGTATCTCTTTCTTTATGAGAGTCTCACTCTGTCTCCCAGGCTGGAAAGCAGCGGTGCAATCTTGGCTCACTGCAACTTCCACCTCTCGGGTTCAAGCGATTCTCCTGCCTCAGCCTCCCGAGTAGCTGGGACTATAGGCGTGTGGCACCACGCCCAGCTAATTTTCGTATTTTTAGTAGAGACGGGGTTTCACCATGTCGGCCAGGCTGATCTCCAACTCCTGACCTCAAGTGATCCGCCAGCCTTGGACTCCCAAAGTGCTGGGATTACAGGCGTGAGCCACAGTGCCTGGCCAAATGTACCTCTATTAAAAGGTTCACAGATTTTAAAATCTCTCTCTTTGTAAGAATTTTAAAAATAGCAGAATAACCTAAGTAGTAGAAAATCTAATTTAAAACCCTTCTGAAATGTCTTTCACAGATTTTCAGATAATTTGTCAAAATTTCTAAACCCTTTAAAAGAAAGGAAGGTTGGTCTAAATTAATGAAAGTGAAAGCACATGTTTATTTGCCTTTTCATTAATCGCTGTATTTTTGGAGATTTATCATTTCAAAGGCATTTTAACAACTTGGTTAACCCTAAAGATGCCTTTTTTTAAAAAAAATCCTACTATGAACAAAAATAAGACAATTGGTGTTTTTAGAAAGCACACAGAAAGTTCAGAGAGAAAGACAAGTTAATAACAATACAAGTCAAAATTTAAAAGTACTTAAACAAGAGAGAGAGGGATTACAAACATCATGCTGGAAGCACAGAACTGATCATTCAAAAAATATTTACAAAGCAGGTACTCTATCACAAATGTCACACTAAGCACTAAGAATACAGCAACAAACAAGAGAAGGCATCTCTGTCCTACATTGTGCTAAGGCACTGAACAAGTGAAATTAAGTGCAATAATTACAAAAAGAGTAGCAAAAATAACAGAAAAGTGAAATGGATTCTGTCCAGAAGGATCAAGAAAAACTTAAAGGAGTTGTTGGTATTTGAATTGGGTCTTAAAGACTAAAGTATTTTAACAAGCAAAGGAAAACCAAATAGCTACCATATCTTCTAAAGAGTAAACAAGAGTTCGTATGGCAAATTATTCGATCTGAATAACACTGGACACAGATAAGCAAAATTTTTATACCAAGACAAAGTTATCTAATCCAGAGACAGAGGTATTCACAAACTGCAAAACCATAATCATACAAAAGGAGAAAGTTCACAAAGCTATCCCTGATGTCAGCCTAAAGATTAAGTAACATTCATTGTTTCAAAAGAAAAAATGAATGAATCAGCATTAGCTTTTTAGGCTGGAAATGAAGTTTTTCTACCATAAAATATATCATTAATTTAGAATTTAACCTTGAGACCAAAACAATAAAAATCTTCATATCATTCCTGACATCTTTACATGAAAAGCCAACACTATCCAAACCTTTGAACAGTTAAACAAAAGCACATAGCCTGCCTCACAAGTAGTAACTTAGGATAGCAAGTAGGATAACTCAGAAAAGGTTTAATCATAGGGAACATAATACTCTCTGCTCTTAACACCCCTGTTCACTGGATCTGCAGAAGATCAAAACATGATCTATTATCCCGAAGATTTCTCCAAGCTGTTAAGCAACTTTTGTGAAACCTGACTTTTCTCGATGAGCTGACAAGCAGTGTGGCTATGGTCCAAACATGGACCTATACTCATGAACATATCTGATCCAATTCTCTCCTCGAAATTTCAGTTACCAGTCATGTAAAGCTTTGGCGACTGCACCTTTTGCATTATAATATTAAAAGCTGTGAACAATGTGAGATCCTTCAACACCTGTGAATTATTTCTTTGGAGTAAAATTAGATATTTTTAAATCCCAGGATGACTTCACTGTGCCACCCACTATGTCTGTAGGCCTTCTCATATAACCACCACTTAGAATGGATCTGTCAGAATAGAGCCTAATGTGAACAAGGAGCCTGAGAATGCTCAGCAGTAAATCTCTGTATTCTAACACGGAAATGCATTCATGAGATATTGTTAAAAGAAAAAAGCAATTATTATTGCTAATAATTATTGAATAAGAATTACTTCATTTGTATTTTTAAAAACTATATATTTGCACATAGGTGTGTTTAAAAAATGAGAGAAAGCATTTCAAACAGTTAACAGTAGCAACAGGCCAGGAGCAACGGCTCATGCCTGTAATCACAACACTTGAGAGGCTGAGGTGGAAGGATCACCTGAGGCCAGGAGCTGGAGTGGTCTCCAGCTGGACAACATAGCAAGACTCCCATCTCTACAAAAACAAAAAAAAAACAAAAAAAAACCCCACAACAACAAACAACAACAAAAAACAGTAGCTATCAATGGAAAGATGGATAAAGAGTTGAAAAGCATGAGAATGGTAGAAGGGACTTTGTTAACAAAAACACATGCATACATATATCATATATGCTGACTGTGTATAAATTTTGTACCAAAACACTCCATTTCTTTTAAGTCACTAAACAAATTATTTATTAAGGTCAACCTTTTAAAAAAACTTACCCAATTTCACATATTTTGAGAATTCTCTAAGGCACATCTGACCTCTAATAATAAAGACAATTGCTACTTCTATTACTCATAAAAGTACTAGTACAACTTTGCTCCTCCTTAGTCACCACTGCTATGTTAAAGACATCTATACTTCTCTAGTTTATACTTGTTCCCTTCCACACTGTGCAACAGTAAATGTTAACATTCCCAATCATCACCAATATTTATCATGCACCTACTATATGTAGAAACACCGTGCAGTAGGATACAAAGAAATATCTGCCATCAGACCTTACAAACAAGCTGAAGAGAGAAAATGCTCTTATGTTAATGCGCAGATAGCTCTACTCTTTAAAAGTGGTTGTCTTCCCCCTAGCCAACATTGTCATTATTTAATTCTGAAAAGATTATTTTCAAGTGTGAAATGTCCTCCATATAGACTGACAGTTTCCCATTGTCAGAAACTAAGGCCAATATGTAAGCAAATTATAACAGAGTCTGTAATAAGAGCTACCTTAAATAACTGATGATAAAGCCTCTGAATACCAAAATTGTGTACTGAAAATGTCTAAGATTCCCCCCACACATTTTGAAGAAATTTTAGCTCCATTTTAAAATTTGTTCTAGGTCAAAAATTCATGTGTTTTTAAATGGAATATAATTTTCCCCACAAGCTGCATTTGTATAGTAACACTGCAATGAAATCTGCAATAAATTATAAAATATTTATTAAAAATACCCAGAAAGAATAATGCCCAGATAAAAAATATTAAACATTTTTAAAGACTTACCTCATCACAGTCTCCCTCAACCATGGCATATATAGCTTTCTTAACCAAGTTAGTACCTAGAATATAGATCTGAGTATTAATGAAGGAAAAATGTATTTCTTAAAGATAACCTAAATTATAATATTCGTAAGCACAGAAATGTCAAATGCTAGTTTCTATCTTGAATCCAGATACACGGATTACCTCAAATTAAATGGGAAAAATTTTAGCTATAAGCTAAGAGAAGCCAACAGAACCTATACATAACAGTATGTTTCCTCTTGAAAGACCTATCTCCCAATATACTCCTTTTTCTCAGACATAATTATTTGCCACAAGCAGGAGTTTGTTCTATTGTGTTTGAAAGCAGTAGGAAAGCGAAAGAGAAAAAGACAAGATATGGTATGGCCAGAACAACGCAGGAACTCCCCGTGAGTTGGCCAGAACTTACTGCATAACCCAAGCTGATCTCACCAAAGATCCTTCAAACTCCCCTGGACACAAGGGACAAGACAACCTCATCAGAACTGCTGTTACCCACAGTAGGTTCCTATAAACTTTACAGTGAGCACGATGAAGTCTGGCAAGTCTGGCACTCCCAATGATGTCAGTGGTGTGTCTGTACATGTCTAGCAAAATGTATCCTAGTTTAGGGTCAAATATAATTGGTATATTAAAAGGGAAAAAATTTGCCAAATCTGATTTTAAGAGCAGACAGACAAATTTTATTTAAAAACTCTTAGGCTGGGCGCAGTGGTTCACGCCTGTAATCCCAGCACTTTGGGAAGCCAAGGCAGGTGGATCACTTGAGGCCAAGAGTTCAAGACCAGCCTGGCCAACATGGTGAAACCCCGTCTCTATTAAAAATACAAAAAATTGGCCAGGCGTGGTGGCTCACGCCTGTAATCCCAGCATTTTGGAGGCTGAGGTCATGGCAAAACCCCATCTCTACTAAAAATACAAAAAACTGGCTGGGTGCAGTGGCTCAGCCTATAATCCCAGCACTTTGGGAGGCCAAGGTGGGCGGATCACCGGAGGTCAGGAGTTCAAGACCAGCCTGGCCAACATGACGAAACCCCATCTCTACTAAAAAATAAAAAATTAGCCAGGCATTACAGGTGGAGGGTGCCTGTAATCCCAGCTACTTGGGAGGCGGAGGCAGGAAAATCACTTGAACACAGGAGGCGGAGGTTGCAGTGAGTCGAGATCATGCCACTGCGCTCCAACCTGGGCGACAGAGTGAGACTATCTCAAAAAAAAATAATAATAAAAAAAATAAATCAGCTGGGTGTGGTGGTGTGTGCCTGTAGTCCCAGGTGCTTGGGAGGCTGAGGCACAAGAATTGCTTGAATCTAGGTGCTAGAGGTTGCAGTGAGCCGGGATCACACCACTGCACTCCAGCCTGGGCAATACAGCGAAGCTCTGTCTCAAAAAATAATAAAATTAAATTAAAAACTCTTAATTTTCAAGCCATGCATACAAGTATGCACGCATTTTATGGCCCAAACAAAGTATGTCTGAAGGCCAGGATGCAACCCAAAAGCCACTGGTTTCTGCCCTCCAAACTAGCCAAACAATTGGCTATAATTTATCATGAGTCCTTATCAGTGCTTTTTAATGCATCAAAGGCTCAAACTTAGTCCATAAAACAAGCCCAATTCATTAAAAATCTTAGTGGAAAGCTGTAACACTGCAATAAAGTTGGCTAAACCTAACATATTAAGTAAACCTATTTATAGTTACTTCTCATGATACCTAGGACCGTGTGTGAGTCTTAGGTTGGACAATAACACTTAATAGTTTTTAAAAAACATGAAAGTGAAAAAACTAATGATTAAATACTGGTACAGGTATTAAACTTTTTTTTATGAATACTCAGCTAAAGCACATCACAAAATTTGACATGCTTAGACAAATGCTTGTCTACCCAATTCTCCACTGTGAACAAAGAGCCACTAGGTCCTAGAGAATAGAAGAGTGGTTTTTTGAAACGGAGTCTTGCTCTGTCACCCAGGCTAGAGTGCAGTGGCACGCTCACTGCAACCTCCACCTCCCAGGTTCAATCAATTCTCCTGCCTCAGCCTCCTGAGTAGCTGGGATGACAGGTGCCCACCACCACTCCCAGCTAATTTTTGTATTTTTAGTAGAGACAGGGTTTCGCCATCTTGCCCAGGCTGGTCTTGAACTCCTGACCTAGTGACTCACCTGCCTTGGCCTCCCAAAATGCTGGGATTATAGGCGTGAGCCACCGCACCCGGCACCTGGTGGCCTATTGAGTTTTATGGCGTTATTTAAATGACAAAAGTTATCTAACCCAGCCATAGAAGAGTGGTTCTTAATCAGGCTTACATCACAGTCACCTAGGGAAGCTTCAGCCCCACCTCTGACAAGACAAACAAGAGTCTCAGGGTGAGGGGCCCAAATACATGTTTTTAAACCACCCACATGATTCTAATGATCATTATAAATCATGAGTGTTAAGATTAACTAAACATGTCAGGAAAAGTAGACCCAACAAAAAATTAAGTTTGGGAATTACAAGAAACAATCAATTCTCATCTCCTGATCTTTCCTGAATTGCAATATATAGTTGATGACTAGCACCAAGTAATGGTAACAATTTGTCCATAATTTTGGCTTGATTGAGGTCCACTTAACCCAAATACAGACAAGTGCTTGAAGGCTGGCATGAAGGACCATCATAATGTAATTATAAATTGCAGTATTTCTTGTGGTACTTAGCATAATGCAAAGCATTTTGAATGTGATTAAAAAAATCTGCAGGTGAAAGCTGATGATCGGCTACTTGTTAAAACGAAAAACTGTCAAACAAAACATTAATAAAGAAAAAATTCATTTTAAGAACTTTTTAAAAATACCATTTTGAAATTAAAAATTAAAACCCGCCTTAATTTTCTTCCCTTAGTTTCTTTCATTTCTACATACTTACATTTAAGTCTTTTATTTCAAAACACAACAAAAATGAAAATAGCTTAGGCATTCTTTCCATAAAATAATATTTTTCTTACCAATGCCATTTCTCCTGTATTTGGAATCCACGGCTAACATGGCTATATAACCTCTGCGGAACATCTTTTTGTGCATATCCAACTTGCAAACGATGGCACCTACACACTCCTCCCCTACCATGGCCTTAAAAATAAACAAACAGTTATGAAGAATACATTGCCATCAGGTACTGCACAATTATCCAGAGAAAACAACAACCAACCATTGGTAAGCATTTTCGACGGGGGAAGATAATGGGAACTCTTGCAAGACAGCAGTCACAGAAGTTTCAGAAATCTAAATCCCCTAACTCCTTTAAATGTTCCAGTGTTAAAATTTCTCAATATTCTTTAGAACATGAATTTTTTATGCTTACTATTAAAGCCTAGGGAAAAAAGACAAGATTCCACAAGGTAAACATTCAAGTACTTTATAAGATTACATATGAGGTGCTTAAAATCACAATTATTTGCAACAAAGACCTAAGGTTCTGGAAGGGGAAATATGCAAAAAAAAAATGATTATAAAGAAAAAGTCTATTCATTAGGACATAAAATATTGTAAAACTTGCCCATCAGCAGAATGTAAATTTAAATATATTCAGTTAAATTTAGTAATAATGGCCAGGTGCTGTGGCTCATGCCTGTAAACCCAGCACTTTGGGAGGCAGGCGCAGGCAGATTGCTTGAGCTCAGGGGTTTGAGATCAGCGTGGGCAACATGGCAAAACCCTGTCTCCACCAAAATTACTTAAATTAGCCAGGTGTGGTGGCATGCACCTGTAGTTCCAGCTACTTGGAAAGCTGAGATAGGAGAATGGCTTGAGCCAGGAAGGGAGAGGCTACAGTGAGCTGAGATCGTGCCACTGCACTCCAGCCTAGGTGACAGAGTGAGACCCCATCTCAATAAAAGAAAAAAATGAAAATAAATTTAATAATAAAGTTTTAGTGAAAGCCAGATATAATACATATTTACACCTGAATGGTAGATTTCGATCAGGAAAAAAAAATTAAAAATTTTCAGAAAAAGCACAGTTTATAAGGTATTGCTTAGACCATACCCAAGAGGTTTTTGTTAATATATGTAAGTGTAGCATAGTCTCATTTTTAGGATACTCCTGATAGTGTGGATAACTGTCATAAAGCTCTCAGAATATTTATAGTTCAAAATCAAAGCTTTATGTTAAAAGCTTTAATTTTACAGAAATTTCTATTTTAATAAAAACGTACAGCTTTCCAGAGTATTAAAAGCTACATGTTAAATTCTAATCATCCCCCATTTTCATTAAGATTTCTAGTGTTACCATTGAAAATGTTTTTCAAAAATTCCAATGCTGATAAAAAGTTCTAGTAACACAGTATTTCTGGTAAATATAAATAGGGCAGTATCTCCAACTGTTTAAATAATGTGTCAGTAAGAAGTCTGTTTTCCATAAATTAACTTTCCAGAAGAAACTATTTCAACAAAAGCAGAAATGAGTCAAAAAACTAATAAGTAATGTCCAATTTATAATTAATACATATTTTAAATTTGTGACTTTTTTAGTCTGTCATTCTGTAAATTGATTAAAAGGCCTTTTTTTAACTGTGGAGAAATCTTTTCAGCAAGATAATTCTAATCCATTTCATGCAAACCTAAACTAGGTCGGAAAAATCCTTTTGAAGGAATATGAAATTCAACAACCCACGCTAATTCATTTCTGGTTTATCACACATTCCAAAACTATTTTGGGTCAATAAACCTCTGAAATTGTTATTTCTAATTTTTTCCCTCACAATACATCAATCTTTTAAAAAAATTTTTTAAACAAAGACCTGAAGTATGCACAAAAATCGCCTCGACCAACTCTGAAAGCTTTTTCTGATTTGAAACTCACTTCAAATATATGTGCGTATATACAGACACGTATAAATACATACACATACATAAAATTATCACAGACCAAATGGTATATTTAAAAGGGCCAGAAAAAATTTTGGCCTGACCTCATAAGCCAGGCTCAGGTGAAATGAAAACCTGTATTAGATTGATGATACAAACCTCAGAATAGCTACACCTTATATAAAACTATCCAAAAATGAGGAAAAATTAAAACCATTAAACACAATACAACTGGACAGTACTTTCAATCTGAACAGGAATTTCAAACAAATCTTTGTCCTTTGAGCATGGAATAAGCAAACAAAATATTAAATTAGTTCATTCTTAAGACCTGATTTCTTCCTAATTTAGAATCTATAGGAGCAAAAATCAAGCTGTATACATCATCTAAAAAGCCCAATATATCATACACCATTACGATGACATTAGTAGTGAAGACCAATGCTGCATTTTTTTTTCCTGATAAACTACTCATGAATATGTGGTACATTTACAGGAATCACTAAATTGCTTGTCAATTTTTCCAAATAAAAGCTCTGCATATACATTTGGAATTCACGCTATTAAATGTATTTTTTCAAGGATGGGAACTGAAAAATCCCCGGCAAGATTAAGACTTAACACTACAAGGCCAAAGGGTTGTCAGTCTATAAAACTATGAAAAAAATAAAGTGAGAGATTCCCAAATTCTAGAACACTACAAATAGAAAACTGGAGGAAGCCAAAAAGTTAAATTTAGAACAAATAAATGGAAGTACTATGTTACATTTGCTGAGAGTAAGTTTAAGAACTTCAAAAAGATACCAACAACTGAAAATGTTACTATGAAAACAGGTAAAGATAAAATGGTTAAGTACAGAGTAACTGAAAGTGTCTCACATTTGTCCTTTTTTTTTTTTTTTTTTACATCTTTTACAATTAGGAAGAATCATAATAAGCTATCATTTTTATTAATCAAGTATTGGCAATTTTGTAAGGTTCAACCCCATATACTCCATTGACCCATTACAGGTTATCCACGGAAAACGGAACATTTTGGAGGTTTTTAATCTCTTGAGATTGATGTAAGGGCAACTGTCCCTTGGTGAAGATAACTTGGTGACACAATAATCTTCACTGAATGGATCAAGGGTATGTCATTTTTCAGGTTCTTGTTTGTTACCATAATGAGAGGCCAGGAGAACTGGGTTCTAGCTTTACCCTTCCGACGGTAAATATCTGGAGATTGAAACATTTTAAGTCACTTTGGTTCTTAACTTCTTTTCAATCAAAAAACAAAACAAAACCTACCCCTCTGTCAGTAAATATCTGGAGATTGAAACATTTTAAGTCACTTTGGTTCTTAACTTTTTTTCAATCAAAAAACAAAACAGAACAAAACCTAAGTTGGGCTAGATTATCTCTAGGATGGCTTTCAGTTCTAAAAGGATATGATTTAAAATAAACAGACATTTACGCATCTGTATTTTTAAAAAAATAGTTCCTATGGGAAACTTAAATTTAAAAGTATGCCAAGATAAAGGCTTCAGTTTTAAATGGCCTGGTTGTTTTTTTACTGTTTTATTATTGTTTAATACCTCCTGATTCATACTTGCACCAGTAAATCTTATAGGTCAACCACTTGTGCATATCGCAATTCTAGATACTCAGAATATTAAACAAACTTGAGCTACTAAAGGCTAACATACACATTAGCTGGTGAATTGGGAGGGTTCTACATAAAATCAAATCTAAAGTTTACTAATATTGTTGACCAGAGTCTAAAATAGCAAACAAGTTGAGAGAGGCTTAGGTAACTATCAGGACTCAAAGTTGACTAAATATCATATACACAACTATTTCCTGGAATTGACAGAAAAACATCTATTTCAACTTGAAATGTGACTCAATCATCTACTTCTGTGGGTTAACTTACAACTAAATCTACAATTTTTAGCAATTACAGTGGCATTTGATATGACATTTATAATAGTGCTATAAATCATTTTCTCATATTCATTGACACAGACATGTCTTAGAACTATTCTGATACAATGCTTAGAATACTGAAAGAGCAGTTTTCAAGAATATAAAGTAGTACCCACAGTTTTAACAAATGTACTGAATTGAAGTTTAAGCAAGTTAAGACAGAAAATAGAACTACCATTATCTACAATACCCAGGTTACATTTTCAAATTATCACCAAGCTAGAGAATCAAAAAGATAAGTATTGTCAAAATATCTTGCAGGGAATTACCAAGTGAAACTAAGCCAATGCTAAAACATTAAGTAATGGTGGCTTTTCCCTTCACATATTAAAAAATATTCCTTAAAAGGATGTCATCTTTCTGTAGTAAAATTCAACAGAAACAATATGCTTGTGAGCACATGATACAAAGCATACACCTGCAGTCAACGTTTAAGTTAAAGGGTTCATACAGACTGAAATGGGTCAATATTATTGTGAAGAAATTACTGGTACTGCCAATACTATGTTAATTTTTAAAAACCGTCCAAAAGTCTTTCACTTACGTGTAATATTATTGTCAATTATACTCTACACAAGCCAGTGTTACTAGTGTTTGGCCACATCTACAACCAGTTTCTTAAATTAAAAAAAAAAAAATCAGATCGGTAACAATTTCACACAAGTTTTCTACATTCCACAAAAGGGTATTTTGTTCAAGTTTCAGGAGTCTTTCAGCCACCAGAAGTGTTAGTAGCGCTTTCTGGAATGGAGTACCAGAAAGCAGGCTGGCTACAACTGTTAATTGTCCAGTTGAAGTAAAGAGAAACATCTCCATAATTACCGAAAATGCTTGTAAGATTTAATTCTCCAATATGACCACACCAAGTTTGCTGACATCCATGTTCACCACAACATGTTTATGCATACACTCTTCCCTGATTATGGTTGTAATCGAGAGACTAATAAGGCCTGTATCTGAACAGAACCATGTTCAAATTAAATGACTGTAAAGTGTTTGAGGATGCGGGCGGGTAATTAAAGACGGTTAAACACGATTATAATCTAATGTAAACAAGACACAAGACCCCCACCCCAGTGAAACACGCCACCATACAGGCTTGCTGCAGTTACACTAGTATCACGTTAACCCGAATCATGAAGTCTTACCTTCAAAACAATTTCATTAAATAACTAGGAATGTGTACAGCACTTGACATCATATAACGTACTATGATACGCAGCAGGAGATATCCACTGCCACATTCTGGGCCCTCACTCCCTGCCCCGCACAGTCTCGATCACTGCTGGGTTCACCCTCTTTTTATTCTATCCACTTACCAAGAAGCACAGCTGTGGCCAGTTGTGGATAAAATATCTATAGGTATAAATGGAGTAGGGTTCGGACAGATCTTTGGTGATCAGTCTCATGATATCGGGCATTTGTAGCTCGGATTCATATCGGACATATCGTATCGTCCGATCCTCCCCAGGCTCAACCTCCCTGCCCGAAGGGCTTCTTAAGCTGCAGTCGGCGGTCAGGGACGAAGACAGCAGCCGCACCTGCTCGTCTTCCTCCTCCTCCTCCTGCTCGGTGCCCTCGGCCAGTCCATTGCGGGCCGCCGCGGGATCGCTCGCCGCCGCTGCCTCCACCGGGCTGGGGACCGCAGTTCTTGCATTACTAGAGAGGGAGTGAGGGGGCCTCTCGCCCGAGTGTACCCCGGCTCCTTTTGTTGCAGTCGCTCTGGGGCCTCCGTCAGGGGTGGCTGTGGTCGCGGCCACCTCTGCTACGCTCAGGACCTTGCTCTTGAGGGAGGCGGCCGCCCGGAGGTGCCGCAGTTCGGGGCTAATCAATCCGTTGAGCTGCTGCTGCTCCTGCGGCGGCTGAGGGCAGCGGAGGCACGGATGCCCCTTGGCCGCCACCGTCGCCGACTCTCCGCCCGCCGGGCTCCTGCTGCCGCCGCCTTCGTGCTCTTCGTCGTCCTCCTCGTCCTCGCTGCAGCAGGCGAGGGCGGCCCCCGCCGGGAAGGGACAGCGGGGCTCGACCGCCGCCGGGGCCGGAGGTGCTGGTGGTGGGAGGAGGCTGCTAGGCCCAGGCGGTACCTCCGCCATCCTAGAAGCGACACAGACCGAGAGGGGAGGCCATGAAACCCGGCCGAGGAGCGCGGAGAACAGGGGGCGACGGATGGGGGGCGGCCGAGGTGGGGGGAACAAAGGCAGAAACCGTCCCTCACGGAGCTGCCCCCCAATTCCCCGCCACCCCCCCGCTCTTCAGCGCCGCCCAGCTGCTCAGCCGGCCACCGTCCCCGTCCGCCCGGGCCCACCCGCCAGCCCTGTCACTCGCGGCCCCTCCTCACGGCTCACCCCGCACGGGTCCCCGCCGCCGCTGCCGCCACTCCTCTTCCTCCGCCACCGCCGCCGCCTCCTTCGCAGCCGCGGCAGCCTCCACAGCCGCCAAGGTTCTCACTCAGCCGCCGTCGCCGTAAAGCGCCTCAGCTGTTAGGCCGGGTAAAGTTTCCTGGGCCTGGCTTTACGACACTTCCCTGCCTGCCGGCTGCCCGGGCCAAGAGAGAGGGGCGTGGAGGGAGGTGACCTGTGGAGGGGCGGGGACAAAGGTGTCTCCTGCGGGCTGCGGGGAAGGCCGCGTGCTAGTGGGTGGGGCTGTGGGGCCGGGAAGTTGCAGAGGGCTTTGGAGTCACAGGCTCCCAAACCCTCTTCCTCGGTTTGGGGGCGCCTCAACCTGCGGTGCTTGCCACGCGGGGCCGGGGAGGGATGGACCGGGCAGGCGCTCCCTGCTTAAAGTCTACCGCGCACTCCGAGCTGTAGCGAATCTCGCCAATTCGGGGCCTGTGGAACAAGCCGTTTACAAGTCACCTAAAAATGCCCTTTTAAAGCTGCACAGCGTTTAATGTTTGCCCTGACCAGGGGCAAGGAGGATGGGGGAGGAGCGATTAAAAATGGAGCAAATCAGAGAAGCCGACCGAAAAAGAAAGGAAGATTTGAGCTGTGAAAATATGGGGATGGCTGTCGAAACGTGGTGGTTTGCAGTGTGAATTAAGTTCAGCTGGCCCTTGCCACTTTGAGGCAAGGGAGTCAGCCCTCTTCCTCTCCCTCCTTACTCTGCTCCTCGCACCCAGTAAAATTGGAGGCAAAAGTGACTGACAGGTGTTGGGCAATTGCTAGCACACCTGGGGAAGGGTTAGAGAGAGGTGGTGAAAGAGAGTGACCAGGGCTAAGAAGCACACTCCTAAACTTGTGACACAAATAGGTTAGGAAGCACTGGTAAACAGGTGGCCTGATCCTCCCAGGGGATCTGCCTATCGAGTGCAAAGGGGATAGAACTTGAGCTTGTGGCTGGGCGCCTTCTGCTCTAGTCCACAATTGACTCCCGGCAGGTCTGAGCTGAGACAGGTAGTGTAACTCACCCGCTCACTGAACAAATTCGGTTTTGTTAAAAACCTGATTTATAGAGCTGGTCTGGTGTGCCGCAGATGGACGTTTTCAATATATAATTCTATGACGGAACACGTTTGCAACTTTTTGCCGTAATCTAAACTCTATGTATAAAGTATTTATTATGCTCGCAGATTCTGTGCCTCTGAAATCCAGACAGAGCACAACTGGGATGGCTTTTCTCTACTCCATTATGCGTAGAGCTTCAGTTGGAAGACTCTAAGGCTGAGGAGTAGAATTATTTGAAAACTTCACTTTCACCGCTGATGGTTGATGCAGGATAAAGGCTGGAGGCCTCAGTTCTAGTCCATGTAGACCTCTCCCGGTGGTCTTTTAGCATTGATTGGTTTGGGCTTTGTCACAGCCTGGTGGCTGGGTTCCACGGCAAGTATCGTGCGAGAAAGTCAATCAGAAGCATATTACCCATTATAACCTAGCCTTAGAAGTCATGTAGTCTCTAGCCAGGTGCGGTGCCTCACGCCTGTAATCCTGGCATTTTGGGAGGCCCAGGCGGGAGGATCTCTTGAGGCCAGGAGTTCGAGACCAGCCTGGCCAACACAGTGAAACCTCATCTCTGCCGAAAAATACAAAAATTAGCCGGGCGTGGTAGCTCATGCCTGTAGTCCCAGCTACTCAGGAGGCTGAGGAGAATCACTTGAACCCGGGAGGCGGAGGTTGCAGTAAGCCGAGATTGCGCCACTGCACTCCAGCCTGGGCAACACAGGGAGACTCCCTCTCATCAAAAAGAAACAAAAAACAAGTTATGTAGTGTCAGTTCTGCTGCATTGTATCTAGGCAGACACAAAATTATATCCAGTTTTGACAGGAGGGGAAATAGACTCTACTCTTGGTGGAGAGAGGCAAGGTTCTCAAAGAGCATATGGGACCAGAAATATTGCTGTGGCCATTTTCAGAATGTATAACTTGCTACAGATACATTGAAAACCTCCTAAACACCTTGATGTGTGGGGGATATAAATGAGATGTATAAGTACAGCGTGATCCCTTTTCTGTCTTTTAAAAAGCACAAAACAAAACCATGTTTCCAAATGTGCATACATTGTTTAAAGATACATGTTTTTCAAAGTTTCTAAGTGTAACCTGGGTAGTCAGCCAATGAAACAATGATCTGTTCAAATCATGGTGGAAAAACTGGCCCAAGAGGCACCAGATAATTCCATAAGAGATGTTTAAGGGTGAATTTTACTTAGAAAAATACCTCTCAGTAATTTACTTTTAAATGTAAGCCCTTCCTAAAAAGCATGTACCTTCACTGTAGTGAATGAATGGCAGCAGGCCTTCCTGTTCTTTCTGTGTTGCAACTTGGCATTGAGCTCTGTCACACTGAGGAGCTGACCAGATGTTGTCTCAAAGTGGTTTTCAGAAAGTCAAGAGTTGTAAGGACCTTCTTGAGGCCAGGGAGTAAATGTTAGTCACTTTGTATTCACATATCAAACACATAAAAGGGAAATTGTTAAGCTTTTTGACTGAAGTACACCAGTCTCTCATTCAGTAACCTAGAATGCTTATAATGACAAAGTAAATTCTGACCTCCTCAATAACTAGTGGGGTAATTCTAATGTCTCAGCCCCAGTGATTTTTCTTTATATCCCAGTATTAAAATTACAATGTTGGCCTTCTAAATCAGATGACATCTCTAAAAAAAATTGCCTTTATAACTTATGAAATCTTTTCTATTTGATTCATGTTTACTTGATAGGATGATAGCACTATTTTAGGCATAGAAATAGGATTAGTTCACTCTAATGCTTTAGACATATTTACTATTATGAGACTCTGAAAAAACAACTACCTCCATGAGCAATACTTCATAGGAAAGAATGGGCTCAGAGCAAGGTGAGTGTAGCAGTGATACTCTTCTGTGTGGTTAGTTGATATTTTCATTGTTTTGTAATATCCTATGAAGCAACAGCCATTTTTTCTTTTCTTTTTTTTTCTTTTTTTTTTTTTTTTACTATTGTTGTTCTCTTTTGAGGAAGAAGAGAACATGCCTTAATTTTTTAGAAGAAAAAAAAGCTTCTCATTAAATCAATTAAAATAACCAATAGCAATTTTAAAACAACATCCTGAAGCAATTTATTGAAATCAGCTTGGAAGGAGAAAAATTTCTATTTAATTCTTTCTAACAGTGAGGCATTTTTCTCTTATTGGCTAGGTTTAGAGAGAAAACCTAGCTGTGTACCTACCTGAAAGGTAACTGTGGGAATGAATAATGGAAAGATGCTTTAAGTTCCCTTGACACAGCAGGATGACATTGTTATGTGCCATAGGCACACATACTAAATAATTTAAATATTTGTGTAGTTTTATTTTACATGTCATGTGGTTCTTAATCCCACTAATCCTATCTATTATACATAAAGCCCTGAAAATGAATGTCCTTAACTTTGTTTCATCTTGAATGAAAGAAAGAACATACATCAAATTTGAGAGCTGAAGAACTTAACCAAAGGATGAATATTAGTATATTGTTGTATTACCTGTAATCTTAGAACACTCTGAGATGCCCAGGTAAAAGACTAACAATTTGATTCTTCCCTTCGAATTTGGGGAATGACAGTCTGTTCTTTAAACTTCTTTCCCCTTGCCAGTAGTGGATGGCAGTACCAATTGTAGGTAGGCATCAATTTTGTTTGTAGAACTGAGGCCTCAGAGGACTATGAAGAACCAGAGAGGGTTGTGGTCAAATGGTCCCCATTTCCATTATTTTCAACCTCACACTAACTCTTCATGACCTGCCTGAAGACATGGTCAGGGTGATTCTCACAGATACACCTGGGCTGGTGAGACATGTTGGAGAGAATCATATATTCCTACATATTAGAGCCAAAAAATTTTTGGTCTCTAATTTAGCTATGCCTTCAGCTGTCTAGAATTGTTTTAACCTGTCTCCAAGGCCAGCTTCATCCAACAGCAACTGTCCTCAACCACTACTTGCTTCACACTCTCAGCAGATAACCCTGCCTCCATTTCACTAAGAAAAGTGAACTATTTCATAGGTGTGCCTTCTACTGCCATACCTATAAGTTCATCTGTATCTGAACTTACCCTTACCTCCTCCCTCCCAGTCTTAAGAGGGTGGAAGATGGATCAATTCTTCATGACTAATACCTCCCTCTACCTGTGGGCTTGATGCTTTCTCTTTCAGGCTCCTTTAGAACCTGTCCCATCATTGTTTCTCTCTCCTGAATTTTCCATGTTACCTTTGCTAGCTACTGCCTCAAAGTTTATAAACATGCCCCATTTAGAGATTTCTCCCACTACCATCCTTTTCCTGCCTCCTTTTCACCACAAACTCCTAATCTGCAATAGGTATCCACTGTCTCTACTCAGGTGCAGGTTCACTCTTCATTGGTGGGTTGGCTTCAATCTCAGCCCTTCTTCAAACAACACTCTGGCAAAAAATCACCTGTTATGTCCTAACTAGACTCTTCCAGTTCTCACATCACTTTATTCCATCGTGGCATTTCATCCTGCTGTGTCCTTCCAGAAACTCTTCCCTTGGCTTCTCCACTCTCTCTTGCCCTCCTTTGGACATTCTTTCTCAGTTGTTCTTGATAATAGAAGCTTTTAATAATAACAATAGCTACCATTTATTGTGGTCTTCCCATGTATTAAGCATGTTATAAATAATAGCTCATTTAGTTCTTATGATAACCCTATGAATTGGTGGTCAGAAGCCAGACCAGAATTGGATCACTGGCCTATTCCTGAGCCAGACACTGGAAAGGGGCTGGATTTACTCTTATGTCAATCAGGCCTGTCTGAGATTGAGTATGAGGTGAGCTTCTCCTGATGTATGTGGCTGGGGGATGAAGGAGTATCTAAGTAAAATTGGAGTTCAGATCCTGGCTCTGCCAATTACTGGCTGTGTGGTGTTGACAACTTAATGTGTCTGGGCTTCAGATTCCTCATATCGGATATGGATAATATTACATGCCTTGTAGGGTTTTGGAAGGGTAAAATGAATTATTATATGTAAAGTGTTTAATACAGAGAATATAGGAAGCCCCCGTAAATGTTAGCTGATCTCCCATCCCACCCATCCATCCTCAACATTTCTACCACTGCCACCCTTACAAAATACAAACCTATTTTGTCACTCCCTGGCTTAAATCTCTTCAGAGACTCCCATAGCCTAATAATCAAATCTAAACTTTGGTTAGGGTGCTTTGGCCACAAGCTCAATCTGGCTTTAAAAAAAAATAAGGAAATGAGACAGTCAGAGGCAGAGCGAGGTTCGGGATTAGTTGTTTCATGATATCATTGTGAACCCAAGTTTCTGTCTCTCTCCTTCCATTCACAGAATCAGCTCCATCCTAATGCTGATTTCCTTCATTGTTATAATATGGCTGCCAAAAGTGTTTGGGGCTAAGTGCTTCTTTATTCATGCCCAGTAAGAGGAAGGGAGAGGCTTTCAGTAACTCGCAGATTTACTTTTCCAGAAACCTCTAACCAACTTCTCTGGCTATGTTCTTGGTTAGAATATATCACATGCTATTTCTGAGTCAATCACTGGAAGGAGATTAAGAGTGAGGTGAGCTTCCTTGGAGGTGTATGGGTGTGTGGAAAAGGGATGTATACTAAACAAAATTGGGTTTGTGTTAGGAAGAAGAATGTGGAGTGGATGCTGTTAAGGCAACCACTTATGTTCACTACATAAACAAAGCCCTTTTGGTGATCTTACCTTGAAGCAGCAGTTACTTCTTGCCATTCACAGCTTCAACCCAAAATATTCAATTAATAATTATTGTGTATATAAATGAATGACCTTTGAACCAAGTAACTTGCACTTGCCAAAATGTACAAGATGATTTCTGGCCTCTGTGTCTGTGCTGATGGTCCCTGGAATCATCACCCCTCATAATGCACCCCCCTTCCCTCTCTTCTCTTTCTCTCTCTGTCACACACACACACACCACACACACCTCCCCACCTCTCGCAAAACTGGCTTCTACCTACTCTGTGAGTGCTGCAGACTTCTGTGATCGTTGTTTTTCTGTTGCTTCTTCTAGAAGTCTTTTAAGGGTAGGAATTATGTCTTATTCCTCTTTTTATTGGTATATACATAATACATTATTTTGAATACAAGAATGAAAGATTGATCTTGTTCTATACCTTTTCAGAATGTAGATCTCACTCTTGGTGTATATACCTTTAACTAAGTTTACTTATATAGAACTTCTCATCTTATATATGATATACTTGGGTCTTAAGATTATTTTACTTAAAATAATCACAGATGCTTCTTCTTCTTCTTCTTCTTCTTCTTCTTCTTCTTATTATTATTATTATCATTATTATTATTTGAGACAGGGGTTTTGCTCTGTCACCCAGGCTGGAGTGCAGTGGCACAATCTCAGCTCACTGCAACCTCCACCTCCCAGGCTCAGGTGATTCTCCCACCTCAGCCTGCTCCGTAGCTGGGACCACAGGCATGCGCCACCACACCTGGCTAATTTTTTACATTTTTGATAGAGACGAAGTTTCACCATGTTGGCCAGGCTGGTCTCGAACTCCTGAGCTCAAGCAATACACCTGCCTTGGCCTCCCAAAGTGCTGGGATTACAGGCATGAGCCACCGCGCCCGGCCCCAGATGCATTTTTTATTATTAAAATGAACACTTTGAGGCAATGCGTTCAATAACAATACAACAGTCTACATACACACGGTTGACTGAATTATTTTGGCTTTAGCTCACTACATCGTGCATCACATGTTTTGGTGAAGGGACATTTTCCATCATTATGGGGACTGATTCTGTGAAGCCAGTCCAGGAAAGGAAAATGATTTTGTAATGCCTGAATATTGCATTAAAACACAAGTTATGTGAAACAAAATGTTTATTTCATTATTTTGTCTCTGAGTGAGAAAATATAGAAACAAAGACTTTTAAAAACTAGGCTCAGAAAGGACAAACATGATATGCTAAGAATAGGATAGTGCTTACTATTAGGAATGTAGATCTCCATTCCTAATATATTTTGATGTGTTCCTCATTTTAATGTGTTTACAAAACTGTCAACCCAAAAATGCAACCATAGTAAGGAAGTGGAAAGGATAAAGTGACCAAGATATTTGTCATGTTATATTTATGCACAGTAATGGAAGTTTCTATGTAATGTACAAACACACAGCTGCTTCTCAGAGTTCCCATAGGAGAAACCTTTGAAATTCAGGGAGTGCCTAATGGTTCCTTTGATCTTCCTTAGTCTTTTTGCACTTCAGGGAGCTTTGAAGGAGGGCAGTTCTGCTTATCACTGGACCTATTGTTAAGCAAAGAAAAAGCCACTTCCTAGATCTATTGAGATAGGTGGTAAAGGTGAGGGACATTCCCTGACCAGCTGTCTGAACTACTGCTTATGGCCTATTTCAAGAGTTAATTCTATGGTCCAGCCCAAGTTAGCCTCTCCCCTCATTCACTTCAAGTAACTGCAATTGGTTAACTGCCTCTAGGCTATTCTTTAGTCTTAAAACATTTTTTGAAACTGCTGCCTACATATCAAGGAATTCATCTTATTATTTTTTTTTTATATAACTCTTGGTATTTTAACAAAAGTATTACATGCTCATACAGAGAAACACTGAAAAGTGTAAAAAAGAAAAGTATTTTACACAAGATGACCCTCAGAAATAATTACAATACACACTTTTATGTACTTCCAATCTTTTTATTATGTAAATAGATGTACATTTCTTTTTATATAGGAGAGATCAGCTTTTTCTGCACATGTAATTTGTGTACTTTTAAAAACCTTAATATTATACAAATGTTTTCTGGTGTCTGTAAAGATTTTTTATGAACATTTAATGAATATCCCCTATTGTTAGATGAAGAGGCCTTTTTTTTCAGGATTAAAAACAATCCATCAATGTATCACGATGTTTATTTTTTCCCACAGGGACTTGAAAAACTAATTTCAGAAATCCTTAAAGTCTATACACACATATGCAATTAGTAGCCCCCCCTTATCTGCAGGGGGTGTGTTCCAAAGTCCCCAGGGGATGCCTGAAACCATGGATAGTGTGCTATATATACTCTTTTTGCAATCTGACAACCTAGCTGGCTACTGAGTGACTAACAGACATGTAGCACAAACAGCACGGATATGCTGGACAAAGGGATGATTCACATCCTGAGTGGGACAGAGTGGGATGGTGTAAGATATCATCATGTGACTCAGAACAGTGTGCATCCTAAAATTTATGAACTGCTTATTTCTGGAATTTTGCATTTAATATTTTCACATTGTGATTGACTGAAACCATGGAAAGTGAAACCGTGGATAGAGGGGGACTACTATGTATCCATGAACAAGGAACAGGATTTAGGACTTCAGTGCTGAATGAAGTACTCACAGTATCCCCAAGACTACCACCATCCCACAATGTATATCATCTTTAGTTTGGTATGCACTTGCATCAATTAGAGTACCTCTTCAAAGAAAGAAAGTTTTTGAGAAGTTAAATATGGTCAGATTAACTCACTTAATCACCCACTTATTCATTCATTCAATGAACAATAGCTGCTCGCCTGCTAGGCAGTATAGGTACCATGAGGAACAGGACAGACTTGGCACTTGCCATCACAGATCCTAGTCACAATGAGGAGAAGGACAATTAAACCAGAGATTTAAGTAACATTCAGAAAGGGCTATGATAGAGAAAGTAGTGACTACAATGGATGCACATGGCAAGGGCAGCTAAGGTTTCCCAATGAAGGCAATATTTAATCTGAGACATGTAGGGTAAGCAGAAGTTAGCTAGACAAACAAGACAGGGGAGGTCATTCCAAGCTGGAATATCAGAAATGAAGCCTGGGAAGATCAGAATGCCTGTAAGATGAGAGAGCTGAAACCAGATCACAAAGGGCCTTGTCAGCCACCCCAAGGGGGTTAAATTTTATCCCAAGGTACCCTTGGAATCTGTTGAAGATTTGCTCTTTGAAAAGATCATTCTTGCTGCAGTCTGGAAAAGGGATTGCTGTTGGCAGTGGGGATGAGAGATAAGGGAAAGAAGGATTGTTGCAAAATTGCAGGCAGTAAGTAAAACCAATTCTTCAGCTGTAAGCTGAGGTCCTACAAGATGGCTTAAGTTCTGTAATCATCCTTCTTTTTGTTCAGCCTCGCATCACATTTAGCTTCTGACCCTTTTCAACCAACCTAGCATGCATTAAGTACTTAATAAATGGTTGCTTTGTTTGCTCTTTTACTTGTTTGGTGAAGGAATCCATCACCTAACTCTATTTTGCTCTTTGTCCAAAAAAAAAGTATTAAGAGGGAAAGTATCAGGAAGGAAAGGACCTTCCCCATTCTTTTAGCGGGGTAGGGGCACCCCACTTATCTACAGCCATTCAATTGGATGCTGTATCTGAGCTAATTGCTGAAGCTTCCTTGCCTTCCCTTTCCTTTCCCTTTTCTCCTTCCTTCCTTTCTTTCCTTCTTCCTCTTTCTCTTTCTTTCTTCTTTCTCCTTCCTTCCTTCCTTCCTTCCTTCCTTCCTTCCTTCCTTCCTTCCTTCCTTCCTTCCTTTCTTTCTTTCTCTCTCTCTCTCTTTCTTTCTTTCTTTATTTCGAAATGGTCTCACTGTGTCACCCAGTCACGCTGACTAGAGTGCAGTGGCACAATCATGACTCACTGCAGCCTCAATCTCCAAGGCTCAAGTGATCCTTCCACCTTAGCCTTTCAAGTAGCTAGGACCACAGGTGTGCACCACCATGCTGAGCTAATTTTGTAATTTTTTGTAGAAACAGGGTCTCACTACATTGCCCAGGCTGGTCTTGAACTCCTCATCCTCCTGACTCGGACTCCCAAAGTGCTGGGATTATAGGCGTGAGCCCTGGCTAGGCCCAGCCTGAAGCTTTGGTTTTCTTTAGAGAAGTTTTCTGAGCTTGTACAGCCCACAGAATTCCTGATCTGTATAAAGAGGAGCAGTACCTCAATTCTGCCAATATAAGAACATGGGAATTTCATCTATTATAATAGTAATACATGTTCAACATAAAAACATGGAAAATGTAGACAAGTGAAAAATGAAGAAAAACCCAACATAATACCACAACCAAAGGACAACCACTAGTAATATTTTGAAACATTACATTTTAGTCTTTGTGTGTAGTTTCAGGAGGATTACTTTTAGATTACTACGATACACACACACACATACACATATACCTACACATTTATATCCTGATTTTTCTAAACTTAACATCATAGCACTTTAAAAGTTTGTGTTATTTTAAATATTACCTTAAAATTCTATTCATTGCAAAAGATTTCACTGTATGATTGCATTCCAATCTAATCTAACACAGGACCATGCTTAGGTTATGGTGAAGGAATTCATCGCCTAGCTCTATTTTGTTCTTCCTCCAAATAATAAAGTGTCAGAAGGGAAAGCAGCACTATAATGTTTATTTAATGTTTGCACTATAAATAATGCTATGATGAGCAGTTTAGGCATAAAATTATTTGAATGCTTAGGATTATGCTCTTAAGATAACTCCTAGAAGTGCCGGGTGTGGTGGCTCATGCCTTGTAATCCCAGCACTTTGGGAGGCTGAGGCGGGCGGATCATGAGATCAAGAGATCAAGACCATCCTGGCCAACATGGTGAAACCACGTCTCTACTAAAAATTAAAAAATTCACTGGGCATGGTGGCGTGCACCTGTAGTCCCAGCTGCTTGGGAGGTTGAGGCAGGAGAATTGCTTGAACCTGGGAGGTGGAGGTTGCAATGAGTGGAGATCACACCACTGCATTCTAGCCTGGCAACAGAGCGAGACTTTGTCTCAATAATAATAATAATAATAATAATAATAATAATAATAAAAATTCCTAGAAGCAAACCTGGTTTTTTTTTTTTTGAGACAGGGTCTTGTCTCTTATCCAGGCTGGAGTACAGTGGTGTGATCTTGGCTCACTGCAGCCTCTGCGTCCAGGGTTCAAGCGATTCTCCTGACTCTGCCTCCTGAGTAGCTGGGATTACAGGCACGTGCTACCACACCCGGCTAATTTTTGTATTTTTAGTAGAGACGAGGTTTCGCCATGTTGGCCAGGCTGGTCTCGAACTGCTGGCTTCATGTGATCCACATGCCTTGGTCTCCCAAAGTGGCGGGATTACAGGCGTGAGCTACCATGCCCGGCCCCTAATTATTTTTTAAGGTTCTTAATATATACTGCTGATTTAATTTACAAAGAGAGTGTACCAAATTTACATTTCCACTAACAACATATGAGAATACTTGTTTTAGTTAGGCAATATTTAAAAGAAAAATGCTAATTTAATACACAAGGAAAAAATTTCAAAACAATAAAGAATGTTATTGTGTTTTTATATACCTATAGTAATTAAATAAGCAAAGGAAGAAATAGACCGCAAAGATATTAAGCTAGACCTATACTAATAGACTAATTGGCTGTATCATTAATGTAGGAAGTTAGTATCAGGGCTTTAGAATTCCTTGACATTATTCTAAATTTTTCTTTATGTATTTACTTCTGTTTGACTCTGCTTTTTCTTACCCTTAGGCCGTAGTATTTTATAAGTTAGTTCATATATTTAAAAAGGTACACTATATACCACAAACCATAACACTAATATTAACTTCTGATCTGTGTGGTTTGGAATAAAAGGCTTTGAAATTCATTTAGTAATGAGTTAATTTTAGATGGAAAAGTTAAAAGCTAATATTAAATCAATAAAAAATAATGACTTAACTAGAGAAAACACAAGAGGGCAATCTTGCACAGCAATAAAATATGTTTGCATAAGATAAAAAATTTCAACATTTTTAATCAACTGTGATATTTTCAACAAAAGAAATGTAAGGTCTTGTCAGTAAGTATTATCTTTTTATTAATAGTTATATTAATAGTTGCAAGAAAATTTAGTGTCAAGGAAATCTAGTGTTGACATTCACACAATGAATATTGCCATGTAGTTGAGTTGTGTGTGTGTGGTTTGTTTGTTTGTTTTTTAATCCTGGAAAGTGAATCTATTCTCCATTGAGAAATGGCATCCATTATATATATATATGGCCTGATTTTAATTTGTGGAAAAACAAGGAAATAGGTGACACAATTTTTTTTTCTCCAGGATTTACTATACATATTTTTCAAAATGGAAGTAGTTTCATTTTTTTTCTGATTAGGAATGCATAATCCATTAAATATCAATGAAAGAGAATTTTTTATTTTATTTTAGTTTATTTTGAGACAGAGTCTTGCTCTGTTGCCCAGGCTGGAGTGCAGTGGCATGATCTCAGCTCACTGCAACCTCCACCTCCCAGGTTCAAGTGATTCTCCTGTCTCAGCCTTCCAAGTAGCTGGGATTACAAGCACACATGCCACCACGCCTGGCTAATTTTTTTATTTTTAGTAGAGACGAGGTTTCACCATGTTGACCAGGCTGGTCTCGAACTCCTAACCTCAGGTGATCCACCTGCCTTGGCCTCCCAAAGTGCTGGGATTACAGGCTTGAGCCACCGTGCCCGGCCAAGAATATTTTTTTAAAAAATAAACAGTAACTTGCTAAAGGAAGAGCATGGTGTAATTATAATATTAGGGGGAATATTTATGATGTTTTACATGCTTTAATTTCCTGACACTTTAATAGAATTGTAATTTCAGTCAGCTCAGGATGTCCTAAAAATTACAGGCACAAAAAAATAGTAGGTTTAAGGCAACTGCAAGCATCTTTGTATGTGCAAAATCACATATATCTCGATATAACAGAGATAGTATCTGTGTAGTCTTTCTTACCATCTCTCATTGCTCTCTTGCAACTCAAACGAATTTGGAGTTTCTGTGCCAAACAGCATAGGAAATAAAAAGGGAAGGTAATAGAAATAGGCTTTTTTCTGAGCATGCTGGTGAAAGTGAGCCTTAAGAATTCTGTGATCAAGTACCTGGTACTTAGAAAAGCAATATGGAATAGTAGTTAACTGCATGGAGTTTGAATCCCTAATTTCTGCCACATACTAACTATATGACTTTGGAAAATTTCTTAACCTCTCTGTGCCTGATTTTCCTTATCTGTATAATGCAATTATAATGGTACCCATCTCATAAGGTTTGTTGTGAGACATATAAATGCTTAGAGCAGGCGTCTGGTACAAGGTAAACTTTTTGTAAATATTTGCTGTTATGCAAGACAGCCTAAGAAAATTTCTAAAGGAAATAAGAACCCAGATATCAGAATATGAAATATAGGTGTGGGAACCATGTGGGACATGCAAAAGAGCATTAGCTAGAGCTACAAGAAGAAAAGTTCAGATTATAGCCATCCTTTTCCAAGCTACACTTGGCCAGAGGTTTTCCACAGTCCCTCAAGAAAAGAAATTTAAGATTACCAACAGCAACTTATCGAATGCTGCGAGAATTTTGCTCATGTTAACTGTGTAGAAAACCATACCTGCTTCTTCCTCCACTATTAAAAAAAAAGTCATTCTAAAGTACTTTTGTTTAATTCTCATAAAACTCTTCATTAAAGAGCTCTGAAGGTCCAGTACTGTTATTGACAGCATCTGAACTGATGGGTCTTATTTGAACAGTGGAGTTAGGATATGGGTTTTCTGGGAGGCCAAATGAGAGAAGCAGCACCTTAATAGAGGGAGTTGCTTAGCAAAGCTTATTTCTGCTATATGGAATATGGCTGGCACTGGAAAATAGCTCAGTCAGGTCACTTTCATGTTCACAAAACAGTCTTTCTTTGAGGAAGAAAAGTCCTGAAACTGGAAATCCAGGACATATGAGTTCTATTCCTCCAGCTGCCATTGCTACTTTCTGAGAACAAGCAAAGTATTCTGTTTTTTGTTTGGATTCTCTGTTTTTTCTTTGGGTAAATTTCTCATCCCTATTATCATCGTTTCTAAGTTGGTTGAAAAATCTGAGTGAAAAGGTAAATTAGTCATTAAAAAAACTATTAACTATGTTGTACTTTTTTTTTCTTTTCTTTTCTTTTTTTGAGACGGCGTCTCACTCTGTTTCCCAGGCTGGAGTGCAGTGACACTATCTCGGCTCACTGCAACCTCTGCCTCCTGGGTTCAAGCATTCTCGTGCCTTAGCCTCCTGAGTAACTGGGATTACAGGTGTGTGCCTCTATGCCTGGCTAACTTTTTGTATTTTTAGTAGAGATTGGTTTTCACCATGTTGGCCAGGCTGGTGTCGAACTCCTGACCTCAGGTGATTCACCTGCCTCGGCCTCCCAAAATGCTGGGATTATCGGCGTGAGCCACTGAGCCCTGCCAACTATGTTGTACTTTTGTTTTGCATTATTCTATCTATATTTTAGTTTCCACTTTAGATAAAATGGTTAAAATCTTGAAATATCTTGCTAGGAAGGAATCATTATAGTAAATGAAGTGCTTGTGCACATTTCCACAGAGATCATTTTGGAATATCAATGAAAATTTCTTTCATATCTTTGTATCTTCCTATCTTGAGCAATCCTGAGTTCTGCTGGAGTTTGAGAGAAGCCCAACGTGCTGGAAAGTCTACCAGGAAAGGCTGCTTGATTGACTTTACTATAACACAATTTTATTTTGGTGGATTACCTAGAGTTGACAGCTTTAACTTTCCAGGTATTGGCACGTAATTTCAAGGTTGTGATCTGAATGTATTAGAGCAACCAAACTTACAAGAGACTCATGTTTATATGTAGCAGGCACTATGCAAAAGACAACCATTATCCCTATCCTCATTGAGCGAAACATTAAACAAATAATTGTACAGCTAATTATTACGTTAAACTCTGAACAAAAAAGTTCTGGGAGCTAGGAGGAAATGATGAGGCATGACCATCAAGCAGATTATTGGAAAGACTTGTTTAAAAAGTTTATAATTTGGCCTTTTTGTCTGTTTAGTTAAATATGCATTATCATGCTGTAATCATTTTCTGTGTCTGTCTCCAAAATGCATGTGTCTGTTCCAGTGACTTATAATTTACAGTCTGCATATCAAGGTTCTCTAACTTCAAATTGCATCTTCCACTTCAACTTTTTCTACACTTTTATACAAGCCACTTCCAAATCTCGACACATTCTTTCTTTAAATATACTAATAATACCTATTAAGTTATATATAAATTCAGTGTTCTTTCAGCCTAGGAGAGTTCTGTCTTTCACTAGGCGTTAACGTCATTAGTCAAAGCCTCTGAATTTGTGGGTTCCTTAGTGCCCTCCTACAAACACTCCTGGCAAAAACACAATAAACCACTAGGAAGTTAATGTATGCGCTCATCAAAGTCCTGTAACTTGAGAATGAAGTAGCAGGAAACAGCTACCCAGCAGTGTTATAAACATTTATAGGCCATAATCCCAGTGCTTTGGGAGGCCAAGGCAGGAGGATCTCTTGAGCTTTGGAGTTCAAGACACCCTGGGAAACATAGGGGGTCTTTACAAAAAATTTAAAAATTAGTTGGGTGTGATGGTGCACACTTGTGGTCTCAGCTACATGGGAGGCTGAGGCCAAAGGATTGACCTTGAACCTGGAAGTTCCAGGTTGCAGTAAGCTACGATCCCACCACTGCATTCTAGCCTGGGTGACAGAGTGAAACCCTGTCTCTCGAAATAAATAAATAGATATATAAATAAAAATAAAAATGTATAGCAGCATTAGTTATAATAGCCAAAAGGTAGAAACAACCCAGATGTCCATCAGCAGACAAATGGATAAACAAAATGTGGTATATATGTACAACGGAATATTATTCCGAGTTAAAAGGAATGAAGTACTTAAAAATGCTACATGAACCAACCTTGCAGACGTCATGCTAAGTGAAATCAGCCAGACACAGGAGGACAAATATTGTATGATTTCACTGACATGAGGTACTTAGAATAATCAAATTCATAGAGACAGAAGGTAGAATAGTGATTACCAGGGGCTGAGGGGAGAAGGGAATGGAAAGTTATTATTTACGGGTACAGAGTTTCTCTTTGGAATAATGGGAAAGATTGGGAAATGAATAATTGTAATGGTTGCACAACGTTGTATAGGTACTTAATGCCACTGAATCCTACACTTAAAAATGGTGAAAATGGTACATTTTATGTTATGTGTATCTTATGAAAATAAAAAATACACACACACACAGACTCAGTGAAAAGTTGGGGAAAAATACTATAAGCCATCTAGATGCCTTACGCCTTGTGGATTATAAATGTGTATCAGTATTGTTTCTGTTATAAAGCTAAAACCTTTAAAAAAATTCCTTTCTTAACTTTTTATTTCCACACTCAATCTTTTTACCTCTTCCAGCTACCTTATAGTTGTTTTACTGTCATCCACAATATTTTCTGCATGTAAGGAATACAGTATTATCATTATTATCATTGTTATTAATTTTTTATTGCTGTTGTTGTTCTGGTATCCCATTTATATTGAGGGTTTGATGTATCCAGTATTAGCCTGTAAAAACATGAATAAAAGGAGAGTATGGGAGGATAGTGCTGCTCACCGTACAATAACTTTATATGATTCTATTGAGCTTTTGTCCTCAGTATATCAGGACACTATCAGATGCAACTGCAGCTTTTCATCTAGTTTTGTGCCCCTTAGAGATGACATGGACTCAGATGAACCTCAAGAAGTTGCCTGGAATAGGATGAGCTCCACAAACTATCTGCATGATTAAAGATGGCCTGTCCAGTACAACAAAACCCTTTTAACAAGTTGTTAGAAACATATGTCAAACCTTTTTCTATTTCTAACACCTATTTGGCACTGTAGAAATAGTTAAATCACCACAAAACATGCTTACTATGCTACATGCTGGGAGTGGGGGAGGCCTGTTTTGATTTATAAGAAAAAAACCAATTCATGAGTTTCAGCATTAGCTAAATCTCTTAAAGAGTTTGCTTTATGATTTTAAAAGATCTTAAGAAAATACACTATTCTTGAAATAATGAAAATTACTTATAATACTTTTATTATTTAAAACTATGAAAAAAGGGGTGGGTGCGGAGCTCACGCCTGTAATCCCAGCACTTTGGGAGGCCAAGGTGGGAGGATCACTTGAGGACAGGAGTTTGAGACCAGTCTGGGCAACATAGTGAGACCTCGTCTTGACAAAAATAAATTTAAAAAATTATCCAGGCATGGTTGCATGAGTCTTTAGTCCCAGCTACTTGGGAGACTGAAGTGGGAGGATCACTTGAGCCTGGAGATCAAGGCTGCAGTGAGCCTCAATTGCACCACTGCACTCCAGCCTGGATGACAGAGTGGGACCCTGTGTGCCCCCAACAAAAAACCCCAACCCTCCCCCCCCAACTATAAAATAATATATTTTCATGTAAAAATCAAACAAGAAAAGCGAATAAATATGAAGGTTTTCCATTCTGGCCCATTGCAGACAATACCTCTCCTCTGAAATAACCAGTGTTACCAGGTCCACATTTTATCTAGCTAGGTCATAAATAAAATAAATAATAAGTAAATAACATAATAACAAATGAATAATACATGTTGTGAGTATAATAAGAACAAAAAAATTTTAAAACTTGCTATTTTACACCAATTTACTTGGTCTTTTTTTTTTTTTTTAGACGGAGTTTCGCTCTTATTGCCCAGGCTGGAGTGCAGTGGCGTGATCTCAGCTCACTGCAACCTCTGCCTCCGGGGTTCAAGTGATTCTCCTGCCTCAGCCTTCTGAGTAGCTGGGATTACACGTGTCCACCACCACACCCAGCTAATTTTTTGTATTTTTAGTAGAGATGGGGTTTCACCACGTTGGCCAGGCTGGTCTCAAACTCCTGACCTCAGGTGATCCACCCGCCTCGGCCTCCCAGAGTGCTAGGATTACAGGCGTGAGCCACCACACTTGGCTAATTTACTTGTTAAATTATGAAGGGAAGATAGATTATTACTTAGATGATCAGATTTGATTTATAAATATTACCTCTTGTTTCTTTAGCCACGGGATAAGTACGAAACATAGAAATAGCCCAGAGTAGAAAAAATGATCTTGTTTATGTCTGTCTTCCCCATTTCACTGTGAGATCCTTCAGGCTAGGAACTGTGGCTAATCTTTGTAGCCTCAGAACCTAAAACAGAGGCTGGCACAAAATAAGCTTGGCACAAAATAAGTGCTGAATAAATGCTTGTTATGTAGTGTTGACTCTACTGGGCAGTATTTATTATCTTGAATTGGTAGCAGTGGTAGAATTCAGTTCCAAGATGTGCATTCCAGGCTACAATTCATTGCTAGTGCAGTATGTCAAGCTGGATTGTCTGAAAGACACCAGTAGATACAGCGTAGTGAAAGCTACAGGCACCTACCTGCCTTAAGAATCTGGGAATCTGAAGATTTAAATTGTGCACAGATAGTTTTCTTCTCCCAGAATCCCCAAACCCAGGGGTAGAGGTGGTATTCCTCTATGTCAGATTTCCAAACTACACACCATGAGACTCACATGAGCTCAGAATCCTAGATGGTTTTCACAAACAAGTGTCTGGAAAGGGTCATTTAGATCTGGCCACAGGCCAGCCGCAGTGGCTCATGTCTGTAATCCCAGCAATTTGGGAGGCTGAGGTGGGAAGATCACTTGAGGCCAGGAGTTCAAGACTAGCCTGGGCAATATGGTGAACCCTCGTCTCTACTAAAAATACAAAAATTAGCCGGGCATGGTGGCACATGCCTGTAATTCCAGCCACGTAGGAGGCTGAGGCATGAGAATCGCTTGAACCTGGGATGGGGAGGTTACAGTGAGCTGAGATCATGCCAGTGAACTTCCAGCCTGGGAGACAGAGTGGGACCTTGTCTCAAAAAAAATTAAAATTCAAAATATTAAGTAGAAAAGTTCTTGTGTTCCTTGGAAGTGTGCTACAGTAGAGGCAGAATGGCCACATTGTATAAATGTGGAGAAGCACAAAGAATATATAGAAATTTAGCTATACTTAATTATTATTTCATACTTTTGCCTTTTAAAAACTCATTTTCATTCCAATTTCAGTGTTTAACATTAATATTTTGAGGTATATTCCATAAAATAATATTTTAAAACGTATACAAATCCAGTATTTTAGCTTTTTAAAAGTTACTTCAAAGCACATTTGCAGGGGGGATGTTTACTCTCCTCATTACAGAAAAGGCTCTGGAAAGTCACCATTTGCTCAACCAGCTAGACTGGGGCCAGGGTTTAGAGATCTGTGTCCAAGTTATTCCTAAAATATCAGAGGGCCATTGTGGGCCTGAAGTTTATATTGTTAATTGTATGACCGTGGTCCAGAAATATTTGACTCTTCATTGTTAGTTTAGGTTAGTCAAAATTAATTAGTTTCAACTTGCTTGACGACATTAATCTTTTGGTTGTGGTTTTCTGTAGGATTGTGTTGAGGAGGATTTTGAGGCTATGTCTGAGCTTTACAAGCAAACGTTGTGATGACTTAGCAATATCAAGGGCATTCAAGGGAGGAGTGGTGATATGTAGGGCCATTTTTTGGTTATCCTCTTCTAAAGTAATTTTAAGATTTCTTCTAGCTCTAAAAGTCTAATTCTGTTTATAAACATGGCAATCTGTTAATGATGTATTATCAGGAAAAATTTTCAAGTACATAGTCATTTTTGTGTGCACATATTTTAGCATGGAAAAGGTTCTGGAAAGACATTCTTTGAATTGTGATGTGATTATCTCTAGGTGTTAGGAAATTAAGGATTTTTTTATTTTTGTCTTTGTTTTCTAATTTTTCTTCAGTGATCATATATTGCTTTTGTAATAAAATTGTAAAACATTTCAAAACTGTCTAATACTAAAACAGGTGCTTAAATCCATTTGCAAATTACAAATGTTACCAGGTATAAAATAAAGTTAATTACATCATGTTACATGAATTATTTATTATAGCTAGCAAAACCAGTCTCATAGATATCACTAAGTAGTATTTCATGCACATATATATTTTTTTCATTCTGGGATACATGTGCAGAACATGCAGGTTTATTACATAGCTATACATGTGTCATGGTGGTTTGCTGCACCCATCAACCTGTCATCTACATTAGGTATTTCTCCTAATGCTATCCCTCCCCTAGCCCACCAGCCCCCGACAGGCCCTGGTGTGTGATGTTCCCCTCTCTGTGCCCATATTTTCTCATTGTTCAACTCCTACTTATGAGTGAGAACACGTGGTTTTCTGTTTTGTGTTAGTTTGCTGAGAATGATGGTTTCTAGCTTCATCCATGTCTCTGCAAAGGACATGAACTCATCTTTTTTATGGCTGCATAGTATTCCACAATGTATATGTGCCACATTTTCTTTATCCAGTCTATCATCGATAGGCGTGTGGGTTGGTTCCTAGTCCTTGCTATTGTGAATAGTGCTCCAATAAACATATGTGTGCATACGTCTTTATAGTAGAATGATTTATCCTCCTTTGTGTATATCCCCAGTAATGGGATCCCCAGGTCAAATGGTATGTCTAGTTCTAGATCCTTGAGGAATTGCCACA
Organism: Homo sapiens; assembly: GCF_000001405.40. Lineage (NCBI taxonomy): Eukaryota > Metazoa > Chordata > Mammalia > Primates > Hominidae > Homo > Homo sapiens. Next base: position 57,370,148 of record NC_000014.9, on the reverse strand, counting down.
CTGTCTTCCACAATGGTTGAACTAATTTACACTCCCACCAACAGTGTAAAAGCATTCTTATTTCTCCACATCCTCTCCAGCATCTGTTGTTTCCTGACTTTTTAATGATCACCATTCTAACTGGCATGAAATGATATCTCACTGTGGTTTTGATTTGCATTTCTCTAATGACCAGTGATGAGGCGCTTTTTTTCATATGTTTGTGGGCCACATAAATGTCTTCTTTTGGAAAGTGTCTGTTCATATCTTTTGCCCACTTTTTGATAGGGTTGTTTTTTTCTTATAAATTTGTTTAAATTCTTTGTAGATCCTGGATATTAGCCCTTTGTCAGATGGATAGATTGCAAAAATTTTCTCCCATTCTGTAGGTTGCCTGTTCACTCTGATGATAGTTTCTTTTGCTGTGCAGTAGGTCTTTAGTTTAATCAGATCCCATTTGTCAATTTTGGCTTTTATTGCAATTGCTTTTGGTGTTTCATTGCCAATGCCTATGTCCAGAATGGTATTGCCTGGGTTTTCTTCATGGGTTTTTATGGTTTTGGTCTTATGTATAAATCTTTAATCCATCTTGAGTTAATTTTTGTATGCATGTAAGGAAAAGGTCCAGTTTCAGTTTTCTGCATATGGCTAGCCAGTTTTCCCAACACCATTGATTAAATAGGGAATCCTTTCCCCATTGCTTGTTTTTGTCAGGTTTGTCAAAGATCAGATGTCTGTAGATGTGTGGTGTTATTTCTGAGGCCTCTGTTCTGTTCCATTGGTCTATATATCTGTTTTGGTACCAGTATCGTGCTGTTTTGGTTACTGTAGCCTTGTAGTATAGTTTAAAGTCAGGTAGCGTGGTGCCTTCAGCTTTGTTCTTTTTGCTTAGGATTGTCTTGGCTGTATGGGCTCTTTTTGGTTCCATATGAAATTTGAAGAAGTTTTTTCTAATTCTGTGATGAAAGTCAATTAATGGGAATAGCATTGAATCTATAAGTTACTTTGGGCTGTATGGCCATTTTCACGATATTGATTCTTCCTATCCATGAGCATGGAATATTTTTCCGTTTGTTTGTGTCCTCTCTTATTTCCTTGAGCAGTGGTTTGTAGTTCTCCTTGAAGAGGTCCTTCACATCTCTTGTAAGTTGTATTCCTGAGTATTTTATTCTCTTTGTGGCAATTGTGAATGGGAGTTCACTCATGATTTAGCTGTTTGTCTATTACTGATGTATAGGAATGCTTGTGTTTTTTGCACATTGATTTTTTTATCCTCAGACTTTGCTGAAGTTGCTTATCAGTTTAAGGAATCTTTGGGCTGAGACAAGGGGGTTTTCTAAATATACAATCATGTCATCTGCAAACAGAGAGAATTTGACTTCCTCTCTTCCTATTTGAATACTTATTGCTTTCTCTTCGCTGATTGCCCTGGCCAGAACATCCAGTACTATGTTGAATAGGATTGGTGAGAGAGGGCATCCTTGTCTTGTGCTGCTTTTCAAAGGGACTACTTCCAGCTTTTGCCTATTCAGTATGATATTGGCTGTGGTTTTGTCATAAATAGCTCTTATAATTTTGAGATACATTCCATCAATACCTAGCTTATTGAGTGTTTTTAGCATGAAGGGGTGTTGAATTTTATCGAAAGCCTTTTCTGCATCTATTGAGATAATCATGTGGTTTTTGTCATTGGTTCTGTTTATGTGATGGATTACATTTATTGATTTGTGTATTTTGAACCAGCCTTGCATCCCAGGGATGAAGCCCACTTGATCATAGTAAATAAGCTTTTTAATGTGCCACTGGATTTGGTTTGCCAGTATTTTATTGAGGATTTTCTCATCAATGTTCATCAGGGATTTTGACCTGAAATTTTCTTTTTTTGTTGTGTCTCTGCCAGGTTTTGGTATCAGGATGATGCTTGCCTCATAAAATGAGTTAGGGAGGAATCCCTCTTTTTCTATTGTTTGGAATAGTTTCAGAAGGAATGGTACCAGCTCCTATTCACTTTTGTAGTTCCAAAATGTGTTAGAGGAATTTCAGAATGCACAAATTAGCTAGCAGGCAAATTTCTGGCTGTAATTTTGATGAAATAATCCAAGAGAGGAATGACCAGATAACTTTTGATACATATTTTATAATTTTGGTTTTGATCTAGGTGTTCTGGAATTAGAACTTGTGCTCCCCATTGTTGCAATAAATCTCTTCCCCATGAATTTATAGGTACAGAAGTTATAATTGGTAGAATAGTCCCAGGTTGTCCATCGGGCCCTTCACAACGCAAAATATAACTACTTTGATATACTTCAGGGGTTTTACCAACTCCAACTGTGTTAAATTGAGCGGGTTGAATTGGCCACACAGACAGTCAGTGCTGTAGAGAAATGATTGAAATTTCCACTCCTGTATCTACCAAACCTTTAAATTTCTTTCGCTGAATAGTTATTTCACAGGTAGGACATTTATCCATAATTTGATTCACCCAATAAGCTGTTTTACCTTGTTTATTTGTGCTTCCAAATCCTCCTGTTCATTTAATTTCACTTTTCCCCATTCTCACATATGGCACAATCAGGAGCCGTGCTATACACTCTCCTGCTCTGCTTTCCAGGAAACAGACATAGATATAACAATTTGAATTTCCCCATTGTAATCTGAATCAATGACTCCTATATGTTTTTGTCCCCTTTTAAAATTTAAACTAGACCTTCCTAGAAGCAATCCTATCATCCCTGCTGGCAAGGGTCCACAGACTCCTGTTGGGACCTTTTGCGGGGGGTTCCCCAGGCAGAAGGCTCACAGCTTTTGTGCAGCATAAATCTACTGCAGCACTACTGGTTGTGGCGGGGGACAGACATTGTACAGGGGTGAGGGAATGGCCTGAGCCGGAAATGCCCAGTTTGGAATGGGGCCTGGGACGGGCCCCTCATGGTGTTTCCCAAAATCGGGTTCCCATCTTTATGAAACTTAGAGTGACACTGATTAGCCCAATGTTCTCCTTTTTTACATTTTGGACATATTTCAGGCTCAGAAGTTTTCTTTTTTCCCCTATCTGGTGGCCTGACTCGCTGATATTTTTCTACATTCTTTTTTTAACATGACCATGCTTGTTTAAATTCTTTGAGTAACTTAAAAGGAAAAGGCTCAAGTGTAGCTATAATATTTCCCTGTTGATCTGGGGGGTGTATCCTAACAGGGAACTGCCGAGCCTCTAAATCACCCTCTCTTCTAGCTTGCTGAATTCCTGCCTGAATAGAACTGAGAGTGGTCGCTCGAGGCGCTGCTCAAATAGTCACTGGGGCAACTACTTTTCGCCCAGTGTCCTCTGGAAAAGAAGATCTGGGGGGTCAGGCCACTCTTTTTCTTCAAAATAATCATGAGCGGGTACAGAAGGGTAGCGATGAACCTCTCCCTCCTTTGCAGCTTTAGCTTTAGCTGGCAAACCTGCTCTGTAACCTCTTCTGTTACTTCGTTATACTCTCCTTCCTCCTCATCATCAGTGTGAAAAAGTTCCAAGGTGGAATGAACCAGAGCCCACACTTGTCCCATTGTTACCCTGACACTTCCGAGCTCCCCTTCTTACTCATCACGGGGATTGCTTTAAGAGTACTCGGGTGTCCTCCAGCTTAGTTCCACATTCTCCAACTGTTGCTCCAGTGACCCTTCGACCTGGATTAGAGCCCCCACGTACGGGCACCGCTTGCTGAGACCAGCTCGGTCGGGGAAACCCTAACCCAGCAGTGCTAGGGGAATTAAAGACACACACACAGAAATATAGAGGTGTGGAGTGGGAAATCGGGTCTCACAGCCTTCAGAGCTGAGAGAGCCTCGAACAGAAATTTACCCACGTGTTTATTAACAGCAGACCAGTGATACACATTGTTTCTATAGATATTAGATTAACTAAAAGTATTCCTTATGGGAAACAAAGGGATGGGCCAAAATAAAGGTATGGGTTTGGCTAGTTATCTTCAGCAGGTGCATGTCATTAAGGCACAGATCACTCATGCTATTGTTTGTGGTTTAAGAACGCCTTTAAGCGGTTTTCTGGCCTGTGTGGGCCAGGTGTTCCTGCCCTCATTCTGGTAAACCCACAACCTTCCAGCGTAGGCGTCACGGCCATCATGAACATGTCACAGTGCTGCAGAGATTTTGTTTATGGCCAGTTTTGGGGCCAGTTTATGGCCAGATTTTGGGGGGCCTGTTCCCAACAGGTTTTTCCTCATCTTCGTGGATTTATCTACCTTTGGTCTTTGATGTTGGTGACCTTCAGATGGGGTTTCTGTGTGGACGTCCTTTTTGTTGATTTGGATGCTATTCTGTTTGTTAGTTTTCCTTCTAACAGGCCCCTTTGCTGCAGGTCTGCTGGAATTTGCTGGAGGTCCACTCCAGACCCTGTGTGCCTGGGTATCACCAGCAGAGGCTGCAGAACAGCAAAGTTCGCTGCCTGTTCCTTCCTCTGGAAGCTTTGTTCCAGAGGGGAACCCACCAGAAGCCAGCCAGAGCTCTCCTGTATAAGGTGTCTATTGACCCCTGTTGGGAGGTGTCTCCCAGTCAGGAGGCACGGGGGTCAGGGACCCACTTGAGGAGGCAGTCTGTCCCTTAGCAGAGCTTGAGCGCTGTGCTGGGAGATCCTCTGCTCCCTTCAGATCCGGCAGGTAGGAACATTTAAGTTTGCTGAAGCTTCGTCCACAGCTGCCCCTTCCCCCAGGTGCTCTGTCCCAGGGAGATGGGAGTTTTATCTATAAGCCCCTGACTGGGCCTGCTGCCTTTCTTTCAGATATGCCCTGCCCAGAGAGGAGGACTCTAGAGAGACAGTCTGGCTGCAGCGGCTTTGCCGAGCTGTGGTGGGCTCCACCCAGTCTGAACTTCCCTGCAGCTTTCTTTACACAAAAAACAAAGGGAAAACCGCTTACTTAAGCCTCAGTAATGGCTTACGCCCCTCCCCGCACCAAGTGCGAGCTATCCCAGGTAGACTTCAGACTGCTGTACTGGCAGCCAGTATTTCAAACCAGTGGATCTCAGGTTGCTGGGCTTCGTGGGGGTGGGATCCTTTGAGCAAGACTACTTACTTGGCTCCCTGGCTTCGGCCCTCTTTCCAGGGGAGTGAATGGTTCTGTCTCGCTGGTGTTCCAGGTGCCACTGGGGTACGAAAAAAAACTCCTGCAGCTAGCTTGGTGTCTGCCCAAATGGCCACCCAGTTTTGTGCTTGAAACCCAGGGCCCTGGTGGTGTAGGCACCTGTGGCAATCTGGTCTGTCCGTTGCGAGGATCATAGGAAAACCGTAGTATCTGGGCCAGATAGCACCGTCCCTCACTGCACAGTCCCTCACAGCTTCTCTTGGCTAGGAGAGGGAGTTCCCCGACCCCTTGAGCTTCCTGGGTGAGGCAATGCCCCACCCTGCTTTGGCTCGCCCTCCGTGGGCTGCACCCACTGTCTAACCAGTGCCAATGAGACGAACCGGGTACCTCAGTTGAAAATGCAGAAATCACCCACTTTCTGTGTTGGTCTTGCTGGGAGCTGCAGATAGGAGCTATTCTTATACGGCCATCTTGCCCAGGAATCCTTGTGTACATATTTAACTGTAGCTTTTCTCCAAGAAAAATTTTTGTTAACTTTTTAAAAATTTTTTTATTTAGAGACAAGGTCTCATTCTGTCACCCAGGCTGGAGTACAGTGGTGCTATGGTAGCTCACTGCAGCCTTGAACTCCTGTGCTCAAGTGATCCTCCCATCTCAGCCTCCTGAGCAGCTAGGACTCCAGGCATGTGTCACCACACCCAGCTAATAAATTTTTATTAACTTTTAAAATTGTAAATAGTTATACATGTATCTGGTAAAATTTCCAATAATACCAAAGTTTATAGAATTAAAAGTAATCTTCCTTCCAACCAAAATTGTCAATCTTCCTCCCAAAGATAACTACAGTTATTGGTTTCTTACATATCATTTCAAAATAATCGTATTATATATAAGCATATGTATGTTATATATTACATTATACATTCTTCACCCCAAATAGAAGTATCCTATATATTCCATTGTATTTTTTATTTACATTCACTTGATAATATATATTGGAGCTCTTTTCCTATGAATTCATGTAGTTTCACTCCATTCTTTCTATTGACTGCATAATATTCCATTTTATAGATGAACCATAATTCAGTTAGTACCCTATTCATTGACACATATGTTTTCCAAAATTATTTAGCTATTTTAGGCTGGGTGCAGTGGCTCATGCCTATAATCCCAGCACTTTGGGATGCCAACGTGGGCGGATAACTTGAGGTCAAGAGTTTGATACCACCCTGGCCACCATGGTGAAACCCCGTCTCTACTAAAAAAATTAAAAAATTAGCTGGGCGTGGTGGTGGGCACCTGTCGTCCCAGCTACTCAGGAGCCTGAGGCAGGAGAATCACTTGAACCCAGGAAGGGAAGGTTGTAGTGAGCCAAGACTGCGCCACTGCACTATAGCCTGGGAGATAGAGCAAGACTCTGTCTCAAAAAAAACAAAAACAAAAATTATTTAGCTATTTTAAACAGCACAGCCTTGAATAGAGTTGTACATATATCTTTGAACACATGTGAATATTACTATTAGATAAATTCCTAAAAGCATAATTTTAAGCCAAAATTATGCACATTAAAAATTTCGGTAGCTGTGTTTCAAATCACCCACCAAAGACATTGTACTAATTTGCACCCTCACTGTACTAATGTATGGGAATGCTAGTTTTATTAAATCCATGTCAGTATGGCATATTATCAAACTGGAATTTTTAATTTATCTATAGGTAAAAAATGGTAACTAGAAAACTGGAAACTGGAAACTGCCTGTTACCGTCCATTCCCAGTTTTACACTGTGTTTTTTCCTAAGCATTCTTCCAGAAATGGTTAATAAGTTAACAGAGGATAACAAGACATTATCTAAAATTAGTTTCTTATAAGTTATTTGTCATTAGTATCTTTAAAAACACAGATTCCCTTCCCCTAACTTAATAAGCATCTACGGGAAGCTTTCTAAATGCAGAGCTGTACATTCTGGCTTTGGAGGGACAAAAAGATTAACTGGATAAAGGGTCTATCCCAGAGCTCACAATTTAATGGGAAAAATGTAAACAAAAAGACATGCTCTTAAAATATTATAAGGGCTGTGGGGGAGCATAAGAGGTGCAAGGGATTACTTTAAATAGATTGAACAGGGAAGGCTTAACAGAGTAGGTGCAATATGTCCTTGAGGGATAGAGTATTAGTTTTCTAGGCCTGTTGTAACAACCTATATGCCACAAACTGGGTGACTTAAAATAGCAGAAACTTATTGTTGAGATGGAGCAGGGACCCCTCTTAGGGGCCTGCCAGTTACCCCCTTCCCAAGCATGGAAATAAAGGAAAATTGTGGGTTCCTTTAAGGCAAATTCCAGGCATCTAGCTAGCCCTGAGAAGAAAATGAACAACTTGATAAGTTGAGAAGGTGACAATAGCTTAAAACAATAGCTAAGGAAGTTGGAGTCACAGATGTTTTGTTCCTTAAAGAAACTAAGGATAACATCTTCACATATGTCCTTGAGTTGTTTTTCAGAAACTCAGATCCCCACCAAGTGGATCTGCTGGCCTGTAGATCTCAGATAAGGGGGAACTGACCACTGAACTCTGACCACTGTTCTTTGTTCTAAATTCCTTCCTGAGGGGCCTGGAGGAAGTCATGCCCACAAATCAGACCTAAACATTCCTTTCTGCTGACCTCAAGTTTTTAGACAAAACTTTGCTTCCATAAGCAATTGCAAATCAGAGTCTTTGAATCCACCTATTACCTGTAAGCACCCCTACTTCAAGATGTCCCACCTTGTTAGGCCAAACCAATGTATAACCTCAATGTGTTGATTTACAAGTTTGCCTGTAACTTCTGCTTTCCTGAAATGTATTCCTGCCTTTAAAAACCGGTGCCTGTAAGTCACTGAGGAGGTCAGGTCTTAAGCATGGGCTGCCTGATTTTCCTTCTTGGTGCCTTGCAAATAAATGCCTGCCTTTCTCCCACTACAAAACCTCAGTGTGGATGTTTGGCTTTACTGTGCCAGGAAAGTGGACCCTGTTCAGTTTGGTAACATTGTCTCACAGTTCTGGAGGCTATAAATCCAAAATCAAAGTGTTGGCAAGGCCATACTTTCTGAGGCAGAATCCTTCCTTGCCACTCTCTAGCTTCCGGTGGTGGCTGTCAATCCTCATTGCTCCTTCACTTGCTGCTGCATGGGTCCAATGTCTGCCTCCATCATTGATGGCTGTCTTCACATCATCTTCCCTCTGTGCGTGTTGGTGTCTGTGTCCAAATTCCCCCCCCCCTTTTAATCAGAACACCAGTCATATTGAATTAGAACCCTCCCTAGTGACCTCATCTTAAATTAAGGATCTGCAAAGACCGGATTTCCAAATAAGTACATCCATAGGTACTGGGGGTTAAGACTTCAATGCATCTCTGGGAAAACACAATTCAACCCATAACAATGGGTAGGATTTTTTATTTTTTATTTTTTGAGACAGGGTCTTGCTCTGTTGCCCAGGCTGGAGTGCAGTGGCATAATCACAGCTTACTGTAGCCTCAAACTCCTAGGCTCAAGCAATTCTCCCATTTCGGCCTCCCAAAGTGCTGGGAGCCACTGTGCCCAGCCAAGATTTCAATAAAAGAGAATGAGGCATAAGCATTCTAGGTGGAGCATAAGTATTCTAGGAGAAAAGAATAAGATGAAGACTTATCAAGAAGAAGTACAGGGCATGTCCAGAAAATATCAAGTACTTTGTCTAGTATTGTGAGCAAGAGCATGTTGCAAGTGAGGGGGCTGTGGAAGAGGGCCTTGTGTCCATTTGCTCTCTGGGGAATGGCAACCACTGAAACTTTCAATCAGAGTGCATAGTTTAATCACTGTGCCTCAAGGATATTACTCTATGCTGTGTGTATGACGGATTGGATGGGGAAACTAGTGAAGGCAGGAGCACCAGAGAGGAAACTATTGTAGCTGCTTCCAAGATGTCAGGCAGCAAACCTTGAACTTCTAGTCTGTGAGTTATGTCGTCTGCACTCATCTTCATCCTCAGACCCTCTACCACTGGGGTATGAAAGGGCTGCTTGCTTCTGATTTGCAAACTCCCACAATCCAGATGGATCTCTCTTCCCCATCAGAAAAATTGTTTGAAATATACTCCTGTATTTCTTTATCAGACTGGGTTGCTTTATGAGTTGCAGTGTTGCACATTGCCAAATGTTACGCATGTTGCTTGTTCTAAAAGAGGCCTGGGGGTTGTTTAAGACTCTTTGGAAGGCCTTTCTTTCTGCTTTTTTCCTTAGCATTTTCAGATAGACTCACCAAAACATCTTGAACCAGAAAACGAAATTTGAAAAGCGTCTTCTCCTTTAAGTTCTTAAGAGCTTTTCTGCACCTTTTCTTCAAAAGAGCGTCTAAAAGTGGGTTAATGGCTGAATTAAGCAGTGCTGGCCAGGCAGATATTGTCTGCATCTGCGGAGGAAGCGTCCACCCACTGTTTACCATTGTGCTTGCCTGCGATATGCTTACAATTATGTAGGGGATCCAGCAACAAAAGAAAATAAAAGTCACCAGAAATAGATGAAAGGTACCATTGTATTCAGGAGCTGGGGTGGTGCTCATTTCAAAATCTTCTGTTTTCTGCTCTGAGGAGCAGAGGAGCTGGAGAAGTGTATAGTATCAGCCATAGTCTAAGACTGAATAGTGTTGCTATCTGGGACTGTTTCTCTTGAGATCCTTGTATACGTTTAGAATCTTCTTAGCACTTCTTTGCAGAGAAGGCTATCCTTGTCTTTTATCATTCTCAGCAATTGACTTTCAATACCCTGTAGCCAATTGGCTTGCTTCCTATCTATGTCTACTGCATAAACCTAACATGATGTACCAACACACAGAGAGGGAACGAGAAGAGCAAGATGCCATAAGCCTGATGGGTTAGTCTGAATGCCCAGTGTTGCAGGTAGCTGCCTAATATTTAAAAGGCTACCATGTTACAAAGAGGAAACTTTGACAAGGCAACATAAATTCAGATCCAAATCCCAGTGCTATAATTGTTTTAAAGGTACGCCATGTGCTGTGTCAAACACCATACAGCTACCTATAAACATTGTAGCTGATGCATATGCTCAAGGTATGCAACAGAGCGAAAAGCTATTGACCAGATAAGCTGAAGCAGGCTACATTCTAACTGACAAAACAGGATTTCTAATCACAAGGTGGTCCTGGTATCAAAGCTGAATTCAAAACATAAAAACTAAGCTAAAAATGTTTGTATCAAGATTAGCGATGCTAGATTATAATACATTTTTGAAACGCAATGTTATAAAGTCTAACCTCACATGTATTTATTGCCCTCTGGAAGAGTAGATACCAGTTTTTCAGAGAGTAATCTGACTTTAAGATCTAAATGACTTTTATAGACACTAATTTACAGTTTATTCATTTATTCAACATTTTTAGCCCCTTACGTTGGTAGGAGGTAAAGTGTTCCATAAGCTATTCAATTATCTTTTTAAAATAAACAGATGAATGCCTCAACAGCAAATATCAGGGTAGGAAAATTTACAGAAGCAATGCTTTTTAAAACTGTAAATAATAACCATGCTGCATTATCCTTGCATTCAAGAAGGTTGGGAAATATTCCTTTTAAGATCTTCTTTCCCTTAAAATGTAATAACAGGAAAGAAAAACATTTGGGACTGCTTTTTCTTAGTATTATGTGTACTCAGGAAATAAAGACATTTATTTAAAGAAGTATATGTATATATGTGTATATATACATTTATACACATACAGAAATATATATTAATAGCAATAACTCAATGAGATTTGTAGAAAATAATCACTTCAATTTTGCCTTTTTTTCTTTTTGTCTCCCTCCTTTTCTTTGATCTTCTTTCTTTTTGTTTTCTTTCCTGACTTTAGCTGTTTTCTCTTTTACTTCCATCTTCTCTTGTTAGCGTTTCTTCCTTTTCTCCCTTCCTTGCTTGTTTCCTTTTCACTTTTCTTTTTTTCCTTCTCCATCACATTTTATAAATACCATTTCATATGCAAGATAATTAGTAAATATTTCATTAATTGTTAAACATATATTAGTTATCAAATACTTTTATACAAAACTTCCTAAAACCTATGCTGTAACAATGATAGGAATAAAACTCATTAAGAAATTGTTTGTTCTTTTTCTCATTTTGCATAAAGTTTGCAGATAAATGACTTCATCTTTCTTATTCAAATTCCAGAATGTGAACATGAAAGGAAAATATAAAATTACTATATAATCAAAATGAATTTTAATGAGAATTTAAAAGAAAACACAGCTTCAGTGATATTGTTTCTCTTACTTGTATATTACCAAAAACAACACAACTGGCAAAATATTTGCCCATATATGTCAACCTTGGTTTACAGGAATATGGACATTGCAGAACTTAAATGTTTGGTGACAAGAAATACAACAATCATAAGAAAGTTTTTTTTTTAGGAAAAATGGTACCTGCAGATCAAAGCAAAACATCTGAGATGCTAGCAAAGCATGATTACTTCAAAGGTTGTTCTCTGAACAGCTGCGAATCTGCTTTAGGTATAAAGCTTGCAGGAACTTGAGCATCCTGAAAACATTCCAGATTAACTTCCCAGTTTGACAGAAAGCTAATTGCTTTCTGGCCCTGAAAGGGATGATAGTGTGAAACCTAAAGTTCAGAAATCAATTTCTAAAATATATCTTTTTTGGAGAATCTTTTCTTACATAAAAGCATGACTAGATACTGAATACTTTGTTAAGGAATTGAGTTTAATAAACAACCAATATTTAAACAAAGAAGAATGGCAGGCAGAGATGAGATTCTCATTTGTAAATGCATTAAATACCAAAGGTTACACCAGTAAAAACGAATGCTCTTTCCTTAAGTGTTTGCTGCTCAGAACACTCGCCTACTCTCCATCTCTTTCATTACTTTTGATCAAATTGCGTCAAGGCTGATTGATTATCATCTTCCCTCTAACTGCTAACTTTCTGAGACTTCTTCATTATGCTCCAAGGAGGACATCTTTATTACGAATAGCCTGGGGCGCAGATGAAGTATTGTTCAAAATTGATATTTCAATACAAGCACAATATACTTTTGTATTGAAGCGGAACGAATGTTAATCCCTCTTTGTGCATTCACATCATTTTCTCTCTTCTTTTACTTTATCTCAGTGATACAATTTTTTCTTCTACAGACCTCAAAATTTATTGCCCATGCTGTGCCCAGCATGTACCTACTAAGATTCGCGGGCTTCTTTTCCTACATGGATCCCTTTCTGCCAAATTCTGTGTTTACTGTACATTGAGGCTTTCTTCTCCCTCACTTTCACATTATAGTACAACTCATAAATTGCCCAACAGTAATTCATCAATGAGGTAAATTGTCCTCAGGATGGTTTATCCATGAGCATCAAGGATCTAATCCTATTGCTTGTTTAGGGCTAGCTTGAGACCTCTCCTGTGTTAAGAGAACTTTTGAAGAGTAGAGCCACGTTGTGCCCACCTGGGCATTAGCAAGGAAGTGAAACAGGGCCACCCTATGGGCAGGATTCCAGCTTCTGAGGCTGGCTCAGATCCCTGCTCAATCCCAGCTGAGAAGATCCACCGTTCTCCCCTTCATTGTCAAATAAATCCAGAACGAATTGCATGTCCTATTTTTGTGTAATGTTTAATCCTCACAATACCGAAGGTAGGAAAAGTAAAGATGTAATCAATCAGTATCGCCTTCCAAGGGAAAAATGAGTTATAAGAGGAAGATGAGCTTTAAGGCACTTTCCAGCATTATAAATCACTGTCCAAAGCATCTGTATTTGTAACTGTGCTTAAAGTGCTTATCAGGAAAAAACTATATGTTGTATCTGTAGATGGGATAATAATAGCTCTCATGTCATATGGTTATAATGAAGATTAAATGAGATAATTCTTGTAAAACACTTAACACAGTGCCTGTGTTAGTACTCAAAAATAGTAGTAGTTATTAGTATTAGCTATTAATTAGTATATTGTCCACTAGGCCACACTTGCTCACTATTTTATACAAAAGTCACACAAGGCTAGGCAGTGTTGTAAGTGTTTAAACTAAAAACAATAAGTAATTTTGAAGAGGCATATGTTTTTCTACCCAAATTTGTTGTTTAGTTGTTTTTTCTTAAACACTGATACTTGGTGAAGAAAATAGGTTGTCACTTTTAGGAACCTAAATTTTTATATTACATTATTACCAATAATGTGCTGTCCTGATCTTGAGACTGAGCGTTAGAACTGAAGATGAAGCAAGGAATAAAAATTACAACATAAACAAGTTTTACTTTCCTCCTTTTATCTCACTTTTTAATGTGAAACCATATAAATACTATCGTATTCTTCCATTCCAATAATGCTGAGGAATCTCAGAAATCAATGAAATGTACAAGAAGGTACATTGTGAGATTTGTTACTGGTTGTGACGTCCTGACAACCCACAGCTGTGATATTACTCCCCTTGGAGACATGATTATTTTTTGCCTATTAAGTACTGTGGCCTAAGAATATAGGAGCCTAATCTTTAAACACTTTTTCTCATTGTTTTCATGTTCCTTAAAAAACAAACCAGAAATATGCAGTCTAATACACTGCTACTGAGAGTCTACCTTGATATGACGTATTTGGAGATCTATTAAAACTTTAAGTGTGCATACTCTCCAATCCTGCAATTTCACTTATAGAAATTTTCTCTGGAGAAATACTTGCACAAATGCACAAAAACATATATATTAGGATGTTTACTAAAGCACTACTTGTAATAAGACAATACTGTCCCCAACTCAAAAGTCCATCAGTAGTGGTTAAATAAAATATGATGCATTCTAATAGTGGAATACTATGCAGTTGTTAAAAAGACTAAACTAAATGTTAATAGAAAAAAAAAATGAAGGAATGGACACCAAATCACTGAGTGGTTTTTCTCTAGGAGAGATATTATGGGGGATCTTTACTTATTTTTTCCATTATATGTCTTACTAATAGTTGAAATTTCAAAATAAGAATAAATTGCTTTTGTTAGCAGGAACAGATACACACATACATACACACATGTGTGTATTTAAATATACAGTAAAACAAATACATAAAAGAAAACCTCAAAGGAAAGTACCAGGTCAACCAGAGTGGTTAGTTGAAGTAAAACAGGAATAACATTTGATCTCCAGACTTCAAGTCTATTGTGTTCTTTTCTTATAAGAACAAATATTCTTAAGTATGACACGTATAGTATTGGTGTAACTATGAAAGGAAAAAGGCCATCAGATTTGGTAAACTTTTTTTCTTTCTTACGGTGTTGAAAACTCTTTGCTCTTTTCAAATTTAGCATTCTTTATGCCTGTAGGACTCCCTCTTCCTCTGTGCCTGGTCCCCTCTTGTTAATGAATCCCTTCCCTTACCCCTGCCTCCTCCCAGCCTCCTAGCCCCCTCCCCCATTTGAACAAACCATGCTGAATGGGCTTCTCTTGTAGCAAATGCAACTGAAAATTAGTGGCTACATGTAGCATGATGAAAAGGATTCTAAGGACAAATCTGGGACACAGTGTCATGATCAATTAGAGCATGAGTATCATGAAGATGATCATGCGCAGAGGTAGCAATAGTTTCATAGCTTTTCTTAGGGTTAAGGTCCCAGAGCATTAAGAAACTTTTGAGACCTGCCAAAACAAAAAGCAAAGTCCCAACACATTAAGCCAGTGTGTTCTGAGGAATAGTAATCTGCATCATGACTCTGCTTAGTGTCTAGGAGGGAAGGGACCTGGGGTTATACTGCTAACCACTGAGTCTGAGTTCTTTCTGTATTTAGTTTTGTTTGTTTGTTTTTGTACATAGACTTTGAGCTTCAAAGAGGACCATGGCTTACACCGAAGAGAATACAATTCAATAATTCAAGCATTGGGTTCAGAAAGAACTACACTAAGTCCTAGGACAATTATAGGTTGAACTGGATCAATAAAAGATAGGGCTTGCCCATAAGATTTCTGAACTTTCACTTGAACTTGTCCAAATCAGAAGTAGAAAGCTGGAATTGATTCAGAGAATTCTAGGGCACAGAGGCAAGGACGCTTGTGGGTAGTACAAGGTACTAAAACACTTTCATCACCCCTAAAAGAAACCCCAGACCATTAGCGGTCATTCTCCTCCTTCCCCCAGCCCCTTGCAACCACTAATCTTTCTGTCTCTATAGATTTGCCTTTTCTGAACACTTTGTATAAATAGAACCATACAGTATGTGGCCTTTGGTGGCTGGCTTCCTTCAGTAAACATGTCTTCAAGGTTCATCCATGTTGTAGTAGGAATCAGTACTCCATTTCTTTTTATGGCTAAATGATATTTCATTGGGCCAGGTGCAGTGACTCACACCTGTAATCCCAGCACTTTGGGAGGCCGAGGCAGGTGGATCACATGAGGTCAGGAGTTCAAGACCAGCCTGGCCAACATGGCGAAACCCCGTCTCCACTAAGAATACAAAAATTAACCGGGCATGGTGGTGCATGTCTGTAATCCCAGCTCCGTGGGAGGCTCAGGCAGGAGAACCGCTTGAACCTGGGAGGTGGAGGTTGAAGTGAACTAAGATTGTGACACTGCACTCCAGGTTTGTGACAGAGCAAGACTCCGTCTCAAGAAAAATAAAATAATATGGGCACTCAGTTTGTTTCCACCTCTTGGCTATTGTGAATAGTGCTGCTATGAATATTCACATATAAGTATTTATCTGAGTACCTGTTTTCAACTATTTTGCATATACGCCTACAAATGGAATTTCTGGGTTATATATTTCTGGGTTATATGGTAATTCTATGTTTATCTTTTTTTTTTTTTTTCGTGGAGACAAGGTCTCACTCTGATGCCCAGGCTGGAGTGCAGTGGTGAGATCACGGCTCACTGCAGCCTCGACCTCCCAGTCTCAAGCAGTCCTGGGTCTCAGCCTCCCAAGTAGTAGCTGGGACTATAGGCATGTGCCACCACTCCACTCCCTGCTAATTTTTCTTTTTTTTTTTTTTGAGACAGAGTCCCGCTCTGTCACACAAGTTTGAGTGCAGTGTTGTGACCTTGGATCACTGCAACCTCCACCTCCTGGGTTCAAGCAATTCTCGTGCCTCCGACACCCAAGTAGCTGGGATTACAGGCACGTGCCACCATGCCCGGTTAATTTTTGTGTTTTTAGTAGAGATGGGGTTTCGCCATGTTGGCCTGGCTGGTTTCGAACTCCTGGGATCAAGTGATCTGCCCGCCTAGGCTTCCCAAAGTGCTGGGGTTAGGGTGTGATCCACTGTGTCTGGCCCATGTAACTATTTTTATCCTCCAGAAATATTAGGACAATGTTGCATAAATCAGAAAAATTCATTGCTCACCCTCTAGTGTTATTTATGTCAATGAACAATCCAACAGGGCTAAAAAAGTCAATATTTGACTCTGGACCTGAGAAAAGAAGCTGTTTATTGCAATTTGGAAATTACATTTTCTGTGATATAAAATTTTTTATTAGGAGCATGACAGTTTATAATACCTGGAAAGTAGAAATGACTTTTTAATACAGTTTAAGTTAATGCAACATGAGTAGCTGAAGGCACAAATTAAAAGTCATTTGCTTTTTTATACTTAAAATATAGAAAAAGAAGAAATACTTTAATTTTAAAAAGTGTTCTGATAATCCACAGATTTCATGTTGTACTTTTTAAAAGTAAATCTGGTTTGAAAAAAAACCAACAACAACAAACATATTTAGCCTTGTTGAACACCCACAATAATAATGTTTGAAAAAAACTTACCTCTTAAAGCTATTAGACACAGGGAAAGCATTGTGAATATACAAATCTCTTTTAGTTCCAAAACTAAACTCTATTTAATTTTTTTTCTTAGGGATACACCAGGCAGAATGGAGAAACTGAGACATCCTGGCAAATTTGATGAGGTCCCCAAGGTCTCTAATTTGGAATACGTCCTCTAGCAACGACCTGAGGCTTAACATCTGCTGATTCTGTGCTACTGTAAGATAGTTCTTAGTTTACTGGGTCTGAAAAGCAGGTTTCTCTTTTAACCTCTGGGATTTCTTAACAGTTGCTACCGGTGGTATGATCACCTGATGATGTACTTTTAGCCAACTGTGTGTCATCATAGGGGTTTGTCTGTTTTAAAGAACATTCAAAGAAAAGGAATGGCTAGTCATACATAGGAGATCTTGTTAGCTGAGATTTAAGGGAGACTTAGAGAAAAGCTAACGGGAAAAGGACGTGCATTGTGGAGGAAGGGGTGGCGGCTGTGACAATATAAAAAACCATTATAAATAATAAAACTGAAAAAAAGATTTATGAAAACAGGTAAATGGTTGTTTTAGCTAGTGGTCAAATCCTTGGGAATCAGAGCTACAAAAGATAATTATGTGGATCTGCAAGCACTCTTAGAAACAGCAAAGGGTGTTTGTCTAACAGGCTGCAGGGGCAGAGTAGTGGTAGTGATAGCCATGGAAACACCGTCACTGGGACAGCTGGGTGCTACGAGGGGCAGCTGGATGGCTTGTGCACGCAGTGGAGGTGGGCTGGAGTTTTAACATAGCCAGTCATGTCCATGGCTCTCTGCAGCTAGTTCTAAATTGAATTTTGTTTCTTTGGTATGTTTTTCACTTGGGAAATTCAAAAACAGATTAACAGAGGAACCCACAGCATTGACATGTTTTGGATGCTGTGTAGAATTGATAAAAGAGTCCTCAGGATTCAGGCATTTAAACAAATTCACCTGCTTTACTCCTCGGGATTCTTAATATTTTTTAAAGCCTGTTCTGGATTTTATTTCATGAAATACTGTGTTACTCTGAGTTGTATGTGAACACACATACCACCCACATGGGGATGAATAAGGACATGATTTCAAATATATGTGATAAAAAAACCTTACCCCTTGACAGATATTACTTTCGTAATAGTATCTTTCCTCTCTTATATTAGATATCTAAGAATCTTGAAAGTTTTTCCAAAAACATGGGTTTCAAAATAATAGTATCCAACAAGGATGATTATGCTTATTACACTTAAAAGAGGCAGAAATGGAAATTGTTGGAACAATTTGTCCAACTGATCTAACAAATTCATGATTGAGCTGTAATTTAACCTAAATTGCTAGAGTCCCATCTTAATGATTTTTGCTGCTGCTTGTTCAGATAAAGGAATATTGATTTTAAGGTAATCACAGCTGAGATGTAGTTCATATTTCTAATAATTTTCTCAGCAATACTGTTTTATTTCTCACCTAGAAGTAAAAGCATGTGTAAATGTATTAAAATTGTATATTTTGGTGGTATGGTTTCTATATTTTCATAAATTAAAAAAATTATAAGATGGGGCTTAGAATGGAGTCATACTAATGAGAAATTTAAGATTTATTAATATATAAGATCCTTCTTATACTTTTATTTCTTGGATAAAAAGGTGAAGAAATCATGGAGTCTCAAAGAGGTAAAATATGCAATGATATTAATTAAGATCAACCTCAAAAGTAAAAAACATAAATACCCGTGTCTCCATCAAGTAAACTTGATAAATAAATTAGATAAACCAATGAGGTTTATCTAATTGGTTAGTTGAATTTTTTTTTTTTTTTTTGAGACAAAGTCTCTCTGTCACCCAGGCTGGAGTGCAGTGGCACAATCTCGGCTCACTGCAACCTCCGCCTCCCAGGTTCAAGAGAGTCTCCTGCCTCAGACTCCCAAGTAGCTGGAATTACAGGCGCCTGGCACCACGTCAGGCTAATTTTTGTATTTTTCGTAGAGACAGGGTTTTGCCATGTTGGCCAGGCTGGTTTCGAACTCCTGACCTCAAGTGATCCACCTGCCTCGGCCTCCCAAAGTGCTGGGATTATAGGTGTAAGCCACCGCACCCAGCCGGTTAGTTGAATTTTTAAATATTGAATTTTCAAATGACCATCTAGATGAACTAGTTCCTTTGCTCCAGCCAGAGGTACTGTTCATAGGCATAGATTACTTATACTAATTATCCTTCATTGATTTTCCTAAGATAAAAAAAGGATATAATAAATTACGCTAGATAACCTCCCTGGAATTATGTGAAAATTAATGAGATTATGGTTGTAGAGTTTCATTTTTGTGGATGGCCAAAAACAGTTGTTTTTTTCTTTTTTTTGGAGATAGTGTCTCGCTCTGTCACCCAGGTTGGGGTACAGTGGCATGATCATGGCTCATTGCAGCCTTGACTTCCCAGGCTCAAGTGATCTTCCTGCCTCAGTCTCCCAAGCAGCTGGGACTATAGGTGCGTACCACCATGCCCAACTTACTTTTTCATATTTTGTAGATGTGAGGTCTTGCCATATTGCCTAGGCTGTTCTCAAAATCCTGGACTGAAGCTACCCTCTCACCTCTGCCTCCCAAACTGGCATTACAAGCATGAGCCACTGCACCCAGCCCAAAAAATAGTTTTAAAAAATGACTAATTGAAATTAGTGTACTTTTTTGAGAAAAAAAACTTAAAGTGCATAACTAAACATACACAAAGAAAGATTATTCAAGAATTATAATAGAACAATTAAGTTTTTATTGACTTTGACATCAATGGCAAGTATACTTAAATATGCATACCTCACTATTGTCAATAAACTACATCATCACATTATTATCGACAAAAACAATAGCAAGACAAGCATCTTAATGAATGCAAAATATAATACACTTTGTAGTTGTATATTTTTATCAAAGTGTTCTCACATTTATTACTTTATTCTCATTTTAAATTAATGAATTATGTTATGCCTTACATATATTAACGTAACTAAAACTCTCAAATGTCAAAAAAAAAACCCAATTGAATGTTATCTACAGAGGTCTTTTACCAATTTTTTTAACCTAATTTTCAACTGTTGCTTGTTTAACCATCTCCTGTTTCACTGTCTCTATTTTTATGTTTTATTCTTTGAAATACTTCTGCTATCTTGGGGAAATCTTTATCCTTACCATCAGGATTCTTTTGCTTTTTCTTTCCTTCTCCCATTGAACAGGTCACTTAAAGCCTTCCTCAGTAACTGTTGCATATCCTTCCTTGGGGGACAAATTCCTGCTCTCTTTAAAAGTTTGTAGATACCAGCATTTTTGTTTTGTCTCAATTTTTCTTAAACTTGTAAGGATCTTTTAAATTGCTCTTTGAAATCCTTCAAATTCAATTTTACAAAATCAAACTTCCTCTGAAAATTTCTTTAGGAGATTTTGTTACTATTTTTGTTGAGCTTTATTTTCTATTCTTGCATCTCCCTCACAACATTCCCCTTCATAGATTCCCCTTCATTGAAATATGTCCTCTTTTTAATTTCCACCTTTTAAAAGGTGAGATATGAAGTATGTCTCTCACATGTTCTGGATTCTAACTACTAATTATTAAAACACAGCCACATTAAAATGCAAAATAGTTGCTGATTATTTAAGCCTACACTTCCTTCTTTCAGAAGTGGACATGGGGACCATCTTTTAAAGTTTGCGTTTGTTCCAGAGAGTGGTAGAGAGATCACCGTCTAGTGTTAATGCACCCTGCAGAAAGGAGGCATTCATGATAAATGCTAGGGACTATGGCAAACACACCCTCCAGTGATTCCCAATGAGTCACACCCTTGTATAATCTTCTCTTGTGTGCAGAAGTGGGTGACTCACTTTTAACCAAAAGAATGGGGGTATAACTCCTTTGAGTAGGTTATACTATTAATACATGGAAGATGTGATAAGATGCCACTGCTCCAATTATGTTTATTATATAAGACAATGTCTAACAGGCTGGTAGGAGAGATTCTTCCACTGACTTTGAAAAAGTAAGCTGCCCCATGTTGTGAGAGGTTTATGGCAAGGACCTGTGAGTGACCTTTAAAGACATCAGGGTGGCCTCTACCTGACAGACAGTAAGAATATGGGGCCTTCATGGATGAGGTGGGCTCACACATGTAATCCCAGCACTTTAAGAGGCTGAGGTGGGCGGATCACCTGAGGTCAGGAGTTTGAGACCAGCCTGGCCAACATGGCGAAACTCTGTCTTTACTAAACATACAAAAATTATATTTTTGTATAATTTTGTATAATTTGGGGTGTGGTGGTGGGCACCTGTAATTCCAGCTACTTGGGAGGCTGAGGCAGGAGAATAATTTGAACCTGGGAAGTGGAGGTTGCAGTGAACCAAGATTGCACGACTGTACTCCAGCCTGGGTGACAGAGCTAGACTCTGTCTCAAAAAAGAAAAAGGGGCCTTCAGTCATAAAGCTGAAAGAAATGAATTCTGCCCACAACCTGAATAAGCTTGCAAGCGGATTCTTCCCCAATTAACTCTCCAGATGAGAATGCAGCCCAGCTGACACTTTAATTGCTGCCATGTGAAACCCTGATCTGAGGACACAGAAAACCTTTTCCCAGGCTCCTGACCCAAAAACACTGTGAGATAATAAATGCATTTTGTTTTAAGCCTTTAAGTTTATGGTAGTTGCTTACAGAAATAGAACACTAATACAAGGATTGCCACTCTTTTCCCTAATGACAATTTCCAAAATATTCATAGACTTTCTTTCCTGTTATTTTCAATATTTTAATTTATATTTTTATGAGTTTTTAAATATACTTTAATTTGTTCTGTCTCTCATCAATATTAACTTCTTTATTTGGAACACATTCAAGTAATGGAATTTGCTTAACTAATAGATTTTTTTTTTAAGTATAGTACCTCTTGAATTTTGTAATGGGGCCAGATTCTGTTATTGATTTTTTTGCGAAGTAAATAGGCTATTAACATGCTTTTACACTTTCAAGGAAGTATAAGTTGCTTCTTTGAATTTTTAAAACTAGAATCATAAACTTTAATTAATGGCTTTAGCTCTGCACATGTATTATAACAATGATCATAATGTTTTGCTGCAAGACGAATTGTACTACTCAGGATATTTTCCATATTTCCCCAGTGTGTACTTTTCATTCACTGTATAACATAGAGCAAAGATAATAAAGATTTAATACGGAAACAAGTTTAAAATTAATGTGTCTCTTAGGTAATACAGGCTATATCTATTCATTCTAATTTATTTTAGGATACCAGAAATATCATATTCCA
The DNA here is from genome assembly GCF_000001405.40 of Homo sapiens. Classification (NCBI taxonomy): domain Eukaryota; kingdom Metazoa; phylum Chordata; class Mammalia; order Primates; family Hominidae; genus Homo; species Homo sapiens. The sequence continues at coordinate 57,348,002 of NC_000014.9, read as the reverse complement.
TATTTTTATGTTTCACTACAACTGCTTCTTGAGTGAAGCAGGTATAAAAATGTAACTATATAGACTTATCAATAATTGTTTGTTGCTAACATAGAAATATCCTGAAGATACTATTTTCTGAATTGTCATTAAAATGAGTGAGTCAGCAGTAGACATGAAACCAAAGACTTCCCAAGATGATAACATGTCTTATTTTTGTGCTTCTTCATTTAGCTTTTCCCTTTGCCCCTCTGCCAAAGCTAAAGTCTTCCTTAATTTTGTGACGTTTCTACGAAACAGTGATATCAGTTTCTTCTTCAAAATTATTGATTTTATAAAATCTTAGAACATCGGTGTTGAATCAATTGGACTCCCTATACAGGTTATAAGAATACATAATCTCATCAGTACTATGGCTCCTGTTGTTCAAGATTTGTGCATTTTCTATTGATATGTTCAGTTGTGTAGTCAGACTCAGAAATCAGATCACTACTTCATTTTTGAAGTCATCTTGTATGGGAATTACCCAGTTATGAATTTCCCAGGAAATTATTTGTGGCAAATGATTGACTTGTATCTTCCAGAGACTTTGCTTCCACTATGGATATTGGTGCCTCTTGCATGTCTCATGATGTTTGTCATGGTCCATACTGGGGGATTCTGTGACTGACCATGAATGAAACAATCAGTGTCATTTTTACCTGCTTTATTTTTTAAAATTAGACTCTATATGAATTACTAAACATATATGAATTACTAGACCTACTGTGAAATAGCTATGTTGTTCACTCTTTCACATTATATTTTCTTACCAAGTTTTGGGAATAGGCTATAGAGATGGATCTTAAGAGAAAGTAATGGTTGAACAGTAGTCATCACAGTGTTATAAACTTCTTTAATGTCTTTATGTGCTACAGTCACAAATGATATTTGAACTTAATCCAGAGCAATTTCCATCTTGTTCAACTGAGAAAATGGTTCTTGTGGGAATTCTTTTAACTGATTCCACCTGCCACAGGGTATTAGCAGATTAGAGCAAACATTGGGAGGTGCCCTGTGTCATCTAAGTGAACAATGACACATTTGTTTGCTTTTCTACCATCAAGGATATTTGAAGGTCGACTTTTGAACAGAGTGTTTTGTGAACATAACAATAGCCACATACTTGTGTGGAAGTAAACAGATACTTGACCAAAAGAAGGATCTTTCAACCACATAACTACAAATGGGAAAGAAAGCCTAACATGAGAGATCTGCTTTTACAGCGTGCCCACTGCTTCACCCACCCCTAGACATCTCCTGCTCAGAGAGGCTCTGTCTTAGAAATACCCAGGATCCCACTGGAGCTGTGAACACTGGTCAGCAATCCTATGCTATATCTGATACAGGAGAAAATCCAAAAAAGGAAGTGTTGAGAGAAGTGTTTTTTCTTTCCTCACCTCTGCATTCTATAAAGGACTGAAATGTGCAGATTTCTTGATGCTGTTCCCACACTGATAAATGACAATACAATAGTGCTTAAATCATTATTCCTGAAGTTTCTCATCATAAACTTTTCCCTCCACCGCATGGTAGGGCTCTGCAGAAATCATACAACTGAGGATTGCTTGGACCCAGGAGTTCAAGGCTGCAGTGAGCTGTGATTGTACCATTGTACCCCAGCCTGGGTGACAGAGTGAGATGTTGTCTAAAAAAAATCATGTAACTGCCCTTAATTTCCTTTTCTATAAAATGAAAAGAGTAATAAGAGGCTCTTGCTCATGTAATAGAATATTTTATACACATTTAAGAAATAGTCATTTAAGAAATGAACCCTATGGGCAGACAGTTCTTAAGACCCATAAATATCACATTATTCTTGATACCCATAATATTAAATGAAAGAAAATGATTTTTCTTTTCACTTCTTGAAGAAAAAAGTAATAAAAAAAAAAAAAGTTGATATGCCCTGACAATGATCAGAAGGCACTCAAAAAAATTGGTCTCTGAGAATTGGTATTAGGGCAAAAATAAAACAGACAATTAATGAGTGGGTAGTTTGTCAGAGGGTTGAGTAGGCAATATAAGTGCTAATATTAGAGGGATGTGGCTAATTCCATGTGCCTCCAGAAAAAGGAAACTGCACTGGGGTTTGGTCATTGAAGAAGAAACTGTTTTTAACAGTTGTGTCATGCCTCATTTTATAGTTCATTAAAAAAAAAAAAAAAGCTCTAAGACCAGCCTGGCCAGCATGGTGAAACCTCGTCTCTACTAAAAATACAAAAATTAGCCTGGCATGGTGGCAGGCGCCTGTAATCCCAGCTACTCGGGAAGCTGAGGCAGGAGAATCGCTTGAACCCGGGAGGCGGAGGTTGCAGCGAGCCGAGATGGCGCCACTGCGCTCCAGCAAAAAAAAAAAAAAATAGTAAAATAAAAATAAATAAATAAAACAAACCCTCAAGCTTAAAATAAGTGAAGACTCCGGAATAAAAATCTCCATATGAATAAGCATTCAACCCTGTACAGAAACAAAAACCTTCAATGACCTGAGTCCCATCTTCTCGCTAAAGGAGAGTTTTCCAGAGGTCCGGCAGAGGAGATGTGGCCAAGCTTCATCTGGGCGCAGGTGCAGCCGCGCTTCCACAGGGAAAGAACAATGTCTGGAGTGAGCCAGCACTGGTTTGGTGAACCCCATGGCGACTGCCAGTCGTTTGCAGGCTTTTGTCTATTCTTTGTGTACTGTTTGACTCAGCTTGAGCCAAAATAATCAGCAGCTAAAGCTGGAGCCTACCTTTTTGCAGAGAGCACAGTGTTTGATGTTTCTGGACATTTTTGCAACGTGTAACCCCTACCCTGAGCTCCTGCTGCCTTACTAGCACTTCCACATGAAAGTACAAGACTCTAAAACGGTACCTTCTACACACTATATTCCCATTTATGAGGCAAGCAGACAACGTTTTCTGACAGCTGGCTGTCCATCTGGTGTTTGATGTGTGGCAGAAAAGCACCATGGGGTAATAAGGGAGATGGATGTTTTTCTGAGGTGGCAACTCAGTGTTCCTGACTGCAGACTCCCTTGGGCTTCCTGCCCTTCTGCCCTGCATGCTGCCTCTTTGCACAGGATGGTAAGTTTCCTCTTCTTGCTGTAGTACAGGTAAACTATTTCTAGTCACCTACCTGGCTTTTCATTTATTTGCAATTTCTTGATCACAACAAACATTTCAACTACTTTGTTATGGTGGTGTCAGCATGAATGCATTGGAACTGGTAAAGGTTTTTTTTTTTTGAGACGGAGTCTCACTCTGTCACCCAGGCTGGAGTGCCGTGGCGCCATCTCAGCTCACTGCAACCTCTACCTCCTGGATTCAAGTGATTCTCCTACCTTAGCCTCCTGAGTAGCTGGGACTACAGGCGTGCGCCACCACCCCTGGCTAATTTTTGTATTTTTAGTACAGATGGAGTTTCACCACATTGGCCAGGCTGGTCTCGAACTCCTGACCTCAAGTGATCCACCTGCCTTGGCCTCCCAAAGTGCTGGGATTACAGGCGTGAGCCACACTGCACCCAGCCTGGTAAAGGTTTTTTAAACAGCCTTCTTTCTTTTTTAACTTTTATTGTTGCCTGAAATTCTTTATTTTTATTTGTTTGTAAATGTTTTCTAGCCTATCTGTTCCAGAAAACTAGGAGAAATATTTATGCTAGACATAAAGCTATAATCTTGCAAACAGGCTGAAAATAACTTTTTTAAAACTTAGATAATCTTCAGTTTGCTATGACCGAAGTTTAAAAATAGTTTTATATCTGCCTATATATTTCTATATTATGGATATTTAGTTTAAGAATTGTTTGGACAGATGTTTTTTGAGACAACTACATTTACAAAGATTGTACTTGGTGTCTACAAAAAAGCTTTTGCGAGCTTCCGGCGGGGAGGAGCCAAGATGGCCGAATAGGAACAGCTCCAGTCTACAGCGCCCAGCGTGAGCGACGCAGAAGACGGGTGATTTCTGCCATTTCCATCTGAGGTACCGGGTTCATCTCACTAGGAAGTGCCAGAGAGTGGGCACAGGTCAGTGGGTGCACGCACCGTGCGCGAGCCAAAGCAGGGCGAGGCACTGCCTCACTTGGGAAGCGCAAGGGGTCAGGGAGTTCCCTTTCCGAGTCAAAAAAAGGGGTGACAGACGGCACCGGGAAAATCGGGTCACTCCCACCCGAATACTGCGCTTTTCCGACGGGCTTAAAAAACGGCCCACCAGGAGATTACATCCAACACCTGGCTCGGAGGGTCCTATGCCCACGGAGTCTCGCTGATTGCTAGCACAGCAGTCTGAGATCAAACTGCAAGGCGGCAGCAAGGCTGGGGGAGGGGCGCCCGCCATTGCCCAGGCTTGATTAGGTAAACAAAGCAGCAGGGAAGCGCGAACTGGGTGGAGCCCACCACAGCTCAAGGAGGCCTGCCTGCCTCTGTAGGCTCCACCTCTGGGGGCAGGGCACAGACAAACAAAAAGATAGCAGTAACCTCTGCAGACTTAAATGTCCCTGTCTGACAGCTCTGAAGAGAGCAGTGGTTCTCCCAGCACGCAGCTGGAGATCTGAGAACGGGCAGACTGCCTCCTCAAGTGGGTCCCTGACCCCTGACCCCCGAGCAGCCTAACTGGCAGGCACCCCCCAGCAGGGGCAGACTGACACCTCACAGGGCCCAGGACCCCAACAGACCTGCAGCTGAGGGTCCTGTCTGTTAGAAGGAAAACTAACAAACAGAAAGGACATCCACACCAAAAACCCATCTGTACATCACCATCATCAAAGACCAAAAGTAGATAAAACCACAAAGATGGGGAAAAAACAGAACAGAAAAACTGGAAACTCTAAAAAGCAGAGCGCCTCTCCTCCTCCAAAGGAACGCAGTTCCTCACCAGCAACGGAACAAAGCTGGATGGAGAATGACTTTGACGAGCTGAGAGAAGAAGGCTTCAGATGATCAAATTACTCCGAGCTACGGGAGGACATTCAAACCAAAGGCAAAGAAGTTGAAAACTTTGAAAAAAATTTAGAAGAATGTATAACTAGAATAACCAATACAGAGAAGTGCTTAAAGGAGCTGATGGAGCTGAAAACCAAGGCTCGAGAACTACGTGAAGAATGCAGAAGCCTCAGGAGCCGGTGCGATCAACTGGAAGAAAGGTAATCAGCGATGGAAGATGAAATGAATGAAATGAAGCGAGAAGGGAAGTTTAGAGAAAAAAGAATAAAAAGAAAGGAGCAAAGCCTCCAAGAAATACGGGACTATGTGAAAAGACCAAATCTACGTCTGATTGGTGTACCTGAAAGTGACGGGGAGAATGGAACCAAGTTGGAAAACACTCTGCAGGATATTATCCAGGAGAACTTCCCCAATCTAGCAAGGCAGGCCAACATTCAGATTCAGGAAATACAGAGAATGCCACAAAGATACTCCTCAAGAAGAGCAACTCCAAGACACATAATTGTCAGATTCACCAAAGTTGAAATGAAGGAAAAAATGTTAAGGGAAGCCAGAGAGAAAGGTCGGGTTACCCTCAAAGGGAAGGCCATCAGACTAATAGTGGATCTCTCCGCAGAAACTCCACAAGCCAGAAGAGAGTGGGGGCCAATATTCAACATTCTCAAAGAAAAGAATTTTCAACCCAGAATTTCATATCCAGCCAAACTAAGCTTCATAAGTGAAGGAGAAATAAAATACTTTACAGACAAGCAAATGCTGAGAGATTTTGTCACCACCAGGCCTGCCCTAAAAGAGCTGCTGAAGGAAGCGCTAAACATGGAAAGGAACAACTGGTACCAGCCACTGCAAAATCATGCCAAAATGTAAAGACCATCCAGACTAGGAAGAAACTGCATCAACTAATGAGCAAAATAACCAGCTAACATCATAATGACAGGATCAAATTCACACATAACAATATTAACTTTAAATGTAAATGGACTAAATTCTTCAATTAAAAGACACAGACTGGCGAATTGGATAAAGTGTCAAGACCCATCAGTGTGCTGTATTCAGGAAACCCATCTCACGTGCAGAGACACACACAGGCTCAAAATAAAAGGATGGAGGAAGATCTACCAAGCAAATGGAAAACAAAAAAAGGCAGGGGTTGCAATCCTAGTCTCTGATAAAACAGACTTTAAACCAACAAAGATCAAAAGAGACAAAGAAGGCCATTACATAATGGTAAAGGGATCAATTCAACAAGAGAGCTAGCTATCCTAAATATATATGCACCCAACACAGGAGCACCTAGATTCATAAAGCAAGTCCTTAGTGACCTACAAAGAGACTTAGACTCCCACACAATAATAATGGGAGACTTTAACACCCCACTGTCAACATTAGACAGATCGACGAGACAGAAAGTCAACAAGGATACCCAGGAATTGAACTCAGCTCTGCACCAAGCAGACCTAATAGACATCTACAGAACTCTCCACCCCAAATCAACAGAATATACATTTTTTTTCAGCACCACACCACACCTATTCCAAAACTGACCACATACTTGGAAGTAAAGCTCTCCTCAGCAAATGTAAAAGAACAGAAATTATAACAAACTATCTCTCAGACCACAGTGCAATCAAACTAGAACTCAGGATTAAGAATCTCACTCAAAACCGCTCAACTACATGGAAACTGAACAACCTGCTCCTGAATGACTACTGGGTACATAACGAAATGAAGGCAGAAATAAAGACGTTCTTTGAAACCAGCGAGAACAAAGACACAACATACCAGAATCTCTGGGACGCATTCAAAGCAGTGTGTAGAGGGAAATTTATAGCACTAAATGCCCACAAGAGAAAGCAGGAAAGATCTAAAATTGACACCCTAACATCACAATTAAAAGAACTAGAAAAGCAAGAGCAAACACATTCAAAAGCTAGCAGAAGGCAAGAAATAACTAAAATCAGAGCAGAACTGAAGGAAATAGAGACACAAAAAACCCTTCAAAAAATTAATGAATCCAGGAGCTGGTTTTTTGAAAGGATCAACAAAATTGATAGACCGCTAGCAAGACTAATAAAGAAGAAAAGAGAGAAGAATCAAATAGATGCAATAAAAAATGATAAAGGGGATATCACTACTGATCCCACAGAAATACAAACTACCATCAGAGAATACTACAAACACCTCTATGCAAATAAACTAGAAAATCTAGAAGAAATGGATAAATTCCTCGACACATACACTCTCCCAAGACTAAACCAGGAAGATGTTGACTCTCTGAATAGACCAATAACAGGATCTGAAATCGTGGCAATAATCAATAGCTTACCAACCAAAAAGAGTCAAGGACCAGATGGATTCACAGCTGAATTCTACCAGAGGTACAAGGAGGAACTGGTACCATTCCTTCTGAAACTATTGCAATCAACAGAAAAAGAGGGAATCCTCCCTAACTCATTTTATGAGGCCGGCATCATCCTGATACCAAAGCCAGGCAGAGACCCAACCAAAAAAGAGAATTTTAGACCAATATCCTTGATGAACATTGATGCAAAAATCCTCAATAAAATACTGGCAAACCGAATACAACAGCACATCAAAAAGCTTATCCACCATGATCAAGTGGGCTTCATCCCTGGGATTCAAGGCTGGTTCAATATACACAAATCAATAAATGTAATCCAGCATATAAACAGAACCAAAGACAAAAACCACATGATTATCTCAATAGATACAGAAAAGGCCTTTGACAAAATTCAACAACCCTTCATGCTAAAAACTCTCAATCAATTAGGTATTGATGGGACGTATTTCAAAATAATAAGAGCTATCTATGACAAACCCACAGCCAATATCATACTGAATGGGCAAAAACTGGAAGCATTCCCTTTGAAAACTGGCACAAGACAGGGATGCCCTCTCTCACCACTCCTATTCAACATAGTGTTGGAAGTTCTGGCCAGGGCAATTAGGCAGGAGAAGGAAATAAAGGGTATTCAATTAGGAAAAGAGGAAGTCAAATTGTCCCTGTTTGCAGACGACACGATTGTATATCTAGAAAATCCTGTTGTCTCAGCCCAAAATCTCCTTAAGCTGATAAGCAGCTTCAGCAAAGTCTCAGGATACAAAATCAATGTACAAAAATCACAAGCATTCTTATACACCAACAACAGACAAACAGAGAGCCAAATCATGAGTGAACTCCCATTCACAATTACTTCAAAGAGAATAAAATACCTAGGAATCCAACTTACAAGGGATGTGAAGGACCTCTTCAAGGAGAACTACAAACCACTGCTCAAGGAAATAAAAGAGGATACAAACAAATGGAAGAACATTCCATGCTCATGGGTAGGAAGAATGAATATCGTGAAAATGGCCATACTGCCCAAGGTAATTTACAGATTCAATGCCATCCCCATCAAGCTACCAATGACTTTCTTCACAGAATTGGAAAAAACTACTTTAAAGTTCATATGGAACCAAAAAAGAGCCCACATCGCCAAGTCAATCCTAAGCCAAAAGAACAAAGTCGGAGGCATCACACTACCTGACTTCAAACTATACTACAAGGCTACAGTAACCAAAACAGCATGGTACTGGTACCAAAACAGAGATATAGATCAATGGAACAGAACAGAGCCCTCAGAAATAACGCCGCATATCTACAACTATCTGATCTTTGACAAACCTGAGAAAAACAAGCAATGGGGAAAGGATTCCCTATTTAATAAATGGTGCTGGGAAAACTGGCTAGCCATATGTAGAAAGCGGAAACTGGATCCCTTCCTTACACCTTATACAAAAATCAATTCAAGATGGATTAAAGACTTAAACGTTAGACCTAAAACCATAAAAACCCTAGAAGGAAACCTAGGCATTACCATTCAGGACATAGGCATGGGCAAGGACTTCATGTATCAAACACCAAAAGCAATGGCAACAAAAGACAAAATTGACAAATGGGATCTAATTAAACTAAAGAGCTTCCACACAGCAAAAGAAACTACCATCAGAGTGAACAGGCAACCTACAAAATGGGAGAAAATTTTCACAACCTACTCATCTGACAAAGGGCTAATATCCAGAATCTACAATGAACTCCAACAAATTTACAAGAAAAAAACAAACAACCCCATCAAAAAGAGGGCGAAGGACATGAACAGACACTTCTCAAAAGAAGACATTTATGCAGCCAAAAAACACATGATAAAATGCTCACCATCAGTGGCCATCAGAGAAATGCAAATCAAAACCACAATGAGATACCATCTCACACCAGTTAGAATGGCAATCATTAAAAAGTCAGGAAACAACAAGTGCTGGAGAGGATGTCGAGAAATAGGAACACTTTTACACTGTTGGTGGGACTGTAAACTAGTTCAACCATTGTGGAAGTCACTGTGGTGATTCCTCAGGGATCTAGAACTAGAAATACCATTTGACCCAGCCATCCCATTACTGGGTATATACCCAAAGGACTATAAATCATGCTGCTTTAAAGACACATGCACACATATGTCTATTGCGGCATTATTCACAATAGCAAAGACTTGGAACCAACCCAAATGTCCAACAATGATAGACTGGATTAAGAAAATGTGGCACATATACACCATGGAATACTACGCAGCCATAACAAATGATGAGTTCATGTCCTTTGTAGGGACATGGATGAAATTGGAAATCATCATTCTCAGTAAACTATCGCAAGAACAAAAAACCAAACACCACATATTCTCACTCATAGGTGGGAATTGAACAATTAGAACACGTGGACACTGGAAGGGAAACATCACACTCTGGGGACTGTTGTGGGGTGGGGGGAGGGGGGAGGGATAGCATTGGGAGATATACCTAATGCTAGATGACGAGTTAGTGGGTGCAGCACACCAGCATGGCACATGTATACATATGTAACTAATCTGCACATTGTGCACATGTACCCTAAAACTTAAAGTATAATAATAATTTAAAAAAAAAAGAAAGTCTAGTTTCCCCCCCAAAAAAAAGCTTCTGCACTTTTAATAGAAAAAAATGCTTTATACCTAACAGAATGCAAAGAACCATGAATTATTTAAATATCAGAATTTTCTGAATTGTCATATTATAGATAAAATGATTATTTTAAAATCAGCATATTTTAATGCTGATTATTTTATTAAAAATCATTTTAATAATGATTATTTTAAATCAGCAAACATACAAAAACCAATAATGTATACACCTTAAGGCAGAAAGAATTTTCAATTTTATTTTCAGTGCTACTGTGGAATCTTTAAGCAAGCATCACTTAGGACTGATTATAGACAAGCACCCCAATGCTGTCACTTTAAAGGAAAAACTCTTCTGAGTTGTGATTATCAGGAAATCCACTCGGAAAAAGATGAGCATCCCACAGAGTAGCCTGGGCTTCCTGCTTACTTAGGCCACCTCTCTGAGATCAATGAGCATTTAGCTGCAAAGATGACCCTGGTCTTCTTCCTCCAAACCCATTGTCATTTTCTCTGTTATTATTTCTCTTCACATTCTCTGCTCATTTGCATAAGAGTGAGGCCATCATGATTAGCTTTAGTCAGGAAACCTTAGGTTTACAGAAGGGAGAAAATAGCCCAGGGATGACCAAGCTCAGCCAGGTTCACCTCTTACATTGAACAACCAGTGTTTCTATGCTCTCCTGAAAAACAATGGATCCGATTTTTTTGCTGGTTGTGAGGCCAAATTGGCTGGATGTAGGTATAACTAAAGTGGAAATCCTTGCTGTGGATGCTATCAATATAGAAAAATGACTGATAATGTTAATGGTTTCAAATAAGTTAATTGAGGAGTACTTCTTGGGTACTACGGACATTGCCACTTGTTTAAAATGAAAAAGAAAATGTCTTGTCTTAAAAGATACAATTGTGGCCAGGTCAGGTAGCTCACGCCTGTAATCCCTGCACTTTGGGAGGCCAAGGTGGGTGGATCACGAGGTCAGGAGATCGAGACCATCCTGGCCACATGGTGAAACCTCGTCTTTACTAAAACACAAAAAAATTAGCCTGTCTTGGGGGTGCGCACCTGTATTCCCAGCTACTCAGGAGGCTGAAGCAGGGGAATTGCTTGAACCCAGGAGGCAGAGGTTGCAGTGAGCCGAGATTGCGCCACTGCACTCCAGCCTGGTGACAGAGCAAGACTCCATCTCAAAAAAAAAAAAAAAAAAAAAAAAAAAAAGATATAATCTTAATAAAATTTTTTCCTTTCTTCCATTCTATTCCTAAATTTAAAAGATACAATTTTTAGAGGCCTGAGTGAGACAGAAAAGGCCTGTTTTGCCTTTTGTAGATTAAAGGCAAAACAAGGAAGGGTGAACAACAAAAAGATGCCAAAATAAAATGTGTTCAGGAAGAAGCATTATAATTAGGGATTCCAAAGTATATTGCATAACTGCAATATGTAAGTGTGTTTTTTTTCAAACAAAAAGAAACGAAAGAAAAGACAAATGAATAAAGAGAAAAACATTAGTGAAAGGAAAATTTTAAAGAAATGCCTAAGCTTGGTTTTAGATGGTTTTTTATCTAAAGCATAATGTTTTAATATGGCTTTTTATTTTTATTTTTTTCTGAAATAGCCATCCTACAGGAAATTTTGCTCACTCCTGAGCTAGAGAAAGGTCAGAAAGAGCAGCAGCAGAGTCAAGAGAAAGAAGACATGGCCAGAAGTCACAGGACATAAGGACAGCCTCTGTTTCACCCTCCCCAAGGCTGAAGTAGGTCTCCATTTTGCCCTATTTTCTAGAAGTAGACACATGCTACAAAGGAATAATGAGCTTTACAGTTTGCATTGAATTTTATACACTATGGAGAATGGGGGTTACATAGCACAGATCACAGATTTTCAAAATCTGCTAGTGAGGGCTGGGTGCAGTGTCTCACACCTGTAATCCCAGCACTTTGGGAGGCCAAGGAGGGCAGATTACCTGAGGTTCTGAGTTTGAGACCAGCCTAGCCAACATGGTGAAACCCTGTCTCTACTAAAAATACAAAAATTAGCTGGGCATGGTGGCGCACGTCTGTAATCCCAGCTACTCTGGAGGTTGAGGCACAATAGTCACTTGAACTCAGGAGGCAGAGGTTGCAGTGAACCGAGATTGCACCACTGCACTCCAGCCTGGGAGACAGAGCAACACTCCATCTTGGGGATAAAAAAAAAAGGCTCTAATCTGTTTTGTTTTTTTCCCTTTCTTCCAACTGGATAATTTATATTGGTCTATCTTCAAGTTAATTGCCTTTTCTCTGTCATTGCCATTCTGCTACTGAGCTCATCTGGTGAATTTTTTATTTTAGTTCTTATATTTTTCAGTTCTAAAATTTCCATTTGGTTCTTTTTTTAATGCTTTCTACTTCTTTGCTAAGATCATCTATCCCTCTGTTCATTTCAAGAGGCTTTACCTTTGTCTCATAGAGACCAGTTATAAAAGCTGCTTTAAAATTTTTGTATTGTAATTCCAACATTTGCATAAACTTGGATGTGATGGTTAACACTGAATGTCAACTTGATTAGATTGAAGGATACAAAGTATTGATCCTGGGTGTGTCTGTAAGGGTGTTGTCAAATTAACATTTGAGTCAGTGGGCTGGGAAAGGCAGGCCCACCCTTAATTTGGGTGGGCACAATCTTATCAGCTGCCAGCGCTGCTAGAATATAAGCAGGAAGAAAAGTAACCTCCCAGCCTACATCTTTCTCCCATGCTGGATGTTTCCTGCCCTCAAACATCAAACTCCAAGTTCCTCAGTTTTGGAACTCGGACTGGCTCTCCTTGCTCCTCAGCCTGAAGGTGGCCTGTTGTGGGACCTGTGATCATGTGAGTTAATACTTAATAAACTCCCCTTTATGCATATATATCTATTCCATTAGTTCTGTCCCTCTAGAGAACCCTGACTAATACAGATTTTGGTACCAGGAATGGTTCTAGAGGAAAATAATATTAAGGATGGAGTTCTTTCATTGGTTTTGGTGTTTCTGGAGTTGGCTGCTGAATATGATTAGACCCAAAAATGCGAAGGACTCTACTTCTAATAGTATGGAGAGCACTAATAGTCCTTGGCATGAACTGTTTAGAGAGTTATGCAAAATAAATGCATTTGACACTCTTGATTCACCACTCATGAGAGGCAAAGAGTTTAGTGACTGTATACATAATACCTTTGACCATATGTGGAGAACCAAGAAACACAGTGAAGCTGGTTGATTGCTCCTAAGTCCAGTGGACAAAGTGATGGAAGAAAATGATGAACTCAGGGATTTTAACTGCCAGCTTCAGAAGCAGATACTGAGCCTGAAATCTGCCAAGATTGCCCTGAGTGAGAGTCTTATCTCCTGTAGAGAAAGAGCTGAAATTGTGGAAAAACAGACACAAGCTCTAAGCATGAGAGTGGCTGACCTGCAATGAAAGCTGAATGTACAGCCTTGCCAGGTGTCTACTGTTAAAGTGAGGGTTTGATTGGAAAAGAATGGGACCCTGCAGCTTGGAATGGGGATGTGTGGGAGGACCCTGATGAAACTGGGGACACTGAGTTTGTAAACTGTGATGAAACTTTTTTTTTTTTTTTCCAAGGCAGAAGAATTTTTCTTAGTATAGAACAAAATGAAAAGTCTCCCATGTCTACTTCTTTCCACACAGACACGGCAACCATCCGATTTCTCAATCTTTTCCCCACCTTTCCCGCCTTTCTATTCCACAAAACCGCCATTGTCATCATGGCCCGTTCTCAATGAGCTGTTGGGCACACCTCCCAGACGGGGTGGTGGCCGGGCAGAGGGGCTCCTCACTTCCCAGTAGGGGCGGCCGGGCAGAGGCGCCCCTCACCTCTGGGGTGGGGCGGCTGGCCGGGCGAGGGGCTGACCCCCCCACCTCCCTCCCGGACGGGGCAGCTGGCCGGGCGGGGGGCTGACCCCCCCACCTCCCTCCCGGATGGGGCGGCTGGCCGGGCGGGGGGCTGACCCCCCACCTCCCTCCCGGACGGGGCGGCTCCTGGGCGGGGGGCTGAACCCCCCACCTCCCTCCCGGACGGGGCGGCTGGCCGGGCAGGGGGCTGACCCCCCCACCTCCCTCCCAGACGGAGCGGCTGGCCAGGCAGAGGGGCTCCTCACTTCCCAGTAGGGGCGGCTGGGCAGAGGCGCCCCTCACCTCCTGGACGAGGCGGCTGGCCGGGCGGGGGGCTGACCCCCCCACCTCCCTCCCGGACGGGGCGGCTGGCCGGGCGGGGGGCTGACCCCCCCACCTCCCTCCCAGACGGGGCGGCTGCTGGGCGGAGACGCTCCTCACTTCCCAGACGGGGTGGCTGCCGGGCAGAGGGGCTCCTCACTTCTCAGACGGGGTGGTTGCCAGGTGGAGGGTCTCCTCCCTTCTCAGATGGGGCGGCTGGGCAGAGACGCTCCTCACCTCCCAGACGGGGTCGCAACCGGGCAGAGGCGCTCCTCACATCCCAGACGGGGCGGCGGGGCAAAGGCACTCCCCACATCTCAGACGATGGGCGGCCGGGCAGAGACGCTCCTCACTTCCTAGACAGGGTGGCGGCCGGGCAGAGGCTGCACTCTGGGCACTTTGGGAGGCCAAGGCAGGCGGCTGGGAGGTGGAGGTTGTAGCGAGCCGAGATCACGCCACTGCACTCCAGCCTGGGCACCATTGAGCACTGAGTGAACCAGACACCGTCTGCAATCCCGGCACCTCCGGAGGCCGAGGCTGGCGGATCACTCGCGGTTAGGAGCTGGAGGCCAGCCCGGCCAACACAGCGAAACCCCGTCTCCAACAAAAAAATACGAAAACCAGTCAGGCGTGGCGGCGCGCGCCTGCAATCGCAGGCACTCGGCAGGCTGAGGCAGGAGAATCAGGCAGGGAGGTTGCAGTGAGCCGAGATGGCAGCAGTACAGTCCAGCTTCGGCTCGGCATCAGAGGGAGACCGTGGAAAGAGAGGGAGAGGGAGACCGTGGGGAGAGGGAGACCGTGAGGGAGAGGGAGAGGGAGAGGGTCATTGGTAAATTTCATCATGGTTAAGATCATGACATCCAGACCCACTCTGCCTGGGTTTCAAATCCCAGTTCTGCCATTTCTCAGCTGTGTGACTTGCACAAATTACCTAACCTCTCTGTGCCTCAATTCCTAATCTGCAAAATGAGGATGATAATAGAATTTATCTTGAAGGCTTATGGGGACTTTGTGAGCTTAGAGCAGTGCCTACTACGTGGTAGATGCTGTGATTTATGTTATAATTTCTAAACCCTGATAACTCCTGATTTAATCCTGCCTCCTGGAGCACCTCCTTCTCTGACTTTCCTGCCAACTCCAAGGATGACCTCATTTTATGCATCATCAAAGTCCCTGGAAGGTAAGGGCTGCGGTCAATACCCCACAGTGCTCAGTGGGTGTTTGGGAAGAAAGAGAAGAGTCATGGAGACTCAGGGCTGACTTGGAGCATAGAAGGATCCTCTAACCACCCCCACACCTTGCACACACACAGCCTCCTTTCCTGCCTTCTCTCGATGAAACTTTTTTACCAGAACAAACAGCTTCCCCATCCCCAGTAGTGGCAGCATCCCCTCCCCGACCCATGCTGCCATCAGCCTTTCCACCTTTGTCTGAGGAGATAAAGTTTGCGCTGCCTGAGACAACAGTGATGGGCTTCCCTGAGGCAGTTTCCAGGCAAGATAATGTTGATTCTCATCAGGAGCCACCCCCAACACCCCTGTTTGCTTCTAGACATATAACTAGACTAAAGTCCTGGCAGGCCCCTAGAGGTGAGGTTGAGAGTGTGACCTATGGGGAGGTGCACTACACTCAAAAAGAACTGCTTGAGTTTTCTAATTTATATAAGCAGAAATCTGAAGAACAGGCATGGGAATGGATATTAAGGGTGTGGGATAATGGTGGAAGGAACATAGAGTTGGATCAGGCTGAATTTATTGATTTGGGCCCACTAAGTAGGGACTCTGCATTTAATGTTGCAGCTCAAGGAGTTCAAAAAAGTTCTAATAATTTATTTGCTTTGTTAGCTGAAATATGGATTAAAAGATGGCCCACTGTGAATGAGCTGGAAATGCCTGATCTCCCTTGGTTTAATGTAGAGGAAGGGATCCAAAGGCTTAGGGAGATTGGGATGGTGGAGTGGATTAGCCACTTTAGACCTACTTATCCCAGCTGAGAGGGTCCAGAAGATACACCCTTGACCAATGCCTTGCAAAACAGATTTGTGAGGGCAGCACCTGCATCTTTGAAGAGCCCTGTAATTGCTCTTCTCTGTATGTCAGATCTAACAGTGGAAACCACAGTCACTCAACTACAAAATTTAAATACAATGGGAATAATTGGATCCTGAGGTGGGAGGGGCCAAGTGGTGGCACTCAACTGTCAAAGGCAAGGTGGGCATAGCTACTGCCATAATGGACAGCAGAGGCAAAGTGGCAATCAGAATAGTCTGACTTGTATAGAGCTCTGGCACTGGTTAATTAATCACTGTGTTCCTAGAAGTGAAATTAATAGGAAACCTACTGCATTCCTACTTAATTTATACAAGCAGAAGACTTCTAGCTCAAATGGACAAAAGACTAATTTGAATTATAAAAACAGAATCATGGCCCCTCAATCAATTTCCAGACTTGAGTGAGTTTACAAACCCAAAGCCACTTGAATGAAGGGGAGGCCAGGTCCCCTTGAGGAAGGACCTCACTACATTACTGACAATTTATGCAGTAAATCTTTCTCCCATCCTTCCCCAAGGAGACCTCTGGGCTTTTAACAGAGTAACTGTGCACTGGGGAAAGGGAAATTATCAGATATTTTGGGGACTACTGGACACTGGCTCTGAGCTGACGTTGATTCCAGGGGACCCAAAATGTCATTGTGGTCCTCCAGTTAAAGTAGAGGCATATGGAGGTCAGGTAATTAATGGAGTTTTAGCTCAGGTTTGACTTACAGTGGGTCCAGTGGGTCCTGGGACTCATCCTGTGGTCATTTCTCCAGTGCCAGAATGCATAATTGGCATAGACATACCTAGTAGCTGGCAGAACCCCCACATTGGCTCCCTGACTGATAGGTTGAGGGCTATTTTGGTGGGAAAGGCCAAATGGAAGGCATTAGAGCTGCCTCTGCCTAGAAAAATAGTAAATAAAAACAATATCACATCCCTGGAAGGATTGCAGAGGCTAGTGCCACCATCAAGGACTTGAAAGATGCAGGGGTGGTGATTTTCACCACATCCCTGTTCAGCTCTCCCATTTGGCCTGTACAGAAGACAGATGGATCTTGGAGAACGACAGTGGGTTATCTTAGGCTTAACCAAGTGGTGACTCCAATTGCAGCTGCTGTACCAGATGTGGTTCCATTGCTTGAGCAAATTAACACATCTCCTGGTACCGGGTATGCAGCCATTGACTTAGCAAGTGTGTTTTTCTCCATTCCTGTCTATAAGGCCCACCAGAAGCAATTTTCCTTCAGCTGGGAAGGCCAGAAATATACCTTTACTGTCCTACCTCAGGAGTATATGAACTCTCTGGCTTCACGTCATAATCTTATTTGGGGAGAACTTGATCTCTTTTCACTTATGTGAGATATCACACGGGTCCACTACATTGATGACATTTTGCTGACTGGATCTAGTGATCAAGAAGTAGCAAGCACGCTGAACTTATTGGTGAGACATTTGCATGCCAGAGGGTGGGAAATAAATCCAACTAAAATTCAGGTACTTACTAGTTCAGTAAAATTTCTAGGGGTCCAGTGGTGTGGGGCCTGTCGAGATATTCCTTCTAAGGTAAAGGATAAGTTGTTGCATTTGGCCCCTCCTACCACCAAGAAAGAGACACAACACCTTGTGGGCCTATTTGGATTTTGGAGGCAAAACATTTCTCATTTGGGTATGTTACTCTGGCCCATTTATTGAGTGACCTGAAAGGCTGCCAGTTTGAGTGGGATCCAGAACAGGAGAAGGCTCTGCAACAGGTCCAGGCTGCTGTGCAAGCTGCTCTGCCACTTAAGCTATATGACTCAGCAGATCCAATGGTGTTTGAGATGTCAGTGGCAGATAGGGATGCTGTTTAGAGCCTGTGGCAAGCCCCCATAGGTAAATCACAGGCCTCTAGGATTTTGGAGCAAAGTTGTGCCATCTTCTGCAGATAACCACTCTCCTTTTGAGGACAGCTTTTGGCCTGTTATTGAGCTTTGGTGGAAACTGAACATTTGACTATAAGTCATCAAGTCACCATGTGACCTGAACTGTCTGTCATGAATTGGGTGCTTTCTGACCCATCTAGCCATAAAGTGGTTCATGCACAGCAGCATTCCATCATCCAATGGAAGTGGTATATATGTGATTGGGCTCGAGCAGGTCCTGAAGGCACAAGTAAGTTACATGAGGAAGTGGCTCAAATCCCCATGGTCTCCACTCCTGCCACCCTGCCTTCTCTTCCCCAGCCTACACCGATGGCCTCATGGGGAGTTCCCTATGATCAGTTGGCAGAGGAAGAGAAGACCAGGGCCTGATTCACAGATGGCTCTGCATGATATGCAAGCATCACCCAAAAGTGGACAGCGCAACACTACAACCCCTTTCTAGGACATCCCTGAAGGAAAGCGGTGTAGGAAAATATTCCCAGTGGGCAGAAATTCGAGAGTGCACCTGGTTGTGCACTTTGCATGGAAGGAGAAATGGCCAGATGTGTGATTATATACTGATTCATGGACTGTAGCCAATGATTTGGCTGGATGGTCAGACACTTGGAAGAAGCATGATTGGAAAATTGGTGACAAAGAAATTTGGGGAAGAGTTATGTGGATGGACCACAATGAGTTGTCAAAAACTGTGAAGACATTTGTATCCCATGTGAGTGCTCACCAATGGGTGACCTCAGCAGAGAAGGATCTTAATAATCAAATGGATAGGGTGACCTGTTCTGTGGACACCTCTCAGCCCCTTTCCCTAGCCACCCCTGTCATCACCTAATGTGCCCATGAACAAAGTGACCATGGTGGCGGGGAGAGAGGTTACACATGGGCTCAGCAACATGGACTCCCACTCACCAAGGCTGACCTGGTTATGGCCACTGCTGAGTGCCCAATTTGCCAGCAGCAGAGACTAACACTGAGCCCTCAATATGGCACCATTCCTCAGGGTGATCAGCCAGCTACCTGGTGGCAGGTTGATTATATTGGACATCTTCCATCATGGAAAGGGCAGAGGTTTGTCCTCACTGGAATAGATGCTTACTGCTGATATGGGTTTGCCTATCCTGCATGCAATTCTTCTGCCAAGACTACCATCCATGGACACACAGAATGCCTTATCCACCGTCATGGTATTGCATACAGCATTGCCTCTGACTGAGGCACTCACTTTACAGCTAAAGAAATGCAGCAGTGGGTTCATGCTTATGGAATTCACTGGTCTTACCCTGTTCCCTATCATCCTGAAGCAGCTGGATTGATAGAACAGTGGAATGGCCTTTTGAAGTCACAATTACAATTACAAGTCACAAAGTACAATGTACTTTGCAGGGTTGGGGCAAAATTCTCCAGAAGGCCCCATATGCTCTGAATCAGCATCCAATATGTGATATTGTTTCTCCCATAGCCAGGATTCACAGGTCCAGTAATCAAGGGGTGGAAGTGGAAGTGGCACCACTCACCATCACCCCTAGTGATCTACTAGCAAAATTTTTGCTTCCTTTTCCTGCGACATTACGTTCTGTGGCCTAGAGGTCTTAGTTCCAGAGGGAGAAATGCTGCCACCAGGAGACACAACAACGATTCCATTAAACTGGAAGTTAAGATTGCCACCTGGACACTTTGGGCTTCTCCTACCTTTAAGCCAACAGGCTAAGAAGGGAATTACAGTGTTGGCTGGGGTGATTGACCTGGATTATCAAGGTGAAATCAGTCTACCACTCCACAATGGAGGTAAGGAAAAATGTGCATGGAATACAGGAGATCCATTAGGGCGTCTCTTAGTATTACCATGCCCTATGATTAAGGTCAATGGGAAACTACAACAGCCCAATCCAGGCAGGACTACAAATGATCCAGACCCTTCAGGAATGAAGGTTTGGGTCACTCCACCAGGAAAAAACCATGACCTGCTGAGGTGCTTGCTGAAGGCAAAGGGAATACAGAATGGGTAGTAGAAGGTAGTCATCAATACCAGCTATGACCATGTGTCTGGCTGCAGAAACAGGACTGTAATTGTCATGAATATTTCCTCCTTCTTTTGTTAAAAACATGTTTGTGCATGTATACACTTGTACTAAGAAAATATCTTCACTTTATTTCCTTTCTCCTTTACCATGTGACATAAGATTTATTGACTTCACATCAGCATTTAAGTATTGTTAACTTTATGTAATAGTATTTGGATTGGGGATGGGTGCATTTCTGGTTGTATGAAGGATAGTTGTATTGTTAAGTGTAATTATGACCTTATTATTGTCTTTATTCGAAGATTATGTATGATCTCAGGAGATGTGTATGGGTTCAAGTTAACAAGGGGTGGACTTGTGATGGTTATAATGAGTGTCAACTTGATTGGATTGAAGGATACAAAGTATTGATCCTGGGTGTGTCTATGAGGGTGTTGCCAAAGGAGATTAATATCTGAGTCAGTGGGCTGGGAAAGGCAGACCCACCCTTAATCTTCATGGGCAGAATCTAATCAGCTGCCAGTGAGGCTACACTATAAGCAGGCAGAAAAGTGTGAAAAGACTGGCCTAGCCTCCCAGCCTACATCTTTCTCCCGTGCTGGATGCTTCCTGCTCTTGAACATCGGACTCCAAGTTCTTCAGTTTTGGAACTAGGACTGGCTCTCCTTGCTCCTCAGCCTGCAGATGGCCTATTGTGGGACCTTGTGAGGGTGTGAGTTAATACTTAATAAACTCCCCTTTATGTATAAATCTATTCCATTGGTTCTGTCCCTCTAAAGAATCCTGACTAATTCATTGGGTTTGACATTAGTTGATTGTTTATTCTCTTGAGAATTGATCCAATTTTCAAGGTTATTTACATATCAAGTAATTTTGGATTGTATCCTGAACATTTTAAATATTATGTTGTGAGTCTCTGAGTCCTGCTAAAATTCTCTGGAGAATGTTCATTTTGTTTGTTTCAGCAGGCAAAAACCCTCATAGGTTGAGATTACAAATTCTCTCTTTGAGCAGTAGTTCCAATACTAGTTCAGTTCTCAAAGCCTTTACTATGCTTGTGTATGTGTGTGTGTGTGTGTATGTGTGAGTGTGTGTGTATTCCCCCATGGACAGCTTGGAGGTAAGGCTAGGACTTGTGTCAGTTCATTCACAGAATTAGGTTCATTCTCAAAATCTCTCCTCTCTGAGATTTCCTCCACACTGTCTAACTTCCAGTGATCTCTTTTCCTGGTTCCTCTGGCAGGAGAGATGGGGTTCGTTAAGAGTTTTAACCTCTGTGCTAATGAAACTCCCAGTTCCATACAACTGGGCCCACTCTCAGAGGGGGAGTGAGAGAGAAGTGGAGAGAAAAATAATGGAGACTCCTCTACAACCTTCACCACATGCATGCCATGACACGGAGATGCATGATTGGCCTCAGGTCAGGTCAGGGAGAGGAAAAAGGGGAAGGTGAAAAACAGGGACTTCCCCCGCACTCTTCAGTTTGCAGTGGTTTTTATTGCCAGTCTTCTGGCCCGACGGTTTTTGTCGTCTGCATCTGCCGAGCAGTTTTGTGATGTGACCCACCCTCCAGTAAAAGCAAAAAAAAAAAAAAAAGCCCCAAATCAAAAATTGCCCACCCCCAAAGAAACAAAGATCACCATTACTAACACCATTGCAGTTTTTCTTCAGTTTTTGTTTTATTTTGTTAGAAAAGGGGGTCTCCCTTTGTCACCCTGGCTGGAATGCCATGGTGCTGTCATGGCTTACTGAAGTCTTGACCTCCTGGGCTCAAGCCATCCTCCCGTCTTAGCATCCCAAGTAGCTGGGACCATAAGTATGTACTACCAGGCCCAGCTAATTAAAAAAAAAAAAATTTTTTTTTTTTTTTGGTAGAGACAAGGTCTCTCTATGTTGCCCAGGCTGGTCTCAAACTCCTGGGCTCAAGCAATCCTCCCACTTCAGCCTTCCAATGTGTTGGCCTTATAGGTGTGAGCCACCTCGCGCAGCCATTCTTTGAGTTTTGAATTTCTTCCTCAAACTGCTTTGTTATACTTCTCAGAGTTCCCAGGCAGTTGCTTCTTGAATTCTGTGGTCTTTATCTATATTCAGTGGGAGAGACGAAGTTAAACATGTAGTGTGATTACTTACATGTAAAAATATGTGTAGTTATATGTAATACTTTTTCTAAAGACTAGAAAGTCAAAATTATCATCATGATTATTTTGGACTGCTGTCATTTTTTCTCCCATTTTCTATTTTCTAAACATTTTATAACACACCTTCCTCAAACCTTCGTGTTTAATCCTGCTTCTTCCAAATCTTTGGTTAGCTGAGCTTCTCTGAAGGAGCTTATAGTTTTTAATCATTAGAAACTACTAATATCCGTGGTCGGGCATGGTGGCTCATGCCTGTAATCCCAGCAGTCTGGGAGGCCGAGACAGGCAGATCACCGGAGGTCAGGAGTTCAAGACCAGCCTGGCCAACATGGCAAAAGCCCATTTCTACTAAAAATGCAAAAAAAAAAAAAAAAAAATTAACTGGGCATGGTGACATGCATACACTTGTAGGCCCAGCTACTTGGGAGGCTGAGGCAGGAGAATTACTTGAACCCGGGAGGTGGAGGTTGCAGTGAGCCGAGATTGCACCATTGCACTCCAGCCTGAGTGACAGAGCGAGACTCTGCCTGAAAAAAAAAGGCTGGGCGTGGTGGCTCACGCCTGTAATCCTAGCACCTTGGGAGGTGGGCGGATCACCTGAGGTTGGGAGTTTGAGACCAGCCTGACTAACATGGAGAAACCCCATCTCTACTAAAAATACAAAATTAGCTGGGCATGGTGGTGCATGCCTGTAATCCTAGCTACTCAGGAGGCTGAGGCAGGAGAATCGCTTGAACCTGGGAGGCAGACGTTACGGTGAGACGAGATTGCACTGTTACACGCCAGCCTGGGTAACAAGAGCGAAACTCCATCTCAAAAAAAAAAACAGGAAAGAAATTATTAACATCTGTAACAACTAGAGTGCTTTCAGCTGCAAGAAACAGAAATCATCAACTCAATGGTTTTAACGATATTGAAGTATTTTTTCTCGTGTAATAAAAAATCCTCTGGAAGGTGGTTGCAGGGCTGTTTGATGCTACCTGTATGTCATCCCCTGCCATCCTTATGTTTGATGTTGGCCTTGAGCTGGTTCTCCTCATGCTTACAAAATGGATGCAGCATTCCAGACATAACTTCTAGATACAACAACATTTAGAGACTGAAAATGGGCCATCTCTTTCTTTGTATTAGTTAGTATAAGATTTGACTATAAATGACAAGAAACGTAAAATAACAGCCACTTAAGTGTGGCTTTTTTTTTTTTTTTTTTGCTTCTGCCATACATAGTCTCCATTCCTAAGATCATCCATGATCAAAGGTGGTTGTTCTACCTCCAACTACCACATCCACATAGCAGAATAAAAGAAGTAAAAAACGTCTGAGTGTGGTGGCTCACACCTGTAATGCCAGTGCTTTGGGAGACCAAAGCAGGAGGATCACTTGAGGCCAGGAGTTCAAGACCAGTTTGGGAAAAAGCAAGACAATATCTCTATAAGAAATACAATAAAAATTAGCCAGGTGCATGCCTGCAGTCCCAGCTACACAGGAGGCTGAGGAGGAGGATTGCTTGAGCCCAAGACTTCATGGCTGCAGTGAGCCTTGATCATGCCACTGCACTCCAGCCTGGACAACAACATGAGACCCTGTCAGAGGAAAAAAAAAAAAGTAGGTAAGAAGCACCTGTCAGCTGTCAATAGGGAAGATTCTCAGAAGCTGCCACACTACAGTTCTGCTTTTATCTCATTAGCCAGAACTTATCAGGCCACATGGGCAACAGAAGAGGCTGAGTAATGCATTCTTTATTCTGGATGTCCATATACCCCGCTAAACTTTCTCTGCTACTGTGGAATAGGTGGAACATGTATAGTGGGAACCACAAGCTGTCACTGCCACATTCTTGCATGTCTCAAGAAGCTACTGGCAGGCTTCCCCTTTTTGCCTTATTGGCCAGAAAAGTATTGCATGCCCGCGCCTAAGCCAACCATGACAAGGGAATGGTAGGTACCATCATGATTAGCTTACATCAATCAAGACTCCCAATCTAAGCTTGGAGTTGGGACTAGCCTCTCCTGAAGGATATGACTTCCAGTAAAAGAGCAGGTACCTGGGTGAAGTCAGAATTCTTAGGAAGAAATAAAGGACATAGAAAAAACAGGAAAGAAGAAGGAGGGGTGTAGAGTGGATTTGGTAGGCACGGTCACTGCATACCCTCTATATGGAGTCCCTGATTTCATGAAGTGCAATTGAAGTGTTTACCTGTGATGCTCCTGTTACTGTCCCATCTCTCCACACTACCAGAATCAATAGTGGATTTATTGTGTTTATGTGTGTGAAGACGAGAAAAGAGAAGTGGAAGAAGCCCAATAAAATGCAGTTACTGCTAGTGGCTCCCCCAGTATGCACTCTTTCCTCCCATCTAAAAGCTCATTTGAGTTAAGTTCTGAATATTGAAATTATTTGTATTCAAAAGTATTGATTAGAGAAGTTTCCCAGGAAAAAATATAACTGTTCCTTACCTAAGGTTGACTAGGAAGAGTCTTGAAGAGTACAAAACAGAAAAAACCAACTGGCATTTTAAATTGAGGGTGTTATGATTAGTAACATACACTCTTTTTTTTTTTTTTTTTTTTTTTTTTTTTTTTTTGCCACACATAAACTTTTTGGGAAGAAGGAAGCCAGTATAGGAAAAAGGATAAAAAATATATAGATGGAGGAAAATGGCGATGAACGAAAATAGGTGAAAGAGAAACAGTAACAGGGCATATGTGTGAGAGGGAGGGAAGGAGCCGTGTGCTTTTGTCATCATTATGTTGCTATGGTAATGAAGCAAAATTGGGCTGATATTGCTCTATGGGTTTGCTTTGAATGAGAGGCCAAATATGTGCAAGCATAATGGCAGATTAACTCTTTAGTAAACCAAAGGGACAATTTAATTGTACTTCATCTAATAATTCAATGTAATTTTTAAAGAACTCTCACATTCCGTTGAAATAAGACCCAAAGAAGACTCTGAAGACAAATAATAATTTTGAAGTTTCTTTTTGTGAATTAGCAGTGAATGAAAACTTTTGAATTATAAAGTACATATTCAGTGCAGAAAAAAATGTAAATATATAAAAGAACAAAGCCAATGATGAAAAAGACACCAGATTCTGTCTGTTAACTTTTCGATGTGTAGCTCTTTAGTCTTTTCATGTATGTGTTTTCACCAATTGAGATCCCTCTTTATTATTGTATGTTGTACGTTTAGGCTGATTCCAGTTTTTCACTGTTATAAATAAGATTGTTTTTCTTTTTTTTAAGAGAGCATCAATTGCTCAAAATAGATTTAAAGGAAAAAATGTTACATACTTTTGATTAGACCTAGAGCTATTCTTGACACATGGTAGCCATTGGACAAATAGGAATTATTATGATTACTGACAACCACACATATGTGCAGCAAAGTCAATAACTATTTTGTTGACTATCCATTGGGGTTGCCATTCAAATATTACAGAAGTTGCCCTGTAGGTGTCACATTCAGGTATATGGCTGGAGGGTTTAGCAAGCCTTGTCCCAGAGGGTTTCACAAGGTGGAATTTACTTTTCTATGGCTTTCAAACCTTAAGAGTTTGCAGAATGTGTATCCATCTACATAGGATTTGGAGATGGCAACTCACATAACTAAACCCAGTAGAGAAGGCTGAATTAATACAAATTTATTAATTGGCAATATGATATATAACTGCCAGGAAGATGGTGCATTTCCATCTGTACAACCAATATATCCTCTTCTGTAGTCAAACAGCTAGCAAGAAAATCAGAAGTTTACAAACAGACAGAATCAGAGATGATTTAAATGTGTAGGCAGCCTTGTCATTCAGATAGGTTACTCTCTTTCCAGGACAGTTCATACAGTCCATCTCCAGTCTTGGTACCATATAATTAGCTACAGAAGATTTTCCTTTCTAAACACCCTTTCCAGGTCATCTTGATTGGAATTGTGTGGGTTCCAATTGTAAGGGTTTATGTTACATATTTGTAAATGACATCTTGGTTTACTTCCTCAGATGGCTGTTCACGTTCATTATATGGGGATACTGATACTTTCTCCAGGGGTAACTGGGTACATTTATTTCTCTTTATCATCATATTTATCAATGATCCCTGTTGGGTTGGCATTTCAGCAGACAGCTAAAAGGTTTAAGTATTTTATTATTAAAATATTTAGAGAATAATTAAAAAAAAATAGAGATGGGCTCTCACCATCTTGCCCAGGTTGGTCTTGAACTCCTGAGCTCAAGCGATCCTCCTGCCTCAGCTTCCCAAAGTGCTCTGGGATTACAGGCATAAGCCACCATCCCCAGCCTAGAATCAAATTTTAAAGGCTACAGACATACTCTGAAAATACCATTTGCTTAACAAATATTCACTGAGTACTTACTGAAAAAATAAAAGGAGTAACTCATCAAGTCTAGCAACTGTGAGACTTGTCTAATGGCTCAGAGAAGCTGCCATTTTAAAATTGTGATCTTCCCTGGCAGCTTCTGAATTTTCTAAAGGGAGAGGATTTGGCCCAGGAATCCAATCTCGGGCCACTTTAAAACATACTTGGTGGTGGCTCATGCCTGTAATCCCAGCACTTTGAGAGGCCAAGGCAGGTGGATCACCTGAGGTCAGGAGTTTGAGAGCAGCCTGGCCAACATGGTGAAACCCCATCTCTACTAAAAATACAAAAAATTAGGTGGGTGTGGTGGCACATGCCTGTAATCCCAGCTACTCAGGAGGCTGAGGTACGAGAATCACTTGAACCCGGGAGGTGGAGGTTGCAGTGAGCCGAGATCACACCATTGCACTCCAGCCTGGGCAATAAGAAAGAAACTCCATCTCAGAAAAACAAAAAACAAAACCCATACCTGGTTTGGGACAATGCAGAGGTAGTTGTGTGGAAGTGAGTGGAGCATCATCTAAACTCTGGTTTTTTGGGGGAGGATGTGTTAGGGACTGTGTGAATATTGAGGTCTGAGTCTAAGAGATCATTCAGTGTGATCAGGATGAGTGTCTCCTATGCGTTTCTATGTGATTCTTCTATGTGATTCTAGATGGTATCACAATAAGACCAAATATGATTCCCTTCTCCAGATAGGGAAGAAAGTAGAGCTGGAAGGAGCCTGGTGGGCTGAGAAAATGAGCAGCAACCTGCAAACTGGAGTCTGGATGAAGTTGAAGATTAGGTAAAGTGTGAGTATGAGATTGGGAGTTTAGGAGACAGCGCAAGATGACAGAAGGCTGTGTTTAGATCTGCAAGAACAGTGGAGGAGGTCCAGAATGATACATTTTCATGATGTGGTCATGAGAATGAGTTCTTATTCAGAAGCTAATGGATGGTATGAAGGGTGTTGGGAATATTTGTTGCTTTTCTCTAAACTCTTTTATCCTCCAGAAGCCCTAAAGAGACCTTCATCTGAATGTCTCATTAATCCCCGGCCCAGGCAGAATTCTGCATCTTTCTCCACCCAGTCCGATCTCCATCCTGCATTGCTGGTCCCAGCACCAGCCATCCAAGCCAGAAATCTGAAAGTAAGTCATCCTCAACATCTCCCTCTCCCTCACTCAAACACAATCAATCACTGAACATGTTAATTCTATTTTATAAACATTTTGCAATTTCTTTTCCAACTCTCTATTTCCACTGCTGTGGCCTTGGTACAGATAATTATCACAAGCTCTACCACTCTGCTCTTCTCGCCAACAGTCTTCAAAACCTCCAGTCTATTCTGTGCTGTCCCCACCCCCATGCTGGGTAGAATGAGCTTTTTCCTTCAGTACTTCAGCCTCCACTCCCACTCCCTCTGCAGGAGCTTCTCTGGACACACCCTGCTGTCAAGCCACACTGAACTACTTGAAGTTGCCAGAATCTTCTACATTTCTCCCTGGTCCAGTCTTTAGTTCAAAGACTGCTCCCTTTGCCTAAAATGCCCCTCCTTTCTTTTTTCTTCCTGGCTAACACCTGTTCGTGCTTTAAGGTCAGGCTTGTGGTTGCCTCTTCCAAGCATTCCTTAGTGACAGCTTTCACCCTTTCCTCCCTGCTTGAGATCCTCCAGACATGCTCCCCAGTACTCTAGCATATGCTAGTAGAGAACTACCTGCCCTGTATTGTGAATACAGATAGATTTGTCTTTCTTCCCCATTAAGTTGTGAGTTCGTTGAGAGAAGACAGTGAGTCTTATTCAAATTTGTATTATATTGCCTGGTTTGAAGTCTGACACATACTAGACCCTTAATAAACACCCACGGAAGGATAAATGAATGAGTGAATCCAGGGAAGATCCATCATAACTATAGTTCTTTGATCCTGTGAAGCCTCTCCCTTTTTGCACCATGATCATTTTATGAAGCACTGTTATACACTGTTAGATCATGTCTTGTCTGAACACTAAATCCTCATTAAAACTTCTTTGTCATCAAAGACTGAGACGGAAATGTAGTCAAGTGTCTTCATCTTTATAGATGAAGAAACAAAGGCACAGAGCAGTGGAATGACATGCAGGGGCACATAGTGGGGCCAAACTGGGACAGGATTCTGGGCCCCTGTGTCCTGACTCCCTGCTTTTTCCAACTACTACGTGGCTGCCCCTCAAATACCTGTAATTGCAAATACTTTTGATTGTGTTTCTTTGAGGAATGCATAAGCTGCTTTTTCTTTTTATGGGGTCTCACTCTGTCACTCAGGCTAGAGTACAGTGGCATGATCTCAGCTCACTGTAACCTCTGCCTCCTGGGTTCAAGCGGTCCTCCCACCTCAGCTTCCTGAGTAGCTGGGACCACCGGTGCATGCCACCATTCCCGGCTAATTTTTTGTATTTTTGCTAGAGATGGGGTTTTGCCGTGTTGCCCAGGCTGGTCTTGAACTCTGAGCTCAAGTGATCCGCTTGCCTCAGCCTCCCAAAGTGTTGGGATTACAGGCATGGACCACTGCGCCTGGACCATGATGTGCTTCTAACCTCAGGAAACAAACATTCCCACCTGTAGACAACTTTGAGTAGATGTTTAACCTTTCTCTGAAATGATTTTACTCTGTATTTCAAGCAAGAGGGTTAAAAACAGAGTGCCTTCCAATTTGGCTGCTTCTGGCCTCCTCTGTGCACTCTAAAACTTTCGAGGAAGGAAAAGAAAGCTTCTCCTTTCACTTGGCTAGGAGAATGAACATGGTCTGAGATCGGATTGCCTTCATTGGGTACTATGCCTCCTTGGTGTGTTTTTATAAAAATCATTCACATGAAAGTCACAAAACTAAAGCATTTGGTGCTGGAGGTGGGTGGTGGGTGTTCATAAAGTAAAATGCAAAGCTCAGAGCTGTTCCCATCTTTTTTCATAGTAATATGGATTGCTCTTCAAGCCCAATTTGGTTTTCAGGCTTGCTTCTATTTTCCTCTTCCATTCTCTCTACTGATCTGCAACATCTGTTAAAAAATGATCCCCCCTGATTTTTTTCTTCAGTTTATTTCTCTGATCACTGTGCTTACTCTTGTGGCATGTACACGTTTAGCAAGTCAGCGTGACTGAGGTTTCCTTTAGTTATAGGGCATAACCCAGTTTAGATATTTGCTTTATTTAATTGCTGCATTCAAAACACTGTTGGGCATTTCATATTAGTATTTTTTTCAGTCTAAAGATCACCTATGCTTATATTAATATTTTAAAGAGGGTGTTTTGTAGATATGGCTAGTCTGTTTGTCAGATGACTGCCTTTTATCATCCCTCAGAAGTTTTCATATTTCTTCTTGTAAGTGATTGTTAAGGATGTGTACTCACCCAAACAATATCATAGAAAAAAGCCAGAAACCTGAACACTGGAAGGTAAACTGATGGCAAAGACTTTCCATTTTACTGAGGCTTCTAAACTGCTATGTTCCACTTTGAATCATAGTTGCACCTTGTGTGTATATGGTATGTGTGTGTATGTGTGTATTTGCATGTATTAATATTTGTATATAAATGTGTAAGTATAGCCACCATGCATGCTTGTTGGGGTATCAGAACAAAGCACCCTCAGAAATATATAATCTACTAAGAAAAGAAACAATTTTGAGCACTGTGGGGAAATTCCAAGGAAGTCTAATCAAGATCACTGTATGACCAGATATCTCTTTTTTTTTAATGTCAGGTATTTATCACAGAATTTTAGCCTTCTTAAATAAAAAGACATACCAAATATTTACTAATAAAACATTCTGAATCAATTTCTGGCCCACTTACAGTTGAGGGAATAATGAAAGTTCTAGGTGATGAACCTGAAGTTTGTGGTTATGCAATAGAAAAGAAATGATTCTAGGACTGATGATGCACTTGAATTCCATGGTGGCTCCACCTGCCAGCCTCACAGATTCCCTTCCCCGGACTCAAGCTTCCGGTAGGGGGTGCTGTTGTCTAATATAAGGCCTATACTTTGCAAGAGAATTTGGTTATTACTTCAGGTCATTTCTAATCTTTACCGTTTCCCAAGATTTCATGTGTTTAAATTGATATTGGCTATTTCCTGTTAAGTTTACTGTGAATTTAATCTTATGCTACTGTTTAATACATTAAAGTGCCATTTTGGTTGCTGCCACTGCACTGATTAGCATTAAATTTCCCCAGAATGTGTTCTGAATATCAGTGAGCTTGTTCAGGAAAATGAATAATAATTTTATTGTTTTTAAAAC
Organism: Homo sapiens; assembly: GCF_000001405.40. Classification (NCBI taxonomy): domain Eukaryota; kingdom Metazoa; phylum Chordata; class Mammalia; order Primates; family Hominidae; genus Homo; species Homo sapiens. The sequence continues at coordinate 57,317,133 of NC_000014.9, read as the reverse complement.
AATGAAATATTTGATTACTTTGTAAAAATTCATGAAGTGAACTTTGATGAGGCTTGGGAATCAAACTAAGACTTTTAGAGGAATTGAACATACAAGTTTTGCCTTTAAAATTTTATTTTTCTGCTGGTGGAGATGTGTTATATTTGCATTTTTGAGCCTGAATAATTTTAATTCCATTTTTATTGTACAAACCCAAGAGGAACATTTGCTTTGTTTTCACTGATTAGTTATACAATTATTCTCTTCAGATATTACATGAACCATGAACCATAATATTATATTTCTTGTTAATACATTTTGGCAAAAGTATTTACATGACAACACAATACATAAATGTAATGACTTTCTCAAATGAGTACATTGTTGCCATGAAGCAATCACCTTTATTTTAATACAAGTAAAATTCATTAAAATTTTTCTCAATTAGCAAAGTGACTTTTCCAAATGAACTAGCGAAGGAAAAACATTTCTTGTTTTATCCTAGCTCAGCTGATTTGCTTTTTATTGCCAGATGTCTGTTTGGGAAGGAGAGGAAAAAAGAGGAGTGTTTAATTTTAATAAACTCGATGCAATGCTGACTTCTAGGGGATTAGGTATGGTTCTGATACACTTAGTTCCCTTTCAGTTAGTTTCAAAGTAAAAGTTAAATTTGAAAGCAAAAGCCTTTGAAGCAAAGATACTACTTTCAAGACTCTCTCATGTTGAAAGTTAAAACTTGGAGAACCAAATGAACAAATCCTTTGAATTCCAAACTTAATTTAAACAAAAGAATATTTTATTTTTCTCCTCTCACTAAAATGTTTAAATCCCATCATAAGTCTAATAACCAGATTATGTCATTTGACACAGACAGTTGAGTTGAGCCCTGTATCTGTAAATGCAAATGTAGCTTTTTGGGAAAAAATATAATTAACTTTGAATTTGCATTTACATAGCATAGATTTCAGATTAATTTAACTTAACTGCTCCTTATGAAGTAATTGTTTAGGCCTAGTTTTGGTCATTCATTTTATGTGTAGAATGAAGATATCTTTTTTTTCCTTAAGTTAAAAAATAAATGACAATACCTGTGTACCGACTGAATGACTCAGAGTATCGAATTTGTAAAGTATGTTAGATTTTTTTTTTTTTTTTTTTGAGACAAGGTCTTGCTTTGTCATCCAGGTTGGAGTGCAATGGTGCGATCTCAGCCCACCGCAACCTCTGCCTCCTAGGTTCAAGCGACTCTCCTGCCTCTTCTCAAGTAGCTGGGACTAAAGACGCCTGCCACCATGCCTGGCAAATTTTTGTATTTTTAGTAGAGGGTTTTGCCATGTTGGTCAGGCTGGTCTATTAGATATTCTTAATAAAAATGTGAAGTCTAAGAATATTAATTATCCTATAAGTTTATGTGGCCCTTGCCTTTAAGATACTTAGCAACACAGAATCTAATTCTTAGAATACCTGATTAGCATTCTTCGGATGGATTGTTAAGTTGCCAGTTAAATAATATTTCTAAGGGAATAAGGTTAAGAATGAAAATTTCAACTTCTAGTAATGTTTACCTAGGATAAGTGACAATTAATATTGTCTCTGTCTTGTAGGAAGCTAGATTAAGATGTTAAAATAAATTATACATTAATCATGAAGAAAGAAATCAATATATTTCTCCTTCCCCGATCTTCCAAATAGCTCTTAACTTTACAGAAAGAGTCAAGCCGTAAAAAAATAACAGCAATAAAGAAGAGGCACATGATAGACTCCAGTTAAAGGAGCCAGGCTCCATAGAAAAATGACTGATCATAGAGCTGATGCAGGGAATATACACCATGAACCTAGAGCATCTTGTAAAACCAGAGGGTAAGAAAGTGCTCAAAGCACAAAAACAGACAAAAAAAATGAGGCATGTCAGAGGAACACAGTAGCCAAACTAAAGCTGCCAGTGGACAAACCTGGAATAACTTGGGCAACAAAATAAATAAGGTAGTATTAAATTATAACCCAAAGTATAAAATAAATATTCATGAGTCAAAGCTTGAATAAACAAACAAATAGGAGAAGCTCAACACCACCCCTCAAGTAGGTAGAGTTTAACACTCCAACCCTTGAGTTTGAGCTGTGCTTGGTGACTTACTTGTGAAAAGCAGAATGTGGAAAGTGGAAATAAGTAACTACAGCGGAGAAATGTATCATCTGGCTCCAACACATCATCAGTGAAAAGTCATATTGATAGCATGTTCTCTTGATATGATGAGAATGGCACTTTACCTTCATTGTCTTCCTCCCAAATACTCATAACCCCAGTCTAACTGACATGGTTTGGCTCTGTGTCCCCACCCAAATCTCATGCTGAATTGTAATCTCCAGTGCTGGAGGTAGGGCCTGGTGGGAGGTGATTGGATCATTGGGGTGATTTCTAATGGTTTAGCACCATCCCCCTCATGCTGTCTCATGATAGAGTTCTCATGAGATCTGGTTGTTCAAAAGTGTGTGGCACCTCCCCGCTTCTCTCTTCCTCCTGCCCCAGCCACGTAAGACGTGCCTGCTTCCCCTTCACCTTCCGCCATGATCGTTAAGTTTCCTGTGGCCTCCCCAGCCACACTTCCTGTACAGCCTGGGGAACTCTGAGCCAATTAAACCTCTTTTCTTATAAATCACCCAATCTCGGGTATTTCATTATAGCAGTGTGAGAATGGAATAACACACTAACCATGATTAAAAAAAAAATAGACAAACCCAAATTGAAAGACATTCTACAAAACATCTAACCAGGAGAATGTGAGAAATTGTCATAGACAGAGGAGGTTAAAAAGACATGATGACTATATATAATGTGATATCCTGGAAATATGACCCTGGAATAGAAAAAAAAATTAGTGAAACTGAAGAAACTGTGGAATTTCGTTAATAGTAATGTACTGGTGTTGGCTCCCTAGTTGTGACAAATGAGCCAGGAGAAACTGGGTGAGGGGTATAATAAGAGAACTCTGTACTGTTATTGCAACTTTTCTGAGTCAAAAACGATTCTAAAATTTAAAAATTTGTTTAAAAAAGAAAAGGTATTTAATATTTCATTTCTGTTACATAGATCTTGATAGGTTTGGGGGGAAATTGGAGATGGAGGATAGGAAAATATGACACAAGAACTAATTCTGTCTCCAAAAAGCATACATGATTTGTGAAAAATGCCTCCCCGCCACACCCACTCCCAAAGCTTTCCACCCTTCTGGATATTAGTGATCATATTGTAAATTGGGTTTGAAGAAGTCCATGTTTTGTATTAAGCTAATGGTTAATGTGATGGATTTGCCTGATCTAGCATAGGCTGGAACTGTGATTCTGATACAACCTGGACTGGCACCTGTAATTACTGTTGTGCTGGGGATTACCTTTGCCTCTCAAATGTGTAGGCTCCATCCCCACTCTATTGGTCTATTGAATTCTAAGTTTTTTTTTTTAACTGGCTTTCTCTCTCTCTCTCTTTTTTTTTTAATGGAGGACCTCCTTTAGAAGTTTCATTGAAAAGAATACATAGGGAAGAAAATTTTGGAGAACTTGAATCTCTAAATGTCTCATTTAAGTGATATTTTGATTGGGCCTAGAATTCTAGAATATAAATTATTTTCCCTCAGAATTTTGTAGCATTATTCAACTTTCTTCTAGTTTTCTGTGCTCTCTTAAGAAGTCTGATCCAATGCTGAATCTTGATTGTTGATGTCTAACGTTTTCTCCCTTTAGAAACTTTGTGGATCTTCTCATTGTTCTCTGAGTTCTGAAATTCAAAATTATGAGCCACGTATAAGTCTGTTTTTATTTATTGGACTGGACACATACCAGGCCCGTTGAGTGCAGAAAGTCATGTTCTTAATCAACTTTGGAAAATTCTCATGACCGTTTTCTGTTGGTGATTTCTACCTTTCCCCTTTCCATTTTCCCTGTTATCCCATTATTCAGATGTTGAATCTCCTGTATTTCTCCTCTGGTTTTTAAATAAATACTCTTATGTTTTCTATTTGTCCTGACCTGAGGGTCTCCTGACCTTGGGTGACTCACCTGCCTCGGCCTCGCAAAGTGCTGGGATTACTGGCATGAGCCACTGCGTGAGGGTGCCTCTTGTGTTTTTTTTTTTTTTTTTTTTTTTTAAAGAAAAACACCCTTTCCTGTTATTTTTGTGTGTTTTGTTAAGGCTGACAGAAGACATGCACATGTTCAACCTGTCATCTTTAGATAGTGATCCAATATGTCTTTATAGAGGGCCTACCATGGACTGGACTGTGCTAGGAACAATGGGGAATATAAAGATGTTCCCTCGAGTCATGAAATTGAATCACTGTCAGGACTCAGTTTTAACCTGAAATTTAGAATTGGCCTTAGGAAAGACTGAGTAATTCAAGATGCTGATTTTCCCATGATTGAGGTCAAATCAAAGATGGAAAAAACATAGTGTAATAATTGTTAGAATGAGTAAGAAAAATCTTCCTTAGGTACTTTATGTATTGAGATTTCTACATGCTGTAGTAATTTTTTTCTTCTTTTCTTTTACTATTCGACCCAAAAAACTAATTAAGATGAAAAAGAGAAAAACTTTTTTTTCCCCCTGAGCATTTTCAAGATAGTCTTGTGAAAATAACTCTCCTTTGAAGGGGTGTTAAAGTCCCCCAGGATTCAAATATAATAAACTTGATGTCACACAGTCAAATGTCCATAGAAGCTACCTGGGTGTAAATAAAGAGAAGCAATAGAGCAAGAGACATAATATATGGCAGAAGGCCCTTGACCTTAGAGTTGAGGGACCACAGAAAGCAGCAGGAACTGTGGAGAACTGAACAGGGCATACCCTATTTAAAGAGGGTCCTCGCTATTGAACTTCAACCTCTTGCTGCTTTGTGGAAATGAACAATCCAAGTTGTCAAGGGAAACCAGAAATCTGTGTTTTTAATATGAAAATTTAAAATAAGATATTAAAACAAAATATTAAAATGTTAATATGAAATAGCCCAATTAAAACATTTTAAACATTAAAAAGTAGCTAAACTTTTTTTAAAAAAATACTGTGCAGGCCAAAGAAAATGTATTTGTGAAGCAGGCTGAGTTGTAGGTCTCCAGTTTGCAACCTGTGCCATAGTCTTCTATTTGCCCTGGATTCATTTTTCAAGATTATATAGGGCCATTCACAATTGTCATGGCAAATGTAGCCCCAAAGATTGATATTCATCTCTGGAAATATTAGGCTTAGCAGGATGCAAAAATGGGAGATTCCGACTTACTAAAAAAGTGGGCCAAAAATCCTATATGCTGTTTGCCATAAGAGTTACACTATTTTTTCACAAAGAGTTTTGACTCCATTTCTCAAAACCCGCCAGCTTTTTCACAGTGCTTCTAATCAGAATTGAATTTTTTTGTTTTTTTTTGGGGGGGGGGGACGGAGTTTCACTCCATCGCCCAGGCTGGAGTGCAGTGGCACAATCTCGGCTCACTGCAAGCTCCACCTTCCGGGTTCACACCATTCTCCTGCCTCAGCCTCCCGAGTTGCTGGGACTACAGGCGCCTGCCACCACGCCCAGCTAATTTTTTGTATTTTTTAGTAGAGACGGGGTTTCACCGTGTTAGCCAGGATGGTCTCGATCTCCTGACTTCGTGATCTGCCCGCCTTGGCCTCCCAAAGTGCTGGGATTACAGGCGTGAGCCACCGCACCCTGCCTCTGATCAGAATTGATCTTGCAATGCTGTACAGCTGTATATAGGAGTGAAGAAGCTCTCTATCCATTGTTAGGAAAGGACTGCCAATATATATTCTTAGGTGAAAAAAATCAAGGTGAGGAACAATGTCTAGTGTGCTACTTTTTGTGTTAAAATAGAGGAAAATAGAGACATATTTGTCCATTTGCTTGTATATGCATGAATAAAATCTAAAAGGTTACGTTTTAAAAATTAGGAACGACCTGTGGGGTACTGGGCAGATGGCCGGGCGCGGTGGCTCACGCCTTAATACCAGCACTTTGGGAGGCCGAGGCAGGCGGATCACGAGGTCATGAGATTGAGACCATCCTGGCTTACATGGTGAAACCCTGTCTGTACTAAAAATACAAAAAAAAATTAACCGGGCGTGGTGGTGGGCGCCTGTAGTCCCAGCAACTTGGGAGGCTGAGGCAGGAGAATGGCGTGAACCCGGGAGGCGGAGTTTGCAGTGAGCAGAGATTGCGCCATTGCAGTCCAGCCTGGGTGACAGAGCGAGACTCCGTCTCAAAAAAGAAAAAGAAAATGGGCAGATGGGAACAAACTGGAGAGAAGGCGTTCATTATATACCTTTTCCTTGAGTTATGATATCATCTTTTTGAAAAGTTAAATTAAAAATTATTCTATTTTTAGCCACGTGCAGTGGCTCATGCCTGTAATCCCAGCAATTTGGGAGGCCGAGGCGGGCGGATCACTTGAGGTCAGGAGTTTGAGACAAGCCTGGCCAACATGGTGAAACCCCGTCTCTACTAAAAATACAAAAAATTAGCCAGGCATGGTGATGCATGCTTGTAATCCCAACTACCTGGGAGGCTGAGGCAGGGGAATCGCTTGAACCGGGAGGCGGAGGTTGCAATAAGCTGAGATTGCACCATTGCACTCCAGCCTAGGCGACAAGAGTGAAACTCTGTCTCAAATTTAAAAACAAACAAACAAACAAACAAACAAAAAAACCTATTCTCTTTTAATCACAAATCCATACCAAACTAACTTAAGTTTGAAAAGGGTGGTGTATTGCCCTATGTACCTGAAGAGTCCAGGAGCAGGACTAGCTGCACAAGGCATGGCTGGATAAATTAGGACTTTTTTGCTTTTGTTTTCTTTCCTCTCTAACTCTCAACTCTCAGTTTGAGGGTGTTGGCTGCATTCTCTTACAGCAGATGCTGCCCCCTAAGATTCTGGAAAAATGGTTGCAAGATGTATGAGTCACATGCCTACAGTGGCTACAATCTATTATTATAGATTGCCAAGGAGGAAGAGAAAATATCTTTCTTCTTTGGTAATAAAGTCCAAAAAAGAACTCTGGATCATCTTAGGCTACATACCCATCCCTGATCCCTGAACCAATCATTATGGTCAGAAGGTAGAGCACTTTGATTGGCTAGGCTTAGGTCACATGGGGATATTTAGCTTGTCTTCACTTGTACCACATAGAAAGGGCAGGGATATTCCCTAAAGCTAGGGGTGATGGGCCATGAACACAAATCTATTATAGAACCAAATGGGCTCAAAGTTAAAGCAACCCTTCTAAAACCCTGTGGCTCAGATCTTTATTAAAGACCTGCTGCAGAACTCAGGGAGCTGCAAGATGCCAGGTGCATGGAAAATGACCATTAATCCTCCAAAAATACACTCGCAATTTACATAGGCTGCAAAGATGAGACTAGAATATGACATCTTTTCCTAGGCCCCTACCTGATTAAAGTTGCTATTTTGCATACCAGGAAACAGAGTAAGCCCGTTTTCCTCACAGATTGTTTATTTCACTCAGGTATAAATTGTTTGAAAGCCCAAACTAAAATGATGAGAGAAAAGAAGAAGCAATACAGCAAGCTCAGATTTCAGAAATGATGAATTAATGTTCACCAACTTGACAGATTTTTCAAAAATAAAAACTCAGCTACGTTCATTAAAAAGTCATCTAGTCTGATGACTGAAGACAAAAGAATGAATGTCCTGTCAGTGAGTTAGCTAGTTTATGCATCCTGCAGCTTTTTCAGGACCTGGGGAAAACTCATTTGCTTCAAGGACTGATTCCTCTCACAATGCATAAGGTGTGGCTATTTTTGAGTGTACCTAAATTCTCTCTTGAAGGCTGAATCAAGCCACTTGAAACCCTTGAAATATCAGTTTCTCTGTCTTTAAAATTGAGATGATAGTTTTGTTTTATAAAATTGTTGGGAGCTGCATTAGTGTCTGCTATAGACTGAATGTTTATCTCTCTCCACAAAGTCTGTACATTGAAATCCTAACCTCCAGTGTGATGGTGTTGGGAGTTGGGACCTTTGCATGAGTGGAATTAGTGCCCTTATAAAAGGGACTCCCAGAGAGTTCCTGTTCCCTTCTGCCACATGATGTTACATGAAAAGATGTCTGCCTATGGACCAGGCAGCCAGCCCTCACCAGATGCCAAATCTGCTGGCATCTTGATCTTGGACTTCCCAGCCTCCAGAACTGTGAGAAATAAATTTGTACTGTTTGTAAGCCACTCAGTCTACAGTAGTTTGTTACAGCCACCCAAGTGGATTAAGACAGTATCCTACTTAGTCAATTGGGTGGCCATGTTTGTGGTAATTTGTACTGCATTTGTACAATTTGCATTTGTACACTTTGTGTAATTTGCAATACAAATGAACACAAATGTAGCTTAAAACAACACAAAATTATTATTCACAGTTCTGGAGGTCAGATGTCCAAAATGGGTTGGCAGAGCTGCATTATTTCTGGAGGCTCTAGAGGCAGAAGCCATTTCCTTGCCCTTTCCAGTTTCTAGAGGCTGCCTACATTCCTTGGCTCATGGCCATATCACTGATGTCTCTCACAGTTATATCTTCTTTTCTGACTCTGACCCTTGTGCCTTCCTTTCAGAATGACTCTTGTGATTACACTGGCCCAACCAGGTAATCGAGGATAATCTTTCATATCAAATCCTTAATAACATCGGCCATGTAAGGTAACATATTGACAGTTTTTGGTGACTAGGATATGAACATCTTTGGGGGACCATTATTCTGCCTACCACCAGAGTAGAAAATGAAATAATGTCTGTGAATTTTCTTAGCACTGTGCTTGCCACATATTAGATACTAGATTAATGCTGATTTTAAGTTTCTAAGTTTTATCAATTCAGATATTTGACCATGCATCCTGTCTAGCCTTACATTTTTGGATGTTTGATATCCTGGTAGAGCAGAATATATAATATTATATTCCCATGAATACCAACCTAATTTTTTATACTTATGAGCTCTTTGTACTTGAAAGAGATTGTTTATCCAAAAATAAAGGGCAGTCCTTGGATGGAACTATTTTAAGCGGCAAAATTGCCAACACGCACATTCTTTTCAGCTACTCTGTAAGGAAGACCAAATGTACCACATGGATTGTGGAGAATTTTCAGAGGATACTCAATGTCTTAAAGAATGTTCCATCTTATAGATGGCAATAAAAGAGTTAATTCATCAAGGTACACTGCAGGAGGTCAAGATTTGGCAGTACAGGTGTTTGTACCTTAGCACATCTCCCCATTTGTCTTTAGGTTAACAGGTTCCAAGGGCATCGCAGTGTCCTTCTTTTGGGGGGGGTCCTGCTGGCCCAAAATTATACTCAGCATGGCCCAGTGGCTCTGATTCAGGGGGTTGAATGGTGAATTTTGATGCTTTTCTCCTGGCCTATTATACTCCAAGGACTTTAATGGCAAAACAGAACACGCTACCACATTGAAGAATGTGCAGTGGACTTTGAGAGCCTCCCAAAATGATTCATGAAGCCTAGTCATATATCTAAAGAAAGGTCAAGATTAAGGCTTTATGTATTCTAGCAGAAAAAATGAACGCCCATGATTCGCAGAGGGGTCAATCTTTGCAGTAATGAAGTTTATATTTGGGATGATGGGCCATCCCTCATATATGTTCTTTTGGTTAATAATAGTCTTTGTTTAGTAGTCACTCTCCTAGGAGGGAATGCTAATGTAATACTCACTGAGTTTTCTGCTGCTGGCTGGAGATTATCAATAGGTCATAAATAAACTACCATCACATAGAAAAGACAGTAAGATTATATATACTCCTACTACCTCCAATTACTGTAAGAGTAACAATTATAAGGTTGTACTCCTACAGCCACCCTAGGGCGAAAATGAGAGGAAAATGTTCCATTAGCTTAATGAAGAGAACACGGCAGAGCCACAAATTTCCTCACTATTAGCACCCATGGTGTGCCCCAGCACAGGAGGGAAGCTCAAGTTCCAGGGTAACAATTAAACTTTCTGACAATTAGCCCCTGCAAGGTATGGTCTCTGAACCTAAAGGAGACATTTCAAGGAATCCCATTTACATTTTTCTCACCTCTTGCCTCTGAAATTTGAGTCATTTGCTTGTGGAAACGGAGGGCATCAGGGCAAAAGTTTCTTTTACAGATGGCTACAAAGCATCATTGGCAGGCTTGCCAGAGAGCACCCATCAACTGAATGCCCCTGTTAGTAGAAGGGAGGGTTAAGAAAGGTGAAAGATCTGCAGAGAAATGTTCACACCAACCTAATTAGGGAAAAGATGAACTGGATCAATGTGAGTACTTCAGCTTTAGTGTTATTTGCGTTAGAAAGAAGACCACTGAAGAATAAAAATAGATGTAAGTCCTGGCATTGCAACTGTCAAAGAGTCAGGTTTGCTCCTGGCAGGCCTTGTATTAGAGGGAGAAGAAATCAGGCTCCCCAGACAGGCTGCCCTGTGTTCACATTTTGGCTCTACTCTCATCAAGCCCCGATTTTTCTCCTCTGCAAAATGGAGGTACCAGTAGAACAAACTTCCACGGTTTTGGGGAGGATTAAAAGAGAAAATCCATAGAGATTAATCAATAGTAAGTGCTTGACAAATGTTAGGTATTATTATCTAGGTTCAGAATTAGCCTACAACACCATGCATTTGTATAGCATAAGTAAATATGTGTGATAATGAATACTCTCAACATTTCCTTTGCCAAAATTTCCATGTTCAAACTTTACTTGGGTGTAATTAAATAGTTTACTTAAGATCCTCTCAATTTAAGAAGTAGGGTAGAATATTTATACAATTTGGAGATGTAACATGTCTGAACTGTTCTACAAATTGATCATAAATATATGGATAAATATGGGCAAATAATGGACTTTTCTCTCATTATCCAAAACATAAGGGGCTTTTGTTTGGTCCAACTTCTTTACCCAATTAAATGGAATACTGATGTTGAGCACACCAGTCCACTACTTCTCTTGCCCCTTATTGCAGCCAGAGCCTGTTGAAAAGTGGGTGGTCTACTGCCTATCTCTCTGGGCAAGACAAAGCAGCTCTTAGACAAAGCCCAACTTCTCTTCCTTGGAGCTGACTTTGACCATGGTGCAGCTCTAACGTACGCCTCTTTCTCTTTTATACCCCACATCTTCCAGGGTAGCAGTTGGCCTCAGCAACTCTAGATCAGTCACCTCATGAATGCAGTTCCCCCTCCCCATAATTTTGCTCAAAATACTCTCAGTGGATCTCCTGAATTGAAAATTTCCAACCTCTGACTTCCAATTATAGTTACTAATAGAAAGCTTAAAAAAAAAGTCAAATAGCAGACTATCTTATTGAGAAACAGTCTTGCTTAGGATACAATATTTCAAGCATTATCTTTCATACCTGTGGATTTTACACTGATGTTTCAGAAGGTAGTTGGCAATTGCAATTAGGCTTTAGGTGTTTTGTGAAACTACAACAGTTGTTTTTTTAAAAAATCTTTTAAAATAGCAAGATACTGAGTTTGAGAAATAGAAGTACTTCTCAATGATACCTTTGCCTGTCCTGTGACACCTAGATGTCCTTGTCATGATTAAGCTTGGGCCACTTCTTTTTCCCGGTGTGTGGATTTTGCCTTTCACAGCACTTGCTTCTCTTTTCCCAATCATTAGAGGGTTCACTTTTGCCCCCTGCTACCTGGCTCTCCCCCATTTTGTGACCACTATACATTACGTTGTAAAAATTGTACCCCACTTCCATTCCTAGGACTCTTTGTCCTGATTACCCCTCCCCTCTTTTTTTAACTCCAAAGAATTTATCACCACCTCATATACTATGTATTTTACTTATTTACATCTTTATTTTCTATCTCATCTTACTGTAGTTAAGCTCCTTGAGATCAGGGGATTTTGTTCTATTCATGCTGATCTCCAGTGACTAGAATAATGCCTGGCACATAGTAGATGTTCAACAAATAGTTATCTATAGGTAAAATGTATTAATTTTTAAAATTGTGACCCAACCTCCAAAATTATAGATGAAGATTTTTATAACTCAACTTCCTTAACTATGAACCCTGTCATCATTGTCATCATTACTTTTTTCTTAATTTGTCTCATCTCTCATGGCTACTAACAATAAAATTTGATACCTACACTAATTTAAAAAGAGATCTAATTTAAAAAAAAGAGGTTGACTTTTTAAAAGATTTAAAAAGAGATGGATAAAAAAACAGATAATCTAATCGTCTTGCTTCCACATTTTTCAGATTTAGAAACTGAAAATAGATATAATTGTGATTGCACAGCTACTTGCACTGTGTGGATCTTGGGGAGTGGGGGAGTGTTGTTTTAGTTTTAAGATGGAAAAGCCCTGTGACTTTATAAAAAGATTTGATAACCTGTGCTCATGAGGATAGATGCTCCCATAAGCTCATGAGCCCTAATTCCCTGTTTGCAATCACGAGTAATAATTTTGGCTGTCCCTTTATCAAGGTGGATGGACCACATGAGTAGGATGAATAAGGAGGTGCTGATGTAGCATAGTTTGAAAGGTATCTAACAGTATGGAGGCCCTATAGCCCCAAATACAGAACACTGTCAATGTCAGAAATCGCACCATTGGCCTTTTTGCTCAGCTTTACTCACTTTGCAACATTCTATCTGAAAAGCGAATCCTCTAATATTAGAGCACGTGAAGTCGCTAATACTTCAGTGGGGACACAGAGACTTGGAAGTGATTCCCAAAATCTAGGCACACAGAAGTACTGAGATTTTAGGTATGGAGAAGGGGCAAAGTGGATACTAGTAATGTACTCAAAGAGAAAGCAAAAATGCTGAGGGTCAACTGCCCACCTAAGGCCAGCTCTGAATTTCCTCCCCAGTAAAATGGGTCAAACGAGCCTGCATAGTGTTAATGGTGGAATATGATGCAGAACTAATCACGTTGTATAAACGCCCTTGGAAGCATGTGGTTGACACACAATTATTTGAGAATTGTTAATTTACTAATAGATAGCATCCTTGGATCTCCTTCTTACTAAGTGAATATTGATGAACATATAACGTTCAAGGTTGGTGCAGCACATCTTTGAAGGTTTTCTGCAGTTGGATGTCCCTGGCACAAAACAAAGCACGTTTTTGTCGAGAGAGATGAAATGAGGGAATGCAGTAATGTGTCGAGGGCAGGGTAGTCCCCTCCTGATGCAGGCAAAAGGGGATGCAATGTCTGTAGAGAAGTACACGTAATAAAACTGACCAAAATTTGTCTGCTTTTCATTATCACTATGTGCCACCAATTCTAAACTATGCGAATAATAAAATAATCCTCCTGTAAACTGCCTTGTGTTAAATTCTAAACAATTGCTCTGGTTGTGGTTGAGTTGAAATAAAACATATGAAAGTTTCAAATGAGCACATCTTGATAACTTACCCTTTAATAAACATTGTATCCTACATGTAAATTAATTTGGAGAATTTCCAATTGTACAGTTAATCCCCCACAAAAGGGCTCTGCTATACCCATTCTTTTTGAGAGTAACAATTGTGAAGTGCTGAAACTCACTTTGAAGCCAATTTCTATGTTTAAGCAGTATAGTTGAAATTAACAATTTAGCGCTGTGATTTTAAAGATGAAGAAACAGAACCTGAGTTACTTCAATTAGGTCATTCTGTGTAGTTTTTATTACAATAGTGAAGCAGCATGCCAAGTCTGAGGCATGTTTTTCACAAGTGTAAATTTAATGTTTTTGACAAGTGCAAATTTTATTTCAAGCATCATCTTTTACTAAATTTGAATAGTATTACTTTATTGTTAACTTTTTTTTTTTTTTAATTTTGAGACACGGTCTTGCTCTGTTGCTCAGGCTGGAGTGCAGTGGCACAATCACAGCTCATTGCAGTTTCGACTTCCCAGGCTCAGGCAATCCTCCTGCCTCAGCTTCCCAAGTAGCTGGAACCACAGGCTCACACCACCACACCCGGCTAATTTTTAAAAATTATTATTAGAGACATAGTCTCCCTATGTTGTCCAGGCTGATCTCGAACTCCTGGTCTCAAGATATCCTCCCACCTCAGCCTCCCAAAGTGCTGGCATTACAGTGTGAGTCATCGTGTCTGGCCTAACCATTTTTTTTTTTTTTTAACTAAAGAATAACTCAAGAAAACAGAATGTTACGTCAGTGGTGTAATCTAGTTGTCTAAATTGTACCTTTTGCAGATGTTTTGGTTTTACTAAAACTCAGTTACCAGTTACTGTAATGTTAGTATGCATTACTGAGACAGACTAACATGTAGGTATAAACTCTCCCCTCTTTTTGAGATATATAATGTAATTTAAAAGTATTGGTATTTTTTATTCTGTAATATTTCCTTTTTAAATTTTTGTACTGGCATGATTATTATGCATACACACACACATTTTCAATAAAAGACCATTTTTAGTATCTGCACTCATTTTTCAGCCATCATTCTCGTTCCTTTCATGATTATTACTGAAAATAATTTTGTCCTGTGAAGATGGGTATTAAAAAAATCCACTTTAGGTGTCAAATACTCTAGATATGACACTAATACCTACAACACTGGTACTACAATGAGATCTTTTACTCGGAGCTCTTAATTAGCTGCAGCTTTGCAAATACACTTTGTACCTTCACTGGCTGATTTTTCTAGTGATTGCTAAAACAATGAGCTACTTAAGACCAATCTGAGCTCCGTTTAATTCGGTTAAAAGATAAGAATTCTTATTATTGCAGTTACTTTGTCTTGATTGGTTAAATTAACATTCAGTTATTGGGGTTGCTGTGCAATATACGGTACTATTTTACCTACTGTGTGTTCAGAGTAGTCTTGTCATAGTAACAGCATGCTAGCATAGGAAGCATTATAACAAATAGGTAAATACATGTCTTTTGTGAATTAAAGGAGGTAATTATGTCAGCCTTACTGCACTTGTGGGTGAATAGCTAAAAATAATTAAAGTAAAAATGCCAGAAAATATTTAACATTAAATAAAAATAATTCCAAGATTGTCATAAGAGTGAAAATGAGCTATAAAACATAATTTTTAGTTTCTCTTGATAGACTATTTCAAATTAGAATATGAAAACACATATACAAATACTCTTTTATTTTCCCTTCATTCAAAGCAGTCCCAGTCCTAGACTATACGCTACAGCTACGATTGCTGTAATTTTCCTGTCAAAATATTTGTTACAAAAGACTTCCAAATAATTGTTTTTATTTTTATAATTTATCTTTATGCTTTGTACAAACAAAACCCAAAAAAATCTTGATATTTAGAATATTTTGGCTCCCTAGAAACATGTAGGATTATGCTGTATGGGGTGTCCTATTGAGATTCATTTAAAAACAAACACATCAGAACTTGCAACTGAGCCTCCAAGTCGTCTTTGGTTAACTACACACTTATTCCAATGATTCTGCCATTGTCCCAAATCTTTCTGGGAATTTTTTTCTTTGTGAATGGCCTTTAAACCATGTAGCATATTCTTCCAAATATTTGATGTATTGAGCCTCATGAATATAAGGTGGTTAATTATGTTAGATAAAATGGTTTTTATTTAAACAAAAGAGGAAATTATGAGGTTCATTTTTCTTTTGTAGCTTCTAAATTAGCTTCGAAGACTTTTCCAAGAGAGGTCCCCTGAATATTTTTCTAGCTAGGATACACTGGAATCATATCTAGAGGAGACTAATTTGAAAGACATGTATTTGAACTGGTAGAGTTGTTAATGATGTGAGTCCTCCTTTTTCTTTTAATAGTCAAATAGATTTTAATGGCTATTGATGTAAAGCAACAATCAGTGGCATAACACAGCCGTGTGTGGGCAAGAATGAAATGCTTAAATTTAGAAGCCACCAGGGAATTATCTGACATCAGTTTCAGGATCACACTACATTTTCCCCAATCTTTTTTTCTAAATTTGGCCTAGAACATCACTCAGCAGTGGGTTGACATTATTTTGCATATATAATTATCCTCAGCCTTATTCCAAAAATGATTTGAGAAAACTATAAGAGATATAGTAGTATATCATTAATAAAGATCAGTACAATATGATAGGGTAGTACAATAGGATGCAACATAAAAAATAGATTGAGGGTGGGAGAGGTGACTCACACCTGTAATCACAGCACTTTGGGAGGCTGAAGTGGAAGGATTGCTAGAGCCCAGGAAATTGAGACCAGTCTGGGCAACATAGCGAGACCCCATCTCTACAAAAAAAGGTTTTAAAAATTAGCTGGGCATGGTGGTAGGCACCTTTAGTCCTAGATACTTGGGAGGCTGAGGCGGGAGGAATGCAGAGCCTGGAAGATTGAGACTGCAGTGACCCGTGATCACACCACTGCACTCCAGCCTACGTGACAGAGCAAGACCCTAGCTAAAAAAAAAAAAAAAAAAAAAAAAAAAAAAAAAAAAAAAAAATTGAGGCAAAGGGAAAATAAGGATAGAATAGAAAAATGAAGACAATACAAAGCTATTAACAAAGCATGTAAATGAAAAGCCTCTGCATACCTCTAATAAAGATCAGAATTTCAGCTGTCAGTTTCCTAGTTACCAAACCAGAGAGGAAAATAATCTGTTACAAAACATATATATACTAATATGTGTGTGTGTGTGTAGGTGAGGTGGCACTGGTTAGCTTAACTAGATGAAAATCTAAACCTGACTCTGCCATTGACATAAACTTTTGATTTCTATGTGTTGCAGTAAACATGAGGATTTAATACTTGGCTTTTCCCTATTATACTAGAATACATTACAAACAATAATTGGAATGTAAATAATTATGACCTATTTTCAGTTCATAAGTCATTAATAGAAACAGCTGACATTGATATTCGAGGGGAGTCAAAGGGAATGAACAGGCATCACCTATGTCGCATTCACTTTGTATGTGCTACATCATTTAATTCATACACCAGTCTTAAGATGTAAGGTTCCTATTTTATAAATGAGGTCCCTGGGCCCCAGGAGACCTTCTTAAACAGAGATGGCATTTGAACTGTGGCCTGCCTAATGCTACAGCCAGAGTATATTCTCCACTGACTACATTGCTTACTAAGCCTGCCAAAGGCTTTATTGAGAAACTATCTTACGTAGGATAATAAAAAGTTATCTTTCTTTTGGATTCCCTAAGCATCAATCTTTGGTTTTCACAAAGGCCCAAGATTACTGTGCACTCATTTGAGTTTTAACCTTTATGTTAGCTATACTCTACCCAAATGATTTACTCATTTTCTTTATATGAATTCCTTTTAAATTTATTTAAAGAGAACTTTAAATCACTATTAAAAATGTAAAACAAATGTGTTTGCCAGAAATAGAAGACACAAAGAGAAGTAACTATTAAAAGATGGGAATATGTGTAGTTCCTAAGAAGCTCTCTGGCACTACCAACTGTGCCTCCCTGGAGGGTGGGGGCCCTCCTATGCAGGACTGGGAAGTCAGGAAGCTCCTTGAGTGTAGGGGAGTGGTCTCCGGGAGTTTCTGAGGATCAAATCCAGGCTTCGATGTCATTTATTTTTCTCTTTTCAAACATGAGAGAAACTTGGCATTGTGGCAGAGACGCAACCCAGGGAAGATGAAGGAATATACCCACTGCCATCAGAAATGTGTAGCTGCAGCCTAGGATACCTTATCCAATGGAGCAAATTTGGGCAAAATGCTGGTAGAATAAAACAAAACAAAATGTGTCTTTTCTGTGAGATGAGAACAAATTATCTCCCACTCCTTTTAGCATTACTGAGATTTAAGTGCCCTTGTTCTGAAACTTCAGATTTTCAGGAAGCAAAATTTGACAACTCAAATGTTTCACCACATGAATAAATCAAACAATCTGATATTAAAACATTTTATGTTGTCAATATTTTTCTATTTTTTTATGAAAAAAAAGTCAAGAAACCCCAAGAGATAACAGCTGGTACTCAAAGCATTTCTACATCTTTTAGATTGTAAATTTTAGGAAAGCAGGTACTTACTCTAATTGTACATTCCCACACCCCCCCACCACCAAACAGGCCCCAGTACAGTATTTTATGCAATGTGTGTTAGAATATTCTGAACATATTCATCTCTTTACCAGACATCCAACTCCGGTTTGATCATGGTTCATCTTAAAAAGAAATGACTTCCACAAACAGCAATTTGTTATGAATGGTACGGACCATATGTTGGACAATGTAAAAGACCTCCAGAAGTTAATTGAGCTCTATTAATAGTTTGTGCATTATTACCACATTTGTTCAATGTTCCTGTGGAAGAATTTTATTTTCACTCAATCCCACTTTGGGTAGAATATAACTGTTTTCTTATAATTTGTGAATTTTGAGAAAACTTCTTTCCATGAATAATGACGAATTGTTAAACTTTAGCAAACTTTATAAAACACTTACACCCACTCAATTGTACAGCCATTTTATTAACTCCAAACACCCATTCAAGCAACTGAGTAGGCATTCCTGCAATACAGAATTGAACATTCAAAACCAAGGGCACATGGACAATTCATATAATTTTGATAATCTGAAGGCACAGTCACATAATTATAGGTAGAGACAATTCCATGAAAAGGCCATTATAAGTCTTTGATACAGAAGGGAATGAACACTGATTGAATACCTATGCACTTATAACTTGGTATCATTCAATGCTCACAATAACCCTACAAAGTTGGGAGGAAACTGAAGACCACAGAGGTTAAGTAATTTATCCAGGACCACCCAGTTTGTAAATGACAGAGCTGGGATTTGAAATCAGGCCTGTGTGACTTCAAAGACTGTATTATTTTCTCTATACCACTTTGCCTTTATGGTTAATGGAAATGTTCTAAATAATCACTTGGAACTTTTGGATACTGGCGACTCCATTTCATTAGTATACGGGGACCGCTGAAAGCTGTGGCTTTATAGGATAGGGAGAGTCATAGCATATCAGGTCTCATTATGCCAAACAAAATCAGGATTGACTCTAGTAAATAGTAGGGAGCCCACAAAGCTGTTGTAGAGTGAGTTTCGGAAGGACATTTCTAAGATACGAGTGCCAAATGTTTTAAAGTTCACTGAAGCATAACTGCAAGGAACGTGTCCTATGATGGGCAGCCTCAGCTGTTGCCAGTCTGACAGTTTAAGCCAAGGCACTACACAGTGTGTCTGAAGATCAGTGTCATAAATGGCAACAAATTCTCTGAAAAGTGCTAAAGATGGCAATCGCAGGGCAGAATTCACCTGTGCCCAATACAGACTGAACCACTGTTTGCAAAATAGCCTTTCTATATACACATGCAAAACCCTAATTACTCAAACATCACTAATTTGTTTTAGGTGACAGGACAATCTGTTTTGTTATGTATTTAACATTTTGCTACTTCATTAAATCAACACTAAGCTGCTTTTGTGTTTCTGGTGGCACTGGAAATATAAAGGTATGAAAATGAATGTCATTGTCCACAAGAAGTTTGAAATATTAGGGAGGTAGGGGAAAGACTGGCACACTAATATAAATCAATGTGAGGCCACTACTCTAGAGCTTGTATTTTTCTTGTTTTCCACACATGCACACACACACACATACATTCAAAATAAACAAGGCTAAGAATGTTTTCCAAGGTAGAAGTTCTACTGGATGTGAACTATCCTAAAGAAAAATTTAGTTTATCAATTGACTACACATTAGGATAGTTGGTAAATCTAAGACACATTAGCATACAAATGTTAGATTACCTAACATTTCTTCACATATATATTTTCCTTATAATTCTATATAGACATCATATTTTCTTCACTGATAAGGCAGAGGTAAATCTCATACTAGCAAATTGAGCACACATTCAAAATCAGTGAAGGAGGCAGGAGGGGAATCAGTGGGAGAAACATATAGTTAGTATGTAGGAGTTTTTTTGTATTTAATTTAGTATTTCAGTATAATAAATTAAATATCAAATCAAATATAATAGTAATTACTTTCATTAGACATTTATATTTACCCTACATATCCAAACCCCAAACATCTGGAGGCAAAAAAAATTCTCTCTCATGAATATACTTACTATAATCTTTATTTCCTTCTGCTATATCAGGTGCTCAAGTTTCTGGGATTCTGTTTGCTAGAGATAGACCCATGGAGATATGCTGCCCCCACGGTGTGCCCTTTAACTGGCTGGGGAACTTCAACCATCACCTTTTTGGGCAGTTTCTGTACTAATAACATACAGAAATAGTCTCCTACGCTACAATGCTAATACACTGCAGGAGGTAGAATATATCGTTCAAAATATGGAACTGTTTTTTGTCTTTTGTCTAATCCCAGAGTGGCATATAATATGAGCACAAAGCTTAACATTAATTATGAATTTTTATTGACTAAATTAAGGTCTCCCTCTCAACCATATTGCTCAGCAGTTCTAAATTCCAAGCCATACCTTATGTTCAATTGTGTTTAGGCCTTCAATATTAAATAAAATAACATGCTATTTTAATATGTATGAGAGAAATACTTATGGCACGAGACCACTGTTATTCATATTAAAAAGTCCTTTTGCTCCAGTTGGTTAACAAGCTACAAATATTACTAACCACTTCTACTGATTATTGCCTTAGCAAAAGCAGAATTAGAAGCGTGGCATCTACTTTATTTTAGATTAAACATTTTTTGATTATTGACAAACACATAACTTTTTACTGATTCTAGACTTAAAATAAATATATGATGCTCTATAAATGTACATGTTATAGAAATGGTAAGTAATAAAGTAACAGGCTAACAGTTTCTTAAGAGCCTTTAGCAAGGGGTAATCTTTGATAACTGTGATAGATACCATTTTTAGGTTGAAATGTGGGAAAAGGCCGACAACTTGTCCTGTTGGTAAATCTAAGAAAATAGTTCTTCAAAAATCAGCCAATCCATAAGGGATTACAGAATACTAAACTTGTATTCAGTAACACTAAGAGACCAAGTAAAACATTTTAATCCCTGTTAAATACTATATTTCAATTTCTAAAGTGTAAGAGTGATTTAAATTGTTCATTTTAGAAAGGTAAAGGCTAAAATTCCTTCTAAATTTTTAATTACTAACTTTCCCATTTATCAATGCATATAATAAAGATTGAACTTTTAAAGGTCAAATTGGTACATCTATTGTTCAATGGCTTTTTCATTCTCAATGTAGTCTTTACGAGGTAGTTCAAAATAACTGTAGCTCTCAAAAGTTATCACAATAATCAACCGGTATTTCTCCAATGCATATATTACATACTCAATTACATACTCATTTCAGTAATTTCACAATTGTTTTCATTTTTTGATTATTTTCAGCTTATTATTTCTTATGTATTGCAGCTTCTGGGAGGAAAGTTACATAAAGCATCTGGAAGTAACTGGAAGGTATACCCAAATAAATAAATAAATGAGTTTCTTTCTTTTTTTTTTTAATGGAATATATTTCCTAGAGACAAAAATCTTTAGCAGAGAAGGTAACATTAAGTTTGGCACTTAAACATTTTGAAGTAACATAGTTGAGAAATACTATGTTAAAAGTTATTTATTTTCTAAAATGTACAAGTGACTGACTCATTTTTATTATCACTCATGCACTGTAACAGTCTGGAGAGCAGCAGGTTGCTTGAAGATGCAACAAATATTCTTTCAACACTTCAATAAACACAATGTAAACATTCACTTTAATAATGTTTCCTTTGTTAATGCAAAACCGAGTGCATTTTTTCCTTCCCTCTGGCTGAGCTATGACTAGCTGAGTAGCAACAGCAGAGTGCTGAAAGAATTTTTCAACAGCAATTTGCTTGTTCTAATTTACTTTTCAAGGTTGATGATCAGAATCATTATGTTGCTTGCAAAAAGATCTATTTCTATTAATTTGATCCAGTCATTCCTCTTCTTCTCATCATATTTAGTTTCCCTGGCAGCTTCACCAAGTAAGTTAATTGAATCAGAAGTGCCATTACCACTCCAGTTCTGGTTTCATATAAAAAATGCACTCCTATGTCCTTTAGAAACAAATCTGCTACACCTGTTGAGAAACTATGGGTGTACTGAAATGAACAACTCACGTATTTCCACAGGATGGTGATGGAACCTTTGCCTTTTGCTCTTCAAATGCTCTTTCTAGTTTAGTAGGCCCATGTCTGCAACGGGCAGTACCAAAGTATTATCTGTTGAGTACTCACTTTTTTAAAAAATAAGAAATTCTAAGAAGGTCTGTTTTTTGAGCTAGAACACAATCATCATCAACAAGATCAAGAAAGAGAAATCTTGTGTAATTTTCAAATTATTTTCTTTCATGTAATTTTACATGATGCATGTTGAAAAAGCAAGGCTTACTCCAAATGTGTAATATTCTAGAAACATAATGGGAAACAAGCTATTCCCTACATCTGCAATAACTTTCAAAATAGCTATTTTCCCAATCTCCTTTCTGTGAGGGAATGTGTGTTACTATAGTTCCAACATTTAAAGAGCCCCAGCTAAGTAGTCTGGAAGTTCAATGGTATCACATTCTTCACACTAAACACACCTATAAAACCAGTGGAGAAAAGAAACTCCAACTTCAACCACTGGCAAATTAATAAGAGTTAATATAAATAAATTAGCTCACACTTTCTTTGAAATTGGGTGTAAGCAGGCTATGTGTATGAAAGAGAAAAATCACAGGGTTTTAAAATAGATATAGTCACTAATTATCTCTTTATAACCTGCAGAGGGCACCCAAGTCCTTTGAAGGAAAAAGTAAAAATTTAAGAGGAATAACTAATTTTTAAATTTTTCATAACAAAATTTATAAACATAAAATATCATTTAAAGAGGCCATTTAAAGGAAACATGTAGTTTTGACTTTAAATGTTCAACAGATTAGAAGTGCAAAATTTCACATCCTACTGGAAAAAAAATTCAGCAGGTGGTTTTTAGTGTGGAGCATTTGTCCATCTGTAAATGCTTGTGCATCATACATTAACATGACACTGATGTCAATTAGGCAGATTAGCTAGGGCATTAGAGAAATCAACCAGACCTTGCAGTATCCTGCTTATAAGGCAAGAAGCTAGTGATACAGATACAGCCTTGTATTGTTCCAGGCTATACACAAACACTAATGTTATATCCATGAAACAGCTGGTGCGGACAGTTGGAGGCTAGTTGGAAAGCCTTCAGGTCATAAGAGTTTTAATCACTTTGTTTCAATCACAAAGGAACTCATGAGTTCCTTTGCAATTTTCAGTTTAATGAATCATTTCATTACTATTAACTAATACTGTGTTTGGAGGAAAGATATTTGAATATTTGCCCTTAAAATATTCTTCATCTTACATGATACTGACATGTTTCACAGGGAAACCCACCAAGTCAGACACACTAGTGTTGTACACATTTACGTAAATTCATATACTTGTATATATATGTTGTGTGTATATATATATATATTCTGTGATGGTGAATTTCAAAATATATCCTGTTTTATTGATTAAATATGACTGCACGGAGTGTAATGATTAAAAACACTAGTTTCTTAGCAACATAGCCATGGGAACCTGCCCTCTATCTTTATAGAATGCCGTTATCTTGTATTTTTCCTGATCCGCAATTCTGCTGTGGTTTAGGAACTTGCTATCAAAATATATTTTGAAACTAGTTATTAAATTGAAACTAGAGGAGGCTGGCTTGGCACAAACGTAAGTTAGGTATGCACTTCTTTGAGTCATTGTTTCAATTTATAAATTAGATCACAAAAAGTCTGAGCCAAAAAAAGTATAATAATCTAAATACATCCCTTGTATTGCAAAATGCTACTAGAACAGTAATTACTAAGCATTAAAATGCTGTATATAACTAAATCATTAATCAAAATCTAATCTTTAAAAACATATTTTGTAACAAATCACTATACTTTTTTTTTAAAGGTCTTAAAATATACTGGAGGAATAAATCCCGATTTGACATCTTACAAGATAAAGACTGACATTGCTATTGAAACAGTTTTAAACAGCAAATTGAGAAACCTACCATGAAACATTACCTTTTCTTTCTCAAAATACTGTGCAAAATTCCATATAATATTTCAAAATTTAAAATTATGGAAGAAGAGGTACTCAGATAACTGAGAAAAAGGCAGGCAGAAAAAATTTAATTACTCGGCTATTTTGGTAATGCTGTCACTTTTTTTTTTTAAAAAAGCATTCTGAAAATGAATGCAATTATTCTTATAATGGAAACACAAGAAGCTCCTTTGCCTCAAGAAAAGAAATAGTTAACAAAGCTTCGAAATCATTAGTCTTAAGGTGGATAACTGTGTACTGCAACACATTTTCCTCAACTGGATTTCTTTACCACACAGTATGACATTTTCTAATGGTGGTGGTGGTGGTAGGGGGAAAGGTGAGAAGAAACCATGCAGCTTAATAAAACAGAAGCATTTTCTCAGTCTAAGTTGTAGCCACTGCTTTGATTTTTGGTTATGTCAAGGCCAGTTAAGTATACCCTAGTGCATGAAACAAAACTAGAAGCAATACTTAGAATGTAGTCTTTGTTTCTTCTTTCTTCAAAGCCTATGTTTCCTAATATCATTGTTAGGCGAAGCAAAAAGAAATGTTTGTTCTATTACGTAAGAAATAAACTTCATTTGGTATTCAATTGACTTTCTAACTTAGCAGACAGGACTTTACATCTTCAAATACTGAAAATAAATTGCATTCTTGGCCCTTGCTTTAAAAGGTTATAGAGAATAAACGCACACCCTGGTAGTGTTCTAGTGATCTCCCTAATCTCAGTTGCACTTTGTCAGAACGAGGTAACTGGTAGTTAAGTGAAATACCCTAGATCAAAGGGGGATTAATCACCAACTGAATCCTTGCTGAATAAACCTGTCATTCAAGAAAATTATTTCCACTGAACTTAGCAGAGGATTGAAGGTATTTGCATAACAGGGACCAACGTACTTCAGCCAGGTTAAAAGGTTCAGAATTCATCCCATGTTTAGCTTTTTGCCTCCTTTTCCTTTCAGCAGCCTGGTACAATGGTTTCTAATCTGATAATACAGCTAACTATCTAAATGATGTCAGAACAGGAAAGTATTGCAAAGTTTGGATGAGGGATGGATCAATTTCACTTTCAGTAACTCCTAAATCTGATTTGTTGGAATTTAAGATGTAATCCTAAAAAAGTCCCTTAAACCTGAGGACTGTTTATTAACACCCCTTTTTTTGACCTTTGTCTTAGGAACAACCACTCTGTTGTGGCAGCAGTCCCTACAGAAGGCCTGGATGATAATTCCACCTACCTAGCTCCCAGGGGTAGTGTAGGAGTCTATCAATGTCTACGAAGTATTTTGAAATACTACAACAAAAACCAGAAAAAAAAATTGGCAATTGTTACCAAGTATAAATGTCTGCCTTGAAAGATCTTAAATCATACAATGTATAAAAACACCATAATTTTAACCTAGTAGAAATACTGAATTGGTGTGAAAAAAATGAAAACGATTTTATGGGACAGACTAATGTTTAATAAAAAAAATTTTTTAAACAAATAATTGTCATCAGAATTCCTGACAAGACTGCTTCAAACTTGACATTTGAATCAATTACTTAAAAAGTTAAAAAAAAATTGCCACCACCGTAAGGGTATTGCCTAAGTACTATATTGCTGGCTCTAAAAAGTTTTTAAAATATTGTTTAGTAAAAAATGGAGAAAAGAAGCGTTTACAAAATCATGAACGATCTTTTCTGGAGTTCATTCTAAAAAATTAACACTTTTTTTTTTAACCTTTCGAGTTTATTGAAGAATAATTACCTATGTGATAGACATCAGATTTCATAATCATATTTTGGCACTAAAAGGGAATTTAGCAATTTTGCATCTAGAGAAGGTCTGACACTATCCAAATCTTTCACTGGAAGTAGTTGCTCATATTCACTGCAAACGCAAAGCATCTTTCAAGTTAAAAAATGCAAAGAATAGTTATCAAAGAAAATGAATAAAATCCATAGTGAGATAATTTTTTAGAAAATGATTGAAGTTTTAACCCAAGAAAGGACTCTTAGAGTGTCTTATAGCTTAGAATAAGAACATGTCAATCACGATTAAGCTTCTGGAATCGGAATCCCTTTGAAATGCAGCTGTTTCTTCTTTAATTGTGGCAACGGACTCTGAAGAAAGGAAAGGTCCAGCCTTAAAGATGAGTAAGGAATACAAAATAGCTCAGGATTAGTTGTGGAGTTCAAAGGTCGCTAATTACACTAAGGAGTTCCCAGACACAGGGAAAACATTAAACAGGTCACCTACCAAACGGGAAACAGACTTTGTCTTCAGAAATTATCCTGAAGTGACAGGTTTCTAGACAAAATCAAAAGCATCACAGTGTGCCCAGCTGATCTCAATGGGATGAAAACCTAAGTTGGTTCAGTTCTGTAGCACTATGTTAGAATGGAATGGCAACAGATGGCATCAGGTTCCCCAACACCTCATCACTTTTCCAGGACACCCTAGATTTTCCTCCGGTTTCTAGAAATGTCAAATAGAAGATTCACTGATTTTTCTAACTGCTTATAAACTTTTGCCTAGGGGATTATTATATTAAATCTTTGCCTACTCACTAGATAAATGCCTCTTGCTTACCTTAGTGTATTTGGTAAACATTTATACAATCAAGATTCCAAATGGCTCCATTACCATTAACTTATCAACATAAGTGAAATGTTAAGCTTTGAGTTTAAGAGAGATCAAATAACTTATAGGGAATGATATTTTCTTCTTTCAAAAGGAAAGTTTTCACTGCTGATTATCTATGATTAAGCTAGAATAACAAGTTAAAATCCTGGTCAGGCAGTTATTCTTTTTTTCTTTGTTACTTGGGATAATTTTGAACATAGAACCTTATGCCATGATAATGCTTTGCAGAAAATGAGTTTATGAGTAGGACTGACCTTAATTAAAAAATCATATTTCAAATCCTAAATTTATATGCCCTATACCTTTAAACTATCATGCTTTCTTCTGAGGAGTTAGCAGCTTTTCTAAGCTTTTCCTTAGAACACTCATTAAAAAACAGAACCCAAGATATAATCAAATTGAGTATTAATCTTTAATGCATTTTTTTTTCTCATTTGTAAAAAGACATGAATGAAGTTTTGAGGTTCGTGAGATTTCATCTTTTCTTGAATGGTCACTTAAAGTCCAACTTGACAATGAACTGCTCTGAAAACATAATATGATATATAATTGCAGAAGCAGGTAGAGTATAAAGATGATGACTAGATGGTTTCTGAAGAAATCAAGAGAATGGTAAGAAAGTGAGAGTGACAGCTTTAAGGAGATATATACTACATGTGACTAAAATAAGCTTAAATGATACTCTCTACTCACAGAGTGCCTTTTGAATTTTTACCAGAATTCATTCATTAATTTTAACTTAATAAGACACAGCAAGAGCAGTATTAGGTCTAAATTACCTTTAAAAATTTGGCTGCAGACATTAAATGATTACAAAACACTATGATCATCTTCTGAAGGTATTCTACACATCTTAATATGGCTACTGACATCCTAAGCAAAATGTCAAAGTGGCAGATTAACAAGCTTACTTAAAAACTAACTCTAGAACAGAGATTACACACCTTAAGTAGAATTATGCAGATTATTTATTAGTCAATAGGATAGTTCTGATTAAGAAGAACAGCTTACTATTTAAACACTTTTCCTTTGTCTCTGTTGGCTGTTTTTTGAAGAGATGTAGTTGTCTCTAACATGGTCTCTGGTATTCTGTAACAACACCTTATACTAGGAGCTTAGTACTTAGATTTGGAAGAGAAAATAGTTTTTATCTTGCACATTATCTACAACCCACTGGGAGTGGCTGCCTGAATCTCTGAACTAAAAAGGAGCCTGACCCTTTATCCAAGGCTCAGTACAGAAAAGGGCTGTAATTGATTAGCAATGTCTGCCACAGAAACACTAGGAAACAAGTGTGGCAGGGTGACCCAGGACCAGTCTAAAATGAGCCCAAGTGAATCATTACTTTTCTATGTTCTGAATTATACTGGCATAAAATCGAAGGTTAACAAAATTGGAGACATTAGCTTTTAAAATGTCCTTTCAAGCTCTATCAGACTACAAACACCACATAAGACTACTTTTACAATTAAATCATTCAGTGATTTTTCACTCACAGGTTATATGCATCCACATTAAAAATATAAGATTATGATTTTCTTTAAACTGTTATCATTATATAATCCCATTTAAACATGAGACTATTACAATAATAATGATCCATATGTTACTGGAGCAGGGGCTTTAGAATTCCAGATGTAATAATCAGAAGAAATTAGTTTCCGGTCTAAAGAAAAGAAAAAGAAATTAATGATAAGACTATTTCAGCAAAAATTCAACGAGAGCAAAGTCATGATTTTTGAAATTGTGGAATGCAGTTATTTCAAGTCAATACTTTGAAATATTCATTTTAATTTCATATTATCAAGACTTTATTATAACTTTTACCATTTTACAAATATAGACTCATTAAATATTTGAAGAATCCATCTTTGACCTTATATGAAATATCTCTCATTTATGCCAAATCTGCCAATTTTATCTTCACATTTTCTCTAAAATCTTTTTCGTATGGACCATTACTCTGACTGCAAAAACATTAAAAATTTTTCATTGGTTTCTCTTCTATAACCTTATCACCATAGCCCTGATTCTGGGTCTTGCTATTCTTTACCCAAAGTGTCAGAGATATAAATTAACACCTAACTTCCTAGCAACATTCTAAATAGTTTGCTTCACTGGTTTCTTATTATAGTTCTGATCAATTTAAGCCTTTTTAAAAATAGCTTTGAAACTCTACAAAAATGGCAACCTATTTGAACTAAAGTTTTCTGATATGTAAAGTTGAGATAATAATGTTCATTTGGAGTTACACATGTAAATTCTTTATATATATATATAATTAAATATCCAATTAAATATAATTATCCAATTCAGCCTGTTCTACCTTTCTTCTTCATGCCCTTCTTCATAATGAAAAGAATATAGACTATATTGTCTTTTTTGTTCTCTTCAAAGTTTGAGAACGCAGTAACAATGAGAGGCAAGACAGCATACTGTTAAGTGGACAGATTCCAGAGCCAGAATGCTTGAGTATCTGACTCGCAGTTCTGCCATTTGCAAGCTATGGGACCCTAATCTCTCAGTTCCATCAGTGTCCTCATCTGTAAAATGGAGATAACAACACTTACATAGGGTGCTGTGAGGATTAATGAGACAATGCACATAAAACACTTAGAACTTTGCCTGGCATATAGTAAGCAATAAATATTAGCCATTATTATTTAAATTGGTATTATTATTACTAAACTATTTTTAAACTAAGTTGTATATTATGAAAATAGATTTTATTGTCAAGATGATGGCAAAATAAAGTTTTACATAATTGCACAAACTGGCAGTCACATTCTGAAACTAACAGAGGAAAGAAAAGATGGGTCATAATATTAATTTAAAATGAGTTCTTTCAACATATTTTGTATTAAGAAGCAGGTATGTTCCTATCTTGTATTATGTTCTCTGGAAATTACTGCAGTATGTTTAGTTAACATAAATAAATTATTTTCCCATAGACAATCTAAAATACTGGTCTGTTTGCTTTCAGTCTCTCATATATACAACAAAAAAATGATGTAAGAGAAAACACAGGGCAAGCCTAGGGAAGTAAAGAATACTGGTTTATTCTGGTTACATTACATAGTAGAAATTATATTGACAAGCACAAATAGTTGCTTAGAATTCTGTAGTTCTGAGTTCTCTAATTCTCTTGAAATGTACATGGAGAGTCCTTTCCTATTCTTTTTATTTTAGGAACCCTAATCCTTAGTTTAAGAAATATTTATCTAACTATAATAATAAAAATGTGTGTAAATTGGGATTATTCTTATCCACATATATAACAGCTTTATTCTCCTTAATGTATGAGGCAAAAAGGTTGTTTAAGTTTAGATAACTCTACCTCATTTTAGCTACTATTCGATGTTACATATTTCTATTTGATCTGAATTAAATACTTTTGATTCATTTATAAATTGTTTTTTGTCTCATATTTTCATATGTTTCGTGTGTGTGTGTGTGTGTGTGTGTGTGTGTATGTGTGTGTGTACACACATATAGATCTATACTTTACCAACCATTAAACATACTAAAATCAGGAAACGTCTTTTTTATTGTCTTCCTATTGATAGAATAGAGAAGGTGCTAAATAATGCTTATTGATTGCAACATTTGCTAAAGATATTTAAAAGTTTTAAATAAGAATCATCTCTAGTATCTACTAAATCTATACTATACACTAAGCATCATACTAAGTCAATATAATCTTATCTAAACCTCATAACAATCCTGAGGTAAATCGCACTATTATTTCCATTTTATACACAAGAAAATTAAAACTTCAAGAAGTTCGCTAACTTGCCCAAAGTTATACAGCTAATGAAATGGCTGAGCCAGGCTTAAGCCCTGTCTGTCCAACATCACAGTCTCTGTGAATCACATCTCTGAATAACCAGAGAAAAACAAATCCAATTTTACACTGAAGTTCCCCTCTATCCCAATCTTTGCTTATCCAGACCACTTTATAAACAAGAAGGCGGCAGAGGGCAGTGTAAAGTACACAAACTGTTATGTGGGGTAGAATCAGCCCAGAATTTTATAAATTGGGATTATTCTCTAATCTCTAAGTTCTGTTACATTCAAATTTTACCTTAGGTAATAACTGCAAACACCATTTTAATTCCCTTAAGTTAGTTTGAATCTGTGTAACTTACGTGCACTTATTTTTGGTTTTCCTGATGCAAAAACTTGAACTGAATGCTGATCTGCATAACATCCAGTAAGTGTGTAATCTAAGATCCTAAAATGAAGCTAGAAAGAAGAGAGAAATGTACCAAATTAAGGTGATTATTTGGTAAAAAGCATGGTTACATTTTTTCCCTTAACCCAGTCTTAGGGAATTTATTTTACACAGTTCACAAAATAAAAACCACAAGTACTAAACTTGAATTGTGTGTGTGCGCACACATATATATACAAAAACACACACAGTTTTTTTTTCCGTTTGCATTAGGGCCATTTTTTTGTAAGGCTGTCATTATGAAGTACTTAACACATAATACGCACTTCACTAACAGCTCTAATCCATACTGCAAGGTATGCTGAGTGAACTGACGTGCAAAGATGGAAGCAATTGGTATCCCAGCACGTAAGCAGCAGAGCTGGCATTTGAACTCAGACCTTACCGACTCCAAAAGCTGGTGCTGTCTCCCCCGTGCTACTGTCTTGCATGCCCTATATTCTCTTCTATCCCTAGGGCTATGTGGCTATGATATATTCTAGATCATAAGTCTTTTACAGGCAGGAAAGTATACACCTTCTAATAAAATATAATTTAATTATGAAAACAGAAACATCAGTTTATCTTGTGTTTAGAGGGAATGAGCTGCGCTAATTTTCCAGAAGGGTGAAATTTAACTTTTACAGAACTAATGCATAAGATGTGATTTAGAATGTAATGTAATTTTCAGATCTTCTCAGCAATTTTTTTTTTTCCTTTTGCAACCCAAATTATCTCTGATAATAAAAGGCTGTTGCGTGCTTTTTTGGTATAATTCTTAATGCTGGAAGTTATGACAAGACTGATTTCCATACAACTGAAATACTGTAAAACACACTTAGATCATTCAGTCAACAAAAATATGTGCTACATGCTTTCAATGTGAGTGTAACTGGTTGGTGATGGGAATGAATAGAAAAATCGTAATTCCTACTTTTGAAGGACATAGAATGTGTGGTAACATTCCACATTTTTTTCTGAAAGGTATCTGAAGTAGGAATTTTTATAATAATCCTTGAAACAAAGCTTCTGGACATAAGTGAAGCCAAGATAGAAGAAATGAATTATCATCAGTATACTTCTGACTTCACTACCACTTCCCCTAATTGTCTGTATTTCTCTTGATGTCTTTAATACATTTTTTATGTTTTCTTGCTACCTTTCTAATCACTCCTTCAATTCCCTCATTTGTTTTTTTTAATCTTCCTGTATTATTTTATCCTTTTCTGATCTTATTTATTTCCACTGCCTCAACTATTTGTTCTCTGTGGCTAATTCCTAAATCCTGTATACAGCTGAGCCTTCTCTTAAGAATCAAGCTTTAGATTTTTAGCTACCCACTGAACATTTACAATGGGCTATATTGCTATTGCCAGCAAAAAATATGATATGAAACCCATTTCTTCCCAATTTTCTCCATATCAATAATTTAGGTATATTCATCCATTCAGCAAATATTTATGTGTTAGGTCCTGGACTAGATATTTGGAATAAAACAATGAATGAATGAGATTCACGTCTCTACCCTCTTAAAAAGCGTCAAGTTTGGTTTAAGTTCCATTTTTTTTTAAACAATATCATCTTGGAACAACACCATTCCTTGTCTCTGTATTTAATTAGTGGTCAAGGCTTTATTTTATCACAGCTTTTACAGCAGTCCCTTCATTTTTCTCCCTTCTCCCTTCTTTTCTCTTTCTGTTGACACTACACTAACTCAGCATTATTAACTTATTACAATATTACCCTTTCATATGGAATATTAATATGTTACAGAATGGCTTGTCTCTAATTTTTTTACTCACCTTCCTTACATCCATTCCAGATTAACATTCATAAAGTATCACTTGTGAAAGACTATCCCCTACTTTAAAAAGTACACCATCAACCAAAGGAATAAAAGTAAGATTCAAACCCTCTATAATCTTAATCTAAATTATGTATCCAGTCTCTCATAGTACTACTATTTTTAGCACTGGTTTCTAAGCATGCCTTGTTTATTCTTCTTTACTCTTTTAAGTAATTTCTTTACCTAAACAAATGTTAGTCAATCTTCAAGTCTTCATATTCATGCATTACTAGGCCTCAGAGTTTGGCTTAAACTTCACCTCCATTGTAAAGCTTTCCACAACTTCAGCTGTAGCACCTTTTTCTTGAAATACCAAAGCTGTTAGCACTGATAAATTGTTGATGTGCAACACTGAAAAATTCCTGGAGGGCAAGGACTACATCTTCTATTTTCTGTATACAAATCTCAATTTTTTTGTTTTTGAGACAGAGTCTTACTCTATCGCCCAGGCTGGAATGCAGTGGCACAATCATGGCTCACTGCAGCCTCGAACTCCCCAGGCTTAGGTGATTCTCCTATTTGAACCTCCCAAAAAGCTGTGACTAAAGGTGTGCACCACCATGCCCAGCTGATTTTTCTATTTTTTGTAGAGGCGGGGTCTCACCATGTTGGCCAGGCTGGTCTTGAACTCCTGGGATTAAGCGATCCACCTGCCTTGGCCTCCCAAAGTGCTGGGATTATAGGTGGGATCCACCATGCCTGGCCCAAATCTCAAATTTGATAACCAAGAGCTGAGTAGAATTAGACTAAGTTGGGTATTAGGTTAGCTGGTTCCGTTTAAAAACAAACAAACAAACAAACAAAAAAACCCTTGTTTAAAAGAGATCTGGTCGCACTCTGTTGTCCAGGTTGCAGTGCAGTGGCACAATTTAGCTCACTGTAACCTTGAACTCCTGGGCTTGAGCGATCCTCCCACCTCAGTCTCCCCAATAGCTGGGACTACAGACATCCCGCCACTATGCCTGGCTTTTTAAAATGTTCAAGTATTAAGTGAAATAGAAGTGACTAATACTAAACAACAACAAAAAATCAAACAAAAATCCAAAAGAGAACTTATCCCAGACTAAAAGAACAGAATTCTAAAACAATTGGTGGAAAACATTAAAAATCAACTAGAAATATGCAATTTATAAACAAAGGAAGGGTGCTACTGTAGTGAGCTGTATAAATATGTTTACCTTTAAATATGCTGTTTCTCCAGTACAAATTGGGTCAAATGGCTGCTTCTCATGGCTCTTGGCTCCAAAAGTTACAGTTCCAGAAAGACTAATTTCCATTGATTTTGGGAACTTCTGGCCTAAAACACAAATATACCAATAAACAATTCTAAATTAAGTAGATTCTACAGTAAATGAAAAGAAAAAAAATCAATAAATAAAACTTGCTCACCAATAATCCAGATCAATAAGCTTTTCTCTCGAAATACTTCAAGCTGGCCAAAACTAGTTTTGTATTCCAAATGTGTAATTGGACCTCTTTAAAAAGAAAAGGATAAAATAGAAAAAGATCATAGATATAACAGTTTTAAGAGATCTAAGTCAAACTTGGCCACTGTTACTTAATACAAGGACAGCATAAAAGCAGATCTGTATTCAAGTTTGCAGAATAGAACAAATAATGAATGTTAAATCTTGAAAAACAACAAGCACACATAAACATTTTTGGTGATGATGTGTATTTCATTATTAATCCTTAAGACAACTATGAAATCATACGAAATGTATTAATACGGTCACATGGGTTGCTACAATGACTATGATTTTACTATATATGTAGATATATTTTGACAAAAAACTATGCTACAGAATAAATTTAAAAGTAGAATTGATAATAAAGTAATATTATGATATAATTGGCTAATTCACCAGGTTGTTGATAGTTTGGTTTGACTTGTATATGGAAAAATTGCTAGAAATAAATCCGGTAGAAAAATAATCCCTGAGGAAGCTACATTGGCTTAAGTGTATAATTTACTAGTAAGTTTAACTAGAAAGATAAAGGCATATTTAAAGGTAAACAGATTATTTTTATGACTATATCATGAAAATCAGCATTCATTTAAATAAAATAAAATTGTTCAGACCTTAAAAATAAGGTAAAAGACAAAGACAATTTACTGTGGGACAGTGGAAATGTATTAAGGAAGACAGAAATTATGGCAATATGCATTTTATTCCTACCTATTGTAAAAAGGTATATGGGCTTCACAGAATTCAAAATTATTTTTCACACTTTCATGAAGTTTTAAATTAATGGTTATTCTTAGTTGTACTTCTTCCTCCTTCATTTGATAAAAACCCAAAATTGGTGGGACAGGGACCTAAAAAGAAACATAAATGTCTATATAATTCTCAGGTTAATGAGTCTAAAACAACAAAAGTAACTGAGAAAAGAGTTACTTTTAATGACTTGGAGATTATTCCAAGTTGTTTTGGTAACAGCAATGATGAATCTATATTCATCTTAAGGATAGGGATTCTTCTCTCTTTGTTTTCGGAGATGAGAAAAGCGCTTTACAAAGGTGTACAATGCATTCTTGTTCCTATACTTGCTCGTCCAGGCTCCCCGTCTCCATGTTCTCTGATCTGCCGCATAGGGCATGCAGTAGGCATACTGATTACTGCCAACCTGCCCACAGCTCCTGTTGCTCCAATTGAATCCCATGAGTTCTCCAATCCCATCGTTCAGCAGTAACTTACTTGGTTGGTCATCAATGACTGACTGAAGAGGAAACAACTTGTAGGCTGGGGTGAGCCAATCATTATTTCTGGTACATGTGAAGTAAGACACAGAAAGACTACTTATACAGGGCAAGCCCTAAAGCTGTAAGGTCATGTGTAAGCAGAGAAAGCCAGTTGAAAGAGGAGACTGAGAAGCAGAGATGTGACAGACAGGGTGGACCTTGAGTACAGGCTGATACTAATTTTCTGGTTCTAGTCCCAGTAAGAACTGTGTCTGCTTCTTTTCTTATCCTTAAATGGCAATGAGATTGCCTATTGCATTCTCAAAATAAATTTGCTCTACTTAAGCTAGCTTGAGTAGGTTTTTCTAACCTACTCATTCACAACTAGGACAAGAGATAAATGGTATAGTAGAAACGAGGTTTGGAAGTCTGAAAAATTGGGGTTCAAATCCAGGCAGTTTCATTTATCAACTATAGACGTGGTGCAAGTCATTTCACTTCTTTGAGACTCTCCTCAGCTGTAAAATGGGGATAATGTTTAATCTAAAGGTTGTTAGCAGTACTACAGTACTAGAGAAAATACATGTAAAGTGCTTAGGACAATGTCTGACACACAAGCAATTATTCAATAAACAATAAATAGCTATTAATAATAATATATATTTGTAATTCAGGTTGCCTGCGATGAGGGGTATTTTATGTTCATGGTTAAAATCATGACTAAATCATACCAAAATCTATCCCATGACCATGAACTCCTTTTTAGGGAATATTAAAAAAAAAGTTCAATTATTTTGAAAGCTATTTACAAATAGTTACCGACACCAAAGATAAGAGGTATCTTATTCAAATAAGTGAATCTTTTTTTTTTTTTTGAGATGGAGTCTCACTCTGTCGCCCAGGCTGGAGTGCGCTGGTGCGATCTTGGCTCACCGCAACCTCCGCCACCTGGGTTCAAGCGATTCTCCTGCCTCGGCCACCCAAGTAGATGGGATTACAGGTGCATGACACCACGCCTGGCTAACTTTTTGTATTTTTAGTAGAGACAAGGTTTCATCGTGTTGGCCAGGCTGGCCTCGAACTCCTGACCTCAAGTGATCCACCTGCCTCAGCCTCCCAAACTGCTGGGATTACAGGCATGAGCCACCGTGCCTGGTCTAAATCTTCATCTTCAATCATCAATTATTGTCTGATAAATAGAACTTTTTCTAAGTTCTCATACCAAGAGTATGAATTATCTACTTATCAATAGTATTTATGAATATAAAGATCAGCAAACTCTCAACTATTCTAGGGTTGTTACCTGGGAAGTGTAGAAGCATAAGTTGAATGACTCTAAAGGTGGAGTGAATGGAAATTTGTAAGGCCCACTAAATGCAGAGTCATCCATTGCATCAATACTACTAGAAGTCAGAATTGCAGAGTCAAGAGAAGTTACACAAGGGTGAACTAGAATATCCTGAAGTGGAGATCCATTGGTGGGGAGACTCAAGCTGATGGTAACATTTGGCATGATTCCTTCCAAATCACACTGAAATGCAAACAGAAAGATTATCACCAAAATCTCAGAAGCAAATGTCTGTTTGAGGCTTTTCAAAATTTATCAAAGTCATTTTCCCCAATTAACTCACTTTTCTCTAGGTATTGTTCTCTTTGCTTTCTGTGTTCTTATTAATGGTTTTATCATGTTCTTAGACACCCAAGCCAGAGACCAGGAGAGCCCTCATAGACTCCATTGCTTATCTCTAAAGCTCTTACAAAGATAATTTAAATCTGCTGAATTTTCTCCATTCCTGTTGAAACACATTGACATGGGCCCTTACAATTTCTGCCACAGCCTTCTAAATATTTCTGGACTTGCTTTCCTCTAATCAGTCCTCTAATCCTCCATTAATGCCAGAGCTATCTTAATGAAACATAATTTTTATTATATTTTTTCCATGCTCAAATCCTTTCAGTGATTCTACTTCAATTCTGTATTACCTGTAAAGCCTTTCATTGTTTGACTGTCATCTACCTCCTTTTTATTTTCCTTCAACTTTTAAGTTCCAGGGTACATGTGCAGGATGTGCAGGTTTGTTACATATGTAAACGTGGGCCATGGTGTTTTGCTGCACAGATCATCCCATCACGTAGGTATTAAGCCCAGCATCCATTTGCTATTCTTCCTGATGCTCTCCCTCCTCTAACCCCCACAACTGACAGGCCCCAGTGTTGTTGTTCCCCGCTTGTGACCATGTGGTCTCGTCATTCAGCTCCCACTTATAAGTGACAACATGAGGTGTTTGGTTTTCTGTTCCAGCATTAGTTTGCTGAGAATAATGATTTCCAACTCCATCTACGTCCATGCAAAGGACATGATCTCATTCCTTTTTATGGCTGCACAGTATTCCATGGTGTATATGTACCACATTTTCTTTATTCAGTCTATCACTGATAGGCACTTATGTTGATTCCATGTCTTTACTATTGTGAATAGTGCTGCAATGAACATACGTGTGTATGTATCTTTATAACAGAATGATTTATATTTCTTTGGGTATATACCCAATAATGGAATAGCTGGGTCAAATGGTATTTCTGCCTCAATGTCTTTGAGGAATCGCCACAGTCTTCCACAATGATTAAACTAATTTACATCCTCACCAACACGGTAAAAGTGTTCCCTTTTCTCTGCAATCTTGCCAGCACCTGTTGTTTTTTAACTTTTTAATAACAGCCATTCTGACTGGCGTTGGATGGTATCTCATTGTGGTTTTGATTTGCATTTCTCTAATGATCAGTGACGTTGAGCTTTTTATCATGTTTTTTGGCTGCATGTATGTCTTCTTCTGGGAAGGGTCTGTACATGCCTTTTGCCCACTTTTTAATGGGGTTGTTTTTCTTCATCTACCTGCTTAAAAATTTTCTACCCTGCAACTTACACGTAGTCATATTGGATTCTTGCATTTCCCTAAATAAATCATACTGTCTTATACCTCCAAATGCACCTTTGCATGTGCTATTCCTTGCAGCTGCAATGTTCTTTTCTCCCTGTAAATGCTTTCATTCTTCATGTCTTAGCTCATTAGATGCTATGTGTGAAGCCTTACATTCTGTATCACCTCTACAGCCTACCTTTGCTATGTAGAGAAGCCCAGGATCTTCTTCCCTATGTAGTCTGGGTTAGTTTGCCAATGAGAGGTACTCATGAGAGATTCACAAGGGAAAAGAAAAAAGGAAGTAATTTTTCTTGAAAGTTCTTTGAAGCCAGACAGGACAGCCTCTCAAACCTGTCCTTGAGCTCCTACTTTAAGGCCAAAGTGGCCAGATGCTGCACTTCTGCGGACCTTTCCTTGAATTTCCACTGTGAGGTCATAACAGACAGATATGGCAGTTTCTCAGACTTCTTTGTGAACTTTTGATTTGTCTATCTCCTCCAGTCTCCAGACTGAAGTCTTTAGTGACTGTTTCCGAAAGGCTACGGCTAGAGGATCAAAGACTTATTTCCTCAGTGCTTCTTGAATAAGCCCTAATTTCTATATTAGACATCTTTATTCCCATAAATCTGGTTGGGCTTCTTCTGGCCCAACCAGACTGATATACTTTACTTGTATTTGTGTAGGTAGTCAGGGTCTTTGTACCTCTATCTTGAAATTCACCTCTATTAAAGCCTGGATCAAACTGACCAACTGGGCCCCATAAGAATTATTGATATCTTCTGTTTCAGCAGAAATATTTTAAGAGTTAGTGAACTCTCAAAGCATAACACTTAGCTCCTAATGCACTATCATATATTAGATTGCACCACGCATTAACTGTCCACTATCTACAGGTATCTGGTCCATTTCTCTTTTCAAGCTTTAAATTCTTTGAAAGCAAGAATCGTTACATTTTTCTTAGTATCTCTAGTGCCTGACACATTTCTATGCGTAGAAAACAATAATAAAAAATGTTTGCTGAGTGGCTATCTTTTTCTAATTATAAACCTACTTTTGTTTTCAATTTCTAATGTGAAATGTTTCACTTTTAATGTTTTACCTACTATTTGACATGTGTGGGAATTCATTATGTATCTGCTTTACAATGTAAGTACTTACAGAGCAGGCAGGCATTACGAAGAGTAGTATATACAATTAGTGCCTTTATAAGGTCTGTCAGTGACAATTACAATAATGTCAGTCACATTAATAATAAATATGCCAAATAATCTTACTTTAAAACTTAAAAAAAATTTTAGGGTTTCAACTTTTAAACCATCTGCTATTTTCTATATGTGAACTAATAAGAATAAATGAAAAGTAGTTTTGCTTTTGATAGATATTTATGGAGACAAAATAAGCAAACATCAATAGTAAATACCATTAAAATTTAATAATATTCAGTTTATACTTAGCAAATTAATCTCTTAACATTCGTAAAGGGTCAGAGAAAGATCAACCATCATGGAACCTGCCGATGAATCTATCTGCACACTTAAAATGCCGGATCATCAGTTATTTACTATAGGTTGAGAACATCCATTCTAGAAGGAATTGGTGTACTACCTTTAAACCAATCTGGCATATGTAACCCAACTTTAGAAGTAAAAGTTATTTAAAAAAAAAAAAAAGGCACCTAAGAGTTTATCTCATTTTAAAAATGAGAAAAGATTCACAAAATTGTGTAACTTTCTAAAGACATACAGAAAATTAGTGGTAGAGTGAGGTCTAGAACTTTGGACCACTGGCCTTTGGCTCTGGTTTTCTACCGAGTAGGATAAAATGAAGATGATTATTTCCATTTATAATGGGCTTCACAATACAATTCCTTTAAACAGTAACTTTCTGAAGTACTTAAAGAATGTTTGGCTAACAGTTATACTATGTACATACAACCTTAAAGAAACATTTAGTATGTAGGTTAAGGTATAGCCCCATTTTCTCCCCACTTAAAAACATTTTTTAAATAAGGAAGTTGTCCATCATGATAATCTGTATCAGGACTAAGAGTAGGAACCAATCTGAAATTCTCCTAAGAGTAAACTGGAGTCAGCCTATCGATGAACAGAGACATTAAATGCCATGATATTAATTAGCTTATATAATAAATAACATATTCCCTGTTTATTGCTACAGAATGAAAAAAAAAAAAAAAACAGAATTGGTGAATTTTCCTATTTTCTTTTTTTTTAAGACAGAGTATAGCTCTGTTACCCAGGCTGGAGTGCAGTGTCATGATTGTGGCTCACTGCAGCCTCTGCCTCCCAGTTCAAGCGAGTCTCATGCCTCAGCCTCCTGAATAGCTGGGATTACAGGCATGCTCCAACATGCCTGGCTAATTTTTGTATTTTTAGTAGAGACAGGGTTTCGCCATGTTGGCCAGGCTGGTCTCAAACTCCTGGCCTCAAGTGATTCGCCCGCCTTGGCCTCTGAAAGTGCTGGGATTACAGGAGTGAGCCACTGCGCCAGGCCATATTTTTCTATTTTCATTTCATTGAACTTAGGAGAAAAAAGATTTAACTACTTTAAAACTTAAGAATGACATAATCCATGAACACCTCAATTTTGGAGCCATTTACAATAGTTATTTCTAATAAAGTGAGTAACTGGAGTATATTTTTGACCATGATAGATATGAGTTTAAAATAGACACAAAAACTTTTAGGTAACTTTAACGTTAAACAGGATTAAAAAAAAAAGACAGACCCAATTTTTCTGTCAGGACTGTTCTAATTCTCTGCTCTTGAACTCTAGTTTTATTCTATAATATTTATACATAGCCACACAACATTAAATTTGACATATAAAAAGTATACGTAACTGCAGGGAATAAAGGAAGATAGAAAAATAAAGAAATGAGAATACTATTAATATAAACTTGTAGGAAGTTTACCTGGAGGATTTTATTTTTGATCATTATTCAACATGGCATTAATCACTGCTAACTGTATTGTTATTTACGTTGTGTTTTCCTGTTTTCTATTTCTACAGAGAACCCAATATTAACCTAACGACTTGTTTAAATAAGAGCCCTTCAACATGATTTTAGATATGTCAGAGATGTCAATTTCATCCCTCTAAAGAAAATGGAAAACAGCAGTGGTGACTTTAAAATATGTTCTGAAGTTATTTGACATTACTCTTTTCATAGGTGGAGCCTTATTCCACGCCCCTTGAATATGGACCACTTAGTGACTTGCTTCTAATGAACAGAAAGTAGTGGAAGTGTAACCTCCCAGCTAGGTAATAAAAATAATCGCTTCTGCCTGCCTGCCTGCCTGTCTCTCTCCTCTCTCTTTTCTCTTCTCTCTTCTCTCTCTTCTCTCTTCTCTCTCTCTCTCTCTCCTCTCTCTCTCCCCCCCCCACCCCTCTCTCATCATCTGGTCTGAGGGAAGCCAGTCACCAAGTGTGAGGACACTTAAGCAGCCAGTTGAGAAGTCCATGTGGAAAGGAACTAAGGCCTTCCTCCAATAACTAGGACCAACTTGTTAGCCATGTGAGTGAGTCATCTTGCAAGCAGATCTTCCAGCCTCAGTCAGACCTTCAGATGACTATAGCCTCAACTGAAAACTTGACTGCAACTTCATGAGTGATTCTACCCTGAAAGTTCCCAGCTAAGCTAATCCCTACAGAAACTATGAAAATAATAAATGTCTATTTTGGGGACAATGAGACAATTCTTTACACAGCCACAGATAACTAATATAATTGGTAAGGAATGCAAAAAGATAACATAAAATTTTACATGACTCTCCCATTTAAAAACTGCTGCTTAAGATGAAAATAAAAAATGTTATTTAAAATACAACTAGCAAATTTAACTTTTCTCCATATGTTAAATAAAACGATAAAGCAAGTACCAGAGAAAAATCTCACCTTGCAAGTCACTGTTCCAACAACTTGCCATGTATCTGCTATACCCTGTTTATCATATTGCATGGATTTTACCTTTTCAGTGATAGAAATAGAAACTTGTGGTTTTCCTTTGTACGTCCCAGTTTTCCAAGCTGGCTGTTTCTGTGGCTGAGTCACAGATGCAAAATTGGTATTATCTAATGAATTCTGTAAGTTGGCATCTAATAAAGTACCAAATGGACAAGCCTGCAGAAGCAAGTCAGGCAACTGGCTCAATTTTGTATTCAGCTCAGAGT
This sequence comes from Homo sapiens, assembly GCF_000001405.40. Taxonomy (NCBI): domain Eukaryota; kingdom Metazoa; phylum Chordata; class Mammalia; order Primates; family Hominidae; genus Homo; species Homo sapiens. The sequence continues at coordinate 57,274,614 of NC_000014.9, read as the reverse complement.
CATTTTTTTGACCTGAATAAAGAAAATCCTGTATCCCAAAAAGAAATTCAAAGCCTTGTGAAACTCCACTGACACTAATTAGTGGCGGACGAGGGGACAGAGTTTGTTCAACTAGTGGAACACAAGCATATATCATGTCATTCTTCAGAAAAGCAACAACTGGCCAGAGTTCTTCACCTCCTATCAGGAGTCCATAAATGGATGTTTTATTGATGCGTGAACAGCTATCACGACTCTCAACGAAGTCTTTATCATCATCCAATAATCTAAGTTCAAAGAGCAGTGCTTTAAGAAAGGGACCATCTTCAGGAACAGGCACATAACTTGCTCCATTGAAGACTCTGGCTCGTTTTTCAACAGTTGGATACCGTCTGCATTACGGAAACAGAAACATTATAAATGATTCTTCCAAGTAAAATCAAGATGAAAGAATTTTTTTAAAACTCTCAAATATAAGGCAAACAGTAATAACAATAAAATACACGAGAAACAAATATATACACACATCCACAAAAGCCAACAACCAAAAAATTATAATGACCATTAAGTTACTATTAGAGTGACTGTTTCATATCTGGTATATAATCTGTTATTCAAAATGCTTAATTCAATTTAGTTATCTAGTTTAGGTAGAGTACATGATTGTAATTCAAAATCCGTGTCTCTCAGCCACTCAGATACCATCTTGGTCAGCAAGGAGTATATACTTGAACCGTTTTAGGCATCTATAAGAATTTTTTTTCTTCTGATTCTATCTTAGTAGCTAGAGTAGGGCTAACAAAGTGGTTCAATTTAACCCTCCATAATTTTGGATTCATTAGTTGAGATGGTACAATTTTAAAAGGAATGTTCTATTCTACTTAACTTATAGTGAATGACAGGTACCCTGAGTCTTCTTGCCAATCCCTACAAAAACATGGAAGATCATTTTAGTAATAATGGTTTATCTCTATGGCCCTGGAAGATACTTTTAGATAATAAAAAAGAATAAAATCAGAATGTTTTTGCATATTCTGAGTTGAACTGTAAGCAGTTACTAATTTATCTTTTCTTTGCTTGGAAACAGAAGATGCTTTTGCTTATTTACAGAAATCTGTTAGATCACAGTTTCTCAATTCCAAAATATGTACTTTTCCTCATTCCTTCTGCCTCCACTCCAAAGTCCAGAACAATGTCATTTATCAGCTGTTAACTTTTGAGTAAATCACTTAACTTCCCTTTGCCTATTTTCTCGTTTGTAAATAAAGGGGTGGCAACAAATCAGCAGTTTTTACCAACAGTCAAAAACATACCTGGCTAAAACAGTTTTTTATTAAAAAATATTGATGTTTACTAATATTTTAAAAAAATATAAGTAAGAATGTATTCAAAGTTATCCATATGTAGATTAGGTGCAATGGCTAATCCAGCACTTCAGAAAGCTGAGGTGGGCAGATCACTTGAGGGCAGGAGTTTGAGACCAGCCTGGCCAACACGGTGAAACCCTGACTTTACTAAAAATACACAAATTAGCTGGTTGTGGTGGTGCACGCCTGTGATCCTGGCTACTCGGGAGGCTGAGGCAGGAGAATCTTGAACCCGGGAGGTGGAGGTTGCAATGAGCCGAGCCGAGCCGAGCCGAGATTGTGACACTGCACTCCACCCTGGGCAACAGAGTGAGACTCCATCTCAAAAAACAAACAAACAAAAAGAAAAACACCAAGCAAGCAAGCAAGCAAACAAACAAACAAAAAACCCAAAAGCAGTTACCCATGTGTAGGTAAATATCACCTACATTCTGATGCATTTTCTTGATTAAGAAAGGGGAAGAATCAGGTAGCACACCAGTAATGGCATGGCATAGCAGGTAAATGCCATTTATTTCTCTAAATCTCTGTATATGAATAGTAGAGATCTCTGGACTAAACTCTAGTCCAATCTCTTATTATCTAGTTTTCCAGAGGGTAATTAAAGTTCTTAAGTATAAAAATTTCACAATTGACTGTGAAGATAAGTTAATCTGGGAACTTACACAACACCCCAATATGTGTTCAATAAATATTTTGTTGGATGACTCAACCTATCATTTCTAATTTATTATATGCTTTTTCTAAAACAGGATTCAAGGCTTAAATGGGCCTACAACTATGGGGTATGATACCGACCTAAGCCAGATGTAAGCTGATGCTATTATTATCTGGAAAGCAAACCTTTAAACCAGAATCTTAACCAAGTTTTGTTATAGGAAATAAGTACTTAGATAGAGAAAACATCATTTGCCTTCTTAAATCTTAAATATTGGCCACTTATTGACACTTATAAAGTGTCAGTGCCTATCTGTGTAGCTCTAACACCTCCCCCAAGAGGTTAGAAAACTGAAAATATAATAAAATTTAACTAAGTCATTCAATGATACAGAATTAAATTATTTGAACACAACTTGCTACCTCCATAAATGTATTGAAAAGCCCATCCAAACATATCTGACTTTTTATTCTGAAATAATATCCTGAACACAGTGAAAAAACATTCTGAAAACTAGGATTTAAGAAACTTATTTACTTAAGCAGTAAAAAGTTCACCTCTATGAAATATTAAGATAAGCTACAAAGCAACAGATATTGTATTGGTACAAGAAAGACAAAGTACTAGAACTGAGACAGACCAACATTTATATGAGGGGACATAACTAACACTACCAGTAGCCTCACAAATTAATGAAGACATGACATACTGCTTAAAAGATGATGTCAGAAAAACTGACCCACACTACAGAGAAAACCGAAATGGGATTCCTACTTAACATCATATCCAAAGATGGACTACATATGGGTTAAAGACCTAAATGTAGCAGATGAAATTATAAAGAGAAGACAATGTAGGAAGATATTTTTGGGAAATATGGGTGAGAAAAAACTTCAACAAATTCCCAAAAGCAATTAACTAGTTTGATTGCATCAAAATTAGTGATTTCTGTTTAACCAAGGGCAACATAAAGTTAATTGACAATGGTAAATTAAAGAAAATATCTGTACTATCTAAAAATGACATAGGACTAATACCAAGAATACAAAACAAACTCCTACAAATTCAGAGGAAAAAATAAGCAACTTTCAAAGAAAAAAAGGACAAGACATGTACAGGCAATTCACAGTAGAGGAAACTTAAAGGACTAACAATCATTGCTACATACAGAAATGCAAACGAAAATAAGATGTTCTTTATTGGCAAAAATTACATGTTAGGAAAGAATGGAGATACGGGAACCCCTTCTTGCTGCTAGTGAGTGCGTAGGTGGCTGAAAGCATTCTGTGGAGCAGATTATTTGGCAGTCTTTAGTCAAAATCGGCATAGACATGCCCCATGGACAGATTTGAGGATGCATACTTTGGCAGTGTTCTTTGGAGGCAAATTTGGGAGAGGTCATCACTAGGTAAAGGGGACAGGTAAATGTGTAGGATGTGAACCATGAGTACTACAGAGCAAGAAGAAACAATGGCCTAGATTTGCACTGTCCAACATAGTAGAACTACCCACATGTGGCTATTTAAACTTAAATAAAAATCAATTAACATTACCCAAAATTAACAATTGAGTTCCTCAGTTATGCTAGCTGCAGCTCAAAAGCTCAATAGGTACTTGTGGCTAGTGGCTACAGTATTAGCCAGTACAGATTAAGAACATTTCTCCTTTCCATCATCATAGAGAATTCTATTGGACATGCTGCCTTAGATGAACACAAAGTATCATGGATGTTTCTTTAAAATAGTGTTGAGAAATGTGACAAATGTAACATTAGGAAGTGAAGTCTAAAGCACACTTAATTATGTAATTTGAAAAATGCATACAATGAAAAAGAGTAACATCGAAGATGTTAAGAGTTATCTGTCAGTGGGAAGGGAACGGCAGTTAGAAATAGGTAACCAAAGGGAATATAAGTAAAATGAGAGATACTTTGTACGGACTGATGCGCCTGGTAAAACCACGTACTAAAGAATATTATTAATCTCCTGTATTTGAGGTCCAACAACAAATGTTGGGGTTAGTGTCAGCCAGAAATCCTGGGGGGAAATGGTAAACTCCAACTCTGATGCCCTCAGGAACAAAAACTGTTAAGGTTGCAAAGAAGGAATTTTTCATATCCCCATTGCCAACCAATTTTCATTTAAAATTAAAATCTTTTTTTTCTGCCTCAATCTCAATTCTACTATGGTACTACTTCACTATAAGCTTTCTTCAGGGAAGAACGAATTGTGACAAAAAAGAACTATCAATGGCCAGAGAATAAAAGGTGAAATAGACCCACTCGATTGCCACCAACATTTTACAATGAGTTACTGTACAATTCCCTTAACAGAGCTATTTTGATTACACAGGGCAAATTCTAATAGTGGGACCAGATCAACTTAACACAATATATGAAATAGTGAATACATTTTTTTGTGTTTCTATTTTCTTCAACAATTAGGAACTGTAAACTGATGATTTCTACCATTGACACATATTAACAAGATAAAAATAAAAGCCTGGGCGGGGCGCGGTGGCTCCTGCCTGTAATCCCAGCACTTTGAGAGCCAAGGCGGGCGGATCACGAGGTCAGGAGATCAAGACTATCCTGGCTAACACGGTGAAACCCCCTCTCTACCAAAAATACAAAAAATTAGCCGGGCGTGGTGGCGGGTGCCTGTAGTCCCAGCTACTCGGGAGGCTGAGGCAGGAGAACGGCATGAACCCGGGAGGCGGAGCTTGCAGTGAGCGGAGATCGCACCACTGCACTCTAGCCTGGGGAACAGAGCGAGACTCCGTCTCAAAAAAATAAAAACAAAAAAATAAAAGTCTGATATAACTTAGCATGGATTTTTCAGTAGAATAAGTTAAAATGTTCTGGAACGATTTTGTCAATGCATGTTGAAAAATCTGAAAATGTTTAGTGCTCAGTAAATTTTCTACCGTTCCCTTAGTCATCTCCATTTTAATTCTAAGCAGACGGAGGTCATTTTAAAACACAATACTAATAGAAAACATATACCGTAAATAATATGTACCAGTCATCAACTCAATTCTCACAACACTGTAAGGTAGGACTATTAAAATCTCCATTTAACAGACGAAACAGAGGTCTGTTAACTGGCTAGCCCAAGGTCACGCAGCTATTCGTGGCAAACCTGGGCCACGAAGCACCACAAAACTATGCTACTTCATCGATCTTCTGATCCATCATCCCTGAGGATTCAGATTTGCATTTACCTGGAGAATCTCACGGTGCCACAAAGTGGAGTTCCCGGTTCGTGGCTTATGAGCCACACTGCCCGCTGCGCCATGGTTAAGTCAGTAAAGCATTAGCTCATCTCATAATTAAGGTCGCCACCGAGGAACAGCGCAGACCGGCTTTCTCAGACAGACTCTTAACAGAAGCCCTGAGGCTCATCCTGCGCCGCATACCGGTCGCGCTCAGCAGAGAGGTTAGCTTTTTTAGGTGAAGTCACTAACGCTTCTGAGTCGCTCTAGGCCAACACACACCACAAAAAGTTCTAAGAACCCCAACCTATAACCTTGAGAAATTTACCTATACCCTGCAACTCCGGTATTTTCTTCCTCTAAATTCTACTTCCGGAATGGTGGCCCGCAAGGATCAAAGTTCCTCATACACGGTAGCGTCGAGCCTTTTTTCGGTTCTTTCGCCGCTCGTTTTATTCGCCGGCCCCTCCCGACAACCTCCCTGGCGCGCGCAGTTCCACTTCCGGCGTATGAGGCGGTGACAATGGGAGCAGCGCGGGCGGCGCCGGGAGGCAGCTGACAAGCGTTTGCGGCTTCGCTTCATGGCCGCTCTCCCGCCCCTCCTGGGATCTGTGGGGAGCTGGGGAGCCCGCAGCGGCCCGGAGCCGGAGCTGGCGAGCCGAGCGGAGACCTGTGCGCCGCGCCTCTGAGGCGCAGCATGTGAAGCGGAGACGGCATCCAGTGGGGGGCGAGCCTCTCAGCCGGCCGGGATGGCTACCACGGCCGAGCTCTTCGAGGTGGGCCCCGGCGGCTCTACAGGGAGTGGCAGGCCCGGGGTTTGCAGGCAGCTGGGTGGGCGGGCCGAGGAGCGGGCGTTTGCTGGCTGCCCAGGAGGAGCCCTCGGGAGAGAGGTGCGAAACAGAAGGGTTGGGGTGGCAGCTCCGTGTCAGCGCGGGCGGAGCGTGAAATGGGGGAGGGGTGCTTGGGGCCGAGGTGGGCTGGGCGGCCGGTCGGCAGAGAGGGGAAGCCGGGTGTCCCAAGGGAGGAGGGTTGCTTTTGTTTGTGGGGGCAAGAGGGAAAGTCTGGAAGGTTCGGGTGTTGGAAGATGTCTACTCCGGATGAGTAGTGGGAAGGGCTGACTCAGGACGAGGAAAGAGAGCCAGGAGCCTCAGGTTGGGCGAGTCTTGTCGCTGGGGTCCTCGCGGGAATAATAGGAGGAAGCCACTTGAGATCGGGACTCTTGGGGGCTTCTCGTTTTGAGTAATTATTCCATTAGTAAGGTTGCAGGTGGCATTCATAGGACTGCCAGTTTAACCTGACATTTGAAAAGGCTGGGACAATTTTTTTTTTTTTGGACAATAAAGGCCTACTTATCTCTTTCGACTGAAGAGAGATAGACTGAAGGGAGGCAAAATTCAAGTGAACACTTTATTTCATGTAATACATAATAATACACTCGAGGCATTTACGTGTATTATAAAATAAAAAAAGTTTATAAAATAAAACGAACACTTCGTTTCATGTATATAATGCACCTTAAGTGTATTATATGCATTTACATGTATTATAAAATCACCTAACTGCAAGCTAGAGAATCCTTAATATGTAATAGTGAGAATACTAATGTCTTTCCTCGAGCGTTTACAGTATCTAAACCTTAAAATTTAATTTCGTGAAGTCCGTTGTAAGAAGCTGTGATAAAAGTTTGAGATAATAGAATAGGAAAACTCTAATTAGGCTACAAAACAATGACACGTATAAAGCATCTCCTTGTGTGAAAGAAATGAAAACGGATAAGAAAAAGGAAAGAAAGACCCCTTTTTTGTGTGTGTGCTTGTGTTTCACATTGAGTAACAAAAGTGTAATAATTGAGAAGACTGTAATCCACAATAGGGAACTTCTCCATAAGTGAAAATGGTATCCTTTTTCTGCGTAAGATTCAGCAGTTTTTGTGGCTTACAATTTGAATGCCACAGTTTTAATAACAAATGGAAATTTACATTTGTTATTGTTACTATATTTTGCATATCAGTCAGCTTTTGGATAGATAATGCTTTTTTTGAGAGGAGTAATATATGTTATTGTTATAATAAGTTGTAATAAGACAGTAATTTGTGAATGAAGGATTGTAATTACAAGAAAGACTTCAGAGATATTGTATTTTCTCACTTAAGTGTTGGGAGATATGCTACATTAATTTCTGTAATTCCAAAATTGTGCCATCTGTTTATTGACACAAGAACGGGGAGACATTTTTCCTGCTAGGAACTTTTACTGTGTCCCTAGGTACTAAGTAGTGCTGTGGTTCCTTGTTTTATTTTTCACATCTTAAAAAGGGAGAAAACGATGAAGTTGTATGAGATCTTTAATTAAGGTATTTGCCGGCAAGCCAGCTCTTAACTGAAAACTGTTATATATGTTGTCATACAGTTCATAAGACATTATCCTTTGAGTTAATCCTGCTTGACAGTTCCAGTTGTACCTTGGACCATCTTATGTATATTTTTATTTAAATGTTTGACCACATGATTTCAGTAACTTATTTGGAAATATGTTTGATTTTTTTTTTTCCCCTCTCCCTAGCGGGGAAGGGGAGGAGGTGGGGAAATATATATTTTGCTTTCTGGGGTCCTGCTATTAGGTTAAGTAGTATATATATACGTTTTATATATATATATATATACACACACACACATACACATATATATATATAACGTATATATAACATACATATATATAATGTAATTTAGTGACTCTAGTTACATGGTAGCCAGTAAGATTCTGTGATAATAGAGACAGTAGCCCTTAGACTACCCTTAGGCCAGAGGGTTTTTAGGACAAATTTAAACGTATTTATAGATCTTAAAACTGACGTGACTTTTTTTCTTGACTATATGTAGCTTGTTGCTTCATCATAATTAAAAGCATAATAGTTACAATTAAGTTTCAATAGTTATAATTAAGAAGTGCATTTATCTTTTCTGGTACTGCTATGAATCCAGCCCTACAGTGGACTCTACTCTTGAGTAAGTTTTCATCCCCAAGTGAAAAGTTGATCTCTTGGCCTTGGAGGGAGGAGGAAAAAAAATCCTGTCACTGCTCAGTTTCCTGTAACTACTGCCATAGCATCTAGGTTGTAGTAAGAGTCACGGGAAGTATCTTTTTCTCCTGCTTCCCTTTCTTAGTCCCAGCTGGAGAACTGTGGAAAACGGAAGGCAGGATGTAGTCAAGGATGTTTGGTTTTTATGCATCCTGATTTTCATGCACTGTTAAATAGAATTATGCTTTCACTTTTCATGTTAGGAGAAGTTAAATGAAAACAAAATTAAGCTTTTGAATCCATGACATTTCATTATGTTAACTCTGCTTCTTTTAAAATCTTATTGGTCCCATGACTCTCAATGAAAACAACTTCATATAACAAAATCAAACTGTAATATATTTCCTCAGTTGACCGAAATGATTTAGTAATAGATGATTTGGCTATTGTAATAGTGTATATCCTGGAAGTTTCTCAGAATACCTTCTTAGTTTCAACTTTTGTTGACAGATCTTTCTGAAAAGATCCATGTACAGTGTTTTAAAATCTCCTCAGGATAGACATTCTGAGTAAGGATTCTTATGTGGTGTAGATAAATTGTATCTTCTACATATACAAAGTGGCTGGGCTCAGAAATTCCTTTTCTTTGTTTTTGAGACAGGGTCTTGCTCTATCGCATAGGCTGGAGTGCAGTTGGGTAATCACTGCTCGCTGCAGCCTCTACCCTCCTGGCACAATCCATCTGCCCACCTTAGCCTCCAGAGTAGCTGGGACTAGAGGTGCCTGCCTCCATGCCCAGCTGATTTTTAAAAATTTTTTGCAGAAATAAGGTTTTACCATGTTGCCCAGGCTGGTCTTGATCTCCTGGGCTTAAACAATCTGCCCACCTTGGCCCCACAAGGTGCTGGGATTACAGGTGTGAGCCACCGTGCCCCGCCAGTTCTTTTTATGTTGTTGCAAATGTTCCTCTCTCCTTTTATTGTACTACTGAGGACATTCTTTCCTCATTTGCTTAATTTTTTCCCCCATAATTCTTCAAGAATCTTCGCTTTTCTCTGTTTGGGCTACCATTACGGGAGAGTTCTTGGTTAGTAACTAGGGTTAATTATTCATTCATTCTACAGATATTTGTTGAGTACCTTTTAAGTTCAAGATAAAGTTCTGAAATTGACGAGGCTGCATGTCTCAAAGGGCATGCCATAGAAATATTAATCCTATGAGATGTGTCGCAAAAAAAAAAAAAAAGGGTTCAGTGACCAAGTAAGTTATGGAAATGAGCATAGTCTGTTTCGTTGGAGATTTGCGGTATACCTTAATATGTTAAAGATGATGAGAAGTCCATTTCCCCAACTTTTTTCACCATGAGACTGTTTTCTTTCTTTTTTAAAGAGACTTTTATTTTCTACTGCTTGTTAACTTAATTTTGTGAATTACAAGGTACATATTTTGGAAAATAGAATTAAGTATAGAACTTGTCCTTATCAAATAGAGGGAGAGAAGGTGGATATATGATACTATACTCTTAAAAATAAGGTTATAAATGGTTTCAAAGAGGTCTAGATGTGCCATAGGTGTTGAGAGGATGGGAAGATTGCCTCTAGAAGAAAGAAAGGATTAGAAGGTGGCATTTGAATTACCTACAGAGGATAAATTAGATTTGAGTTTGTGGAACTGGATGGAGGGACTTTTCAGTAAAGCAGACAATAAAAGCTAAGACATAAAGGGAGGGTTGTAGGCCCTGGAGATAAGGGGAGCATTCATTTTGGCTGGAGTATATATAGCACACATAAAGAGGAAGAGTGGCATGTAAGGTAAATCGGGGTTTAATTTTGGAGGTCCTAAATGCCAGGATTAAAATTTCATTTTTTTTTCTTTCTGTAAATATAGGTTCCTTGATAATAGTGCTTGAGGTCAGGTAATTTGGCTATGATAGCAATGGCTGTTTGACTTCCAAATTAGAGTATGAATATTGAAGAACACCTTTTCCCACATTTATTTGTCTCTTAATTTTTCAAACTAAATTACAAAAGCTAGTTAAACAGAGTTGTTGAAAATGATGTCTCTTGTTCAATTAGCTAGCCAGGTATATACTAACGAACATGAGATACACAAGTAAGGAGCACCCCGTTACTGTCAAGGTGCTGAAATGCTATTTATTTTAACCATATTAGTTGTTAAGTGTTTATAGACCTTGGCTACCAATTGTAGTAACATGGATATGATAGAATGTATTCATTCTGCAAACGTTGAATGAATCTGTAGGCCAGACATTCCAGGTACTAGAGTTAAAAGATGTTGAGTTAAGCATCTGGTTGAGGAAGACAGACATGTTAATACATTAATACAGCGCAGTGGGAGTATAGAATCTTTTCCAGGGATTATTAGGAAAGGTTTCATTTAGTAATGGCATATAGAAATTGGATGTTGATGGATGAGTAGAGATTTTTCAGACAGGAGAAGGGCATTCCAAGGCAGAGACACAAGATGGCTCCAGTTTGTTGTAAGGTGAGGCAGTTGAGAAGAGTTAGGATGTGTATGTGCATATTTTAAGAATAGGGAGTGGTGGCAAGGCATTGAGACCATAGGAGTTCGAGGGCAGTTTTTTTGTTTTTTTGCTTTTTTTTTTTTTTTTTTTTTTTAGGCTGGAGTGCAGTGGCGTGATCTCAGCTCACTGTAACCTCTGCCTCTGGTTTCAAGCGATTCTCCTGCCTCAGCCTCCTGGGTAGCTGGGATTATAGGTGCCTGCCACCATGCCCAGCTAATTTTTTTATTTTTAGTAGAGATGGGCTTTCGCTGTGTTGGCCAGGCTGGTCTCGAACTCCTGACCTCATGATCGACCTGCCTCGGCCTCCCAAAGTGCTGGGATTACAAGCGTGAGCCACCGTGCCTGGCCAGTTTTTTTGTTTTTTGAGACAGGGTTTTGCTCTGTCACCCAGGCTGGAGTGCAGTAGTGTAATCACAGCTCACTGCAGCGTCGACCTCCTAGGCAAAAGCGATCCTCCCACCTCAGCCTCCTGAGTAGCTGGGACTACAGGCATGTGCCACCATGCTTGGCTAATTTTTTATTTTTTGTAGGGACGGGGTCTCATTGTATTGCCCAGGCTAGTCTCCAACTCCAGGACACAAGTGGTCCTCCCACCTAGGGCCTCCCAAGGTGCTGGGATTATAGGCATGAGCCACTGGGTCCAGCCTGGGGGAAGTTTTAAGAAGGCTTTTTATACCTCATGCAAGAGGGCTGACCTTACTTTTTTTGGGTAAGGGTCAGGGAGACAGACAATTTTAATGTTAGTGTGAAGAATGGCCTTCTATGGGGGAAGAAATTGTTAGCTGGGAAAATAGGGATCGTGGGCAACCTGACATAGTTCTTGTCATTTGGTAAGTGTTCCAGAATTATCTGTTGACTGATTAATCTGGCCAGATGAAAGTCTAACCTAATTCAATGGTGACAGAGAAGAAATTTGAAAAGAATTTTGGAGGAAGAATTAAAGGAATTTGATTACTGAGGAGTTAAAATTCCAAATTTGTAAACTTTGAAAAGTAGGTGGTTGGTGATTCATTAACTGTGACAGAGAAAATTAGAAGGACCCTTGCAGGGGGAAGAAATAATATATTCATTAAGTATATATATACACACACACATATATACGTATATATACACACACATATATATACATATATATATACATATATACTTAATGTATATATATACACTTATGTATATATGTATATATGTATATATACTTAATGTATAAATATATACATATATGTATATATATACTTAATATATGTGTATATATATACGTATATATATATACACACACACACACACACACACACACATATGTATTTACACTTTGAGTTTTTAGCAAGACATCCTGGTAAAGAAGTCCACAAGGCAAATGGAAATATGAATTAGTAACTCAGAAAGAGATCACAGTTAGACATAGCAGTTTAGGAAGTATCACTTTATGTGGGTGGTAATTTAGCCAGGAGGTGGAAGACATCTCTCAGCTCTGCCTCTTACTAGTTGTGTGATCTTGGCAAGTTACCCAACCTCTTTGTACCTCAGTTTTCTCATCTGTAAAATGGGGGAAATAATGGTATCTACTTCAGAAGGTTTTTTTGATGACTAAATTGAGTTGAGAAATTTAAATTGCTTAGAAGCATACTATTAAGAGAGTAGTATCCATTTTAAAAAATTAGGTGTTGGCCACTTTCAATTTAAGTGGATTGAGATGAGAACTAGATTAGAGATCTATCAGGGAGGGAACACTTCAGCCTTCTCAGTCTCAGTTGACTCAGAGTAAATGATCCAAGAAGTAGGAGATTATAGTAGGAGAGGATTACAAAAAGGGGCTGTGGAAGGTTGTATTTTTCAGGATGGTCACAAGATCTGCCATCCTACATTGTGATGTTTATGCCCCTCCCATAGGAAGTAGGTTCTGTGTTCACTTCTTGAATCTGTACAGGCCTATGACTATAGAAGTGATGCTATGTAGTGATTTGCAAGGTTAGGTAACCTCTTGGACTCTAGCAGCCATGCCAAGAGAAAGCCCATGCAGCCCTTTGAAAGAACCAAGGCCCTTTGCCCTTGGCTCTGGCTGAACTCCCAGCTAACAGTAAACACCAACTTGCCATCTTGGAAGACTATCTTCTAGCCAAGTTGAGCAGCCCCAGCTTATTTCATGTGGAGCAGAGACCAGGTTTCCCTGCTGAGCCCTCCTCCAATCAGATTTGTGAACAGTATGATTATTGTTATTTTAGGCCACTAACTATTTGAGTGGTTGTTAGGCAGCAATAGATAACTGTAACAGAGGCCGATCAATTTCTTACCTGCACCAAGATCTAATAGCCTTCTGCTGGTCTTAGTGGAGACAGTGGTAGAGGTAGAGGTTGATGCTTAAGAGTAATAGAGTTCCATTTAAGTATTTTATGCTTTGGAGTTCTCCAGTCCAAGCAACTTGGAAGTGAACTTTTGGAATAAGCAAGTCATTAAATTGAGGACAGTATTATAGACTGCACATGTGTGTAATTAATCTAAAATACTGAGTCCCTGGTGTTCCCAGGAAATTAGATAGTTGAGGTGTGTGTGTGCCCACATGTGTGAGAGAGATTTGAAAGAGTGATTGATTGCCTTGTTCTCTTAAAAGTGGATTGCAATTTCATGTAACACCGTGCAAATAAACATAACCTACAAATTAAACGAAAGTTCTAGTTGAGTGATAAATAATTTAAAAGTTTGATTGTCAATAGTTTATGTATATATATATTTTTAAAACTTAGCAAACTTTTCTGATGTTACTTCCTTGAAGCCGAAATTTGAAAATGAGAAAATATAGTTATTTACATATCTTTGCTTATTCAAGTTATAATAAACGAAAGAAGCAAATGATTCTTTCACTTGTTTAATTTCATTTCCAAGGTGTCTATTAAATGCCTGTAAGAATATTTAACGTGTGTATTTGGCAATACACTTAATTTGATTTGAAATGCTAATGGCAGATTTTATTAAATATTTAAAGTAATTTCACAGTCTATAAATGTTAAAGGCACTATAATAGAGTGGGAAAAATATCTGGGTTAGAATCCTGGTTTAGTACCTTGATAAGACTTAAATTTCATTTCCTCAGTTTCTTTATTTATAAAAATGAGATGAAAGAGCTGGGCTGTGATGATATTTAAAGAACATTCTTGCATTACGAATTTTAAATCTAATTATATGATTCTGCTGAGACTAGTGTAACAGGAATTGTAACATTTGTTACCTTTCCCTTTTGGACATAGACATAATATATATAACTTTACTGTTCGAAATGAGATATATTCTATCCTGGAAAAATATTTTGCTTAAGAGAATCTAAAATATTTTGTAAGATTCTAAACTACCATCGTTTAAATAGTCTTCAAAACAATTTTGATAACATGATTAATTGGCTAATTTCATAGTTTAAAGGGCTTCAAGATTGAATGTTAACATTGACTAATTTTAAAAAGTAAAATTATTTATTTTGTAGTGTTTGTGCAAGTAGTTTTCAAAATACTTTTTCAAAGTTTGCTTTAGTTATATTAGTGTCTTAATGAGCTTTATTTTTCTACCTTTTCATACTACCTTTGAAATCCATTTTGCTAGCCTGAGACAAAATATTTTGTGGTGCTTTTTTAAAAACTCAGTATTCAATAAATATAACTTATTTATTAATATACAGAAAACACGTAAAGAATCTCACTGAAAAATCAAAGAAAATGGGGTTAGAAAGTAGAGGCCGAATATTATAAAATTCTTTTAGTTCTTTGTAGTGCCAGAATTGTATTAGGCTCATATTTGGTTTCTGTTAGAATCTTTGATTGATAGTACCATGTAATGCCTGTTCTTTATTTCTGGGTTGTGGGGTGGTGGTCCTGCCTTTTTGGTTTTGGATGTATGGATCAAGAGCATGACTTTCAAGACCCTCTGCAGGGGTTTCAGCCATGGCCCCAACTAGCTAGTGTTTTGGTATGCTCGGCATTGTTCTGTTGACTACAGCTGGAAAGCAAGAGAAATGTATGACACAGCATCCCCTTGCTTTCAATTTAAGTATGGAGAAAAGAGTGAAACTTATGAAAATGATTCTAAATCAATAAATGACAAAATGACAATTAGTAATGTTCTGTGTTGGGATTTGAATTTTTAAGCTTCATAGGGGTTTAAGAGTGGAGAAATTAATGGAGACCATGTAAGGAAGGAACCCTTCAAAGAAGAAACGGGAATAGAGCCAGGCTTTGAATAATGGTATAGCAGTGTTTGAATTGTTGGAGGAGAAAGGCCATACTTGGTGGGGTGAGTTACCTGGCCACAGGTTAGGAAGCAGGAGTAGCATGGGCTTGAAAAGAAGACTGGAATAGTCTGACGGAAGTGTGGCTGTTTGTTTTGAGGTACAGAGAAATTTGGGTAGGTGGTACAAGATAAGAACCCTAAAGGGTAGATATAAGAGTGTGAACTTGGCTGCATGTGGTGACTCACACCTGTAATCCGAGCATTTCCAGAGACTGAGGCGGGCAGATCACTTGAGGCCAGCAGTTAGAGACTAGCCTGGCCAACATGGCAAAACCCCATCTCTACTAAAAATATAAAAATTAGCCGGATGTGATGGCGCACACTTGTAATACCAGCTACTCAGGAGGCTGAGACATGAGACTTGCTTGAACCCAGGAGGCGGAGCCGAGATTGTACCACTGCATTGCAGACTGGGTGACAGAGTGAGACTGTATCTCAAAAAAAAAAAAAGAAAAGTGTGTGTGAATTTGATAGTGTAGTAGGAATTATATAGGGAAGTTTCTCACTAAAAGGAGGTAGTGTTTTAATGATTTGTTAGACAGTGGTATCCATAATAAATTTAAGGAAAATACATGATAGGCAGTACTTTTGAACCGATGGGTTAGTTGGTTTAACAAGATACAGAAATATCTCTCTGAAACGATCTGAGACTTACTTTATTTTTTTTACCTAGGCTGGGGGAAATATCCTAGCTTCTTTGAGTTTTTGGGTGGTTCCAACACATTGTATTGGATCTGCTTTTGGGAATGGAGATACAAGAAAATATAAAAATTGAATTTGTGTCAAGGAAGCAACATTATTTAATTAGGGATTTATGTTCCTGTCCAAGGGATTGACATCCAAGAGATTTTTCAGTAGAAATGACCACAAATACCATTAAGTTCTGGGATACATGTGCATAACGTACAGGTTTGTTACGTAGGTATACACATGCCATGGTGGTTTGCTGCACCCATCAACCCCTCATTTACATTAGGTATTTCTCCTAATGCTGTCCCTCCCCTAGTCCATTACCCTCTGACAGGCCCTGGTGTGTGATGTTCCCCTCCCTGTGTCCATGTATTCTCATTTTTCAGCTTCCACTTATGAGTGAGAACATGCAGTGTTTGGTTTTCTGTTCCTGTGTGAGTTTGCTGAGAATGATGGTTTCCAGTTTCATCCATGTCCCTGCAGTGGATATGAACTCATCCTTTTTTATGGCTGCATAGTATTCCATGGTATATATGTGCCACATTTTCTTTATCCAGTCTATCATTGATGGGCATTTGGGTTGGTTCCAAATCTTTGCTATTATGAATAGTGCTGCAGTAAACGTACGTGTGCATGTGTCTTTATAGTAGAATGATTTGTAATCTTTTGGGTATATACCCAGTAATGGGATTGCTGGGTCAAATGGTATTTCTGATTCTAGATCCTTGAGGAATCGTCACACTGTCTCTCACAATGACAAACATCATATTTTAATGTTACAATTGGTAACATTTGTAAAGCATATAAAATCAGTTTAATGGAGCAATATAACAACCAATTATGTAAAGCTAAATTTCATATGGTAGTATCTTAGTGCATAGTTCTAGATTTTTGTTTTGGCTTGGTAATTTTTGCTTTTGATTACTATAGCAAAACAAAGTGAAGCTAAACCTTTGTCAGCCTTATAAAATTCTGAAGGATTTAAAAATTTTTTTACAGGTATTTGTATTACAGGGAATTGTTTGAGAAGTCTTTTGGGAGGACTTGGTCATTTGGAGGTCTTAGGATTTGTTAATTTGGCTTTTTGTCACTGTAAGCGCCTTTGCAGCAAGATAAAGTATTAGAAAGCAAGGCATTAGGATTTATTTGCTTATATAAGCAGAATTTTTAAATTTTTATTTATTTATTTATTTTTTATTTTTTGCTTTTTTGGAACTTCCATCCCTTGGGGATCAATTGCTGACTTCTCGTAAACCCTTGTGATAATTTGTCTCTGAGGATAAAATGTGTACTTTGCTTTCAGGACACTGACCTCTTATTTTCTTCCACCTACACTGGTGCCTCTTGCTTTCTTTTGTTGGATTGTTTTCCTGCTCTTATCTCCAAATCTTGGCATGCCTTTCTTCCTCGTAGATCTCAACCAGTCCTTAAGTAACCATCTATATGTTGATGATTCAAATTTTGTGAAGCTCCAGCTTCTTCCGTGTAGTAAAAATTTGTTTTTCCATCTATGTGCTCTATATTTCTCTTACATATCTAATAGGCATCTACACTTTAACATATGTGGAACAAAACTCTTGTTTCACTGCTCCCTCATCCATCTCCTTCCCTGATCTTCCCATCTCAGTAATTAGCACCACCATTCACAAAGTTGTCCTGGCTGCAAACCTCTACCTCAATGAGTAATCTTTTATTCCTTTTTTTTCTTTCTCCACATATCCAGTCTATCAGCAACTTATATGAATGCATGCCTTAAGACGTCATGAACCTATTTCTCAGCACCTCATCCACTGCCACTTTCATCTGAGTCACTGCCATCTCTTGACTGGACTACTAAGGTGTTGCAGGTTGGGTCTTTTGGGAAGCAGACTTTGAGACAGTTTAGTATGCAGAATATTTATTAGGAAGTAACCTTGGATGAACATTTATGAGGGGCAGAGCAAGGATACAAGATTGAGCATGTGGAGAAGTAGAGTTACAGTTTTCGTCCAGTGGCAGTGTTGATGGCTTCTGTGGGGAGGTCTGAAACTAAAATGACCTGTCAGAGTTGTCCTGCTTTGGACCAAAGTGGTCTGGCCCTTATACTCCCATCTTAATCAGTCATTGGGTATGGATCACATTGGGAAAGACATGACATTGGGTGAAGTGTCTCTTTGCATCTGATGAGGTCCCTGAAAATCTGCCCATGAAGGCTTTTTGTTGACAGCACTATTAGCAGTTAGAGCAAGTCCCTTCTTGAAGGGCAATCTGGATGGCACATTATTGTGTTCACCACAGACAACCCTTGTTCCACTATTAGACTTTACTTCTTCATATACATTTGGGGAGCAGCTCTTCTGACATTCTGGTTGGGTCTCATCCTGGAGGAAAATTAGAAGAAGAAGGCTAGTGAGATGAACTGTGGCCCCCACTGCTATAGCTGGTCTCGGAGTTGCAACTGATATTCACTGTCTCTCACCTCTACTATCGATTGTAACTCTGCCTTACCTTCAACTGGTACCTCTGATGTTCTTGGTATCTTAACTGGTTATAATACCCTTTTTAGGCCAGGGTTGTAACACTTGTCCATACATTTTCAGAATTGGTTGAGGGGGTGTTAAGAGATCCCTGAGAGGATCATCTGTGTGCCAAACATACTGCTCTCTGCCCCCATTGTGTATTAGCAGCCCTGCCTCATCCTGATCATTATGGTTGATTGCCCTAGCCAAAGATGATCACTCCTCTTCTTATTCCCTAGATATAAAGAGACAATATGACCAGGCAGTACTTGTAGTTATAGTTTAATGACACTCTTACTATGTTCGTAGGCAAAAGTGTTCCTTCTTTGGGCACCAAGACTATTCCGGAAGAACCTAGAGTTACAGGGATCCCAAGCACAAACTGGGAGTCATGATAAGTGAACCCACTTTCTGCTTTTACCTCTTGTTGCCAGACTCATGTGTTTTTCCTATGGGAGTCACAGCATCATATAAAGCCTTTTAATTCAGAATATATACTGCATCTTGGAGAATAGTGCTTCCTTTTTTTTTTTTTTTTGCTTTTGGAGACGGAGTCTTGCTCAGTCGCCCAGGCTGGAGTACAGTGGTGTGATCTTGGCTCACTGCAACTTCTCCCTCCTGGGTTGAAGCAATTCTCCTACCTCAGCTTCCCGAGTAGCTAGGACTACAGGTGCCCACCACCAACCCAGCTAATTTTTTGTATTTTAGTAGAGACAGGGTTTCACTGTATTGCCCAGGCTGGTCTCGAACTCCTGAGCTCCGGCCTGAGCCACCACACCCGATCAGTGCATCATTTTAATAGAGTATGCCCTCTGAACTGGTGCTTCAGCTGTGCCTTCATCAGGGTGTTCCAGTGCTCTGTTAGTCTGCCTACCTCTGGTTGGTGTGGTTTATGATATGACCAGTGAATCCCATGGTTACCTCCTTTGCTGTAAACTGGGTGCCTGGGTCCTTTGGTGTGATATGGTATGTGGAGTCCTGTGCCAGAGGAACAAACACTGCCTCTGAGGAAAGGCAAATCCATCTCAAATGTTTCTACTTCTATCAAAGTAAAATATTCTTTTTTCTAGGGTAGAAAGGGCCCAGTGTAGTCAACTTGCCAACCATGTGATTAGTCTTGAATGGGGCTATTTTAGGGGCTTAGAGTTGGTCTCTGTCACTGTTAGGCTAGATATTTGGTTTCACAGTAGCTGGATCAGCCTTGGTAAGTAGGACCCCTTGCAGTTGGGGCCATGTTGTCTGTACTGTGTCTGCTTTGTTCATGTGCTCAGAGTGCTAATGCCAAGCAAAGTCATTTTTTCTACTTGGTTGCTTAGTTCCTCTTTCATGGTATATGTTCTCTGGTGCTAACATGTTATACAAAGAACTTCATACTTTGCATCCAGTTTCATGTATCTGTCTGTCTTAGTCAGCTCAGGCTTCCATAACAAAATTCCATAGACTGGATGGCTTCAACAACAGAAATTTATTTCTCAGTGTTCTGGGGGCTGAGAAGTCCAAGATCAAAGTGCCAGCAAGGTAGTTATCATGCTGAGGCCTCTTCTCTTAGCTTGTAGGCACCACCGTCTCACTTTGTGCTCACGTAATCTCTTCTTTGTGCAGAGAGAGATTTCTTTTTCCTGTAAGAACATTAATCCCATAATGAGTGCCTGTACCTTGTGACCTCATCTAACACTGATTACCTCCCCAAAGGTCCCATCTCCAAATACCATCACATTGGGAGTTAAGTCTTCAACCTATGAATTTTGGGAGGACAGTTCTTTCATTGTATAGTCCATATGCCTCTCTACTCCAGACTTTCTTGTCCTTGGTCTTCCAATCTTAACTTACTTCTCTGATAGCTAGGCCCTTTGCCATTTCCTGTGTAAGGTGGCATCTCATGGTAGTTTTGATTTGCATTTCCCTAAATATTAGTAATGTTGGGCATTTTTTTTTTTTTTGGAACAGATTCACTCACTCTGTTACCCAGGCTGGAGTGCAGTAGAGTGATCTGGGCTCACTGCAACCTCTGCCTCACGAGTTCAAGTGATTCTCCTGCCTCAGACTCCCAAAGAGCTGGGACTACAGGCACTCGCCACCACACCGAGCTAATTTTTGTGTTTTTAGTAGAGACAGGGCTTTGCTGTGTTTGCCATCCTGGTCTCGAACTCCTGACCTCAAGAGATCTGCCTGCCTCTGCCTCCCAAAGTGCTGGGATTACAGGTGTGAGCCACTGCGCCCAGCCAGTGTTAGGCATCTTTTCATGTGCTTATTGGCCATTTATATATCTTTGGAGAAACATCTGTTCAGTCCTTAGCCCATTTTTGAATTGGATTACTTGTTTTTATTAAATTTTAGGAGTTCTATGTAGTCCAGAATTTAAAATTTTTCATTAAGTCTGATTGGTCTATTTTTTTCTTTTGTTGCCTGTGCTTTGGTATCATATTCAAGAAATCATTGCCAAATCCAGTATCTAGAAGCTTTACCCTGTATTTTCTTCTAAGGGTTTTATAGTTTTAGGTATTACAAGTAAGTCTTTGAGACATTTTTAGTTAATTTTTGTTTGGTGTTAGGTAAGGATGCTTTTGCATTTGAATACCCAGTTTTCCCAGCATTATTTGCTGAAAAGACTGTCCTTTCTGTTTTGAATGTTCTTGGCACCCTTGTCAAAAATTGTTTGACCAAATATGTGAGGGTTTTTTTTCTAGGCTTTCTATTCTGTTCACTTGTTCTGTATGTCTGTCTTTATGCCAGTACCATATACTGTCTTGATCAGTGTAGCTTTGTAGTAAGTTTTGAAATTAGAAGGTGTGAGTCCTGCTGCTCTGTTCTTTTTCAAGATTGTTTTGTGCTCTTCGGGGTTTGTCTATTTTTGAATAAAACAAAGTCATTGGGATATTCACAAGGATTGAGTTGAATCTGTAGATCACTTTGGGTAGTATTGACGTTGTAACAATATTAAGTCTTCCAGTTTGTAAACATAGGATGTGTTTCCATTTATTTGTGACTTCTTTGATTTCTTTCGAAGTATTATAGTTTGCACTGTACAAGTCTTTAGCCTCCTTTGTTAATTCTTATTTTATTCCTAAATACTTTGTTCTTTTTGGTGCTGTTGTAAATGGAATTGTTTTTATAATTTCCTTTTTAGATTGTTCATTGTTAGTATATAGAAATGGCAACTAATTTTTCAGTTTTTCTTTTATCTAACTACATATTTGTGTCTGTTAATCAGGCTCTCTTCTTGCTCCCTGCCTCCGCTTTAGCCTTCCCAGCCTTTGGTAACCACCAATCTACTCTTACTTCTATGAGATCAAATTTTTAAAATTCCACATATGAGTGAGGTCATGTGGCATTTGTCTTTCTATTCCTGGCTTATTTTACTTAATATAATGTTCTCCTGGTTCATCCATATTTTTGCAAATGACGGGATTTCCTTCTTTTTAATGGCTGAGTAGTATTCCCTTGTGAATATATGCTGTATTTTCTTTATCCATTCATCCATTGATGGACACTTAGATTGATTCCATATCTCAGCTTTTGTGAATAATGCTGCAGTAAACATGGTGGTGCAGATATCTCTGACATACTGATTTCATTTCCTTTGGATATATATTTAGTAGTATGATTGCTGGATCATTATGGTATTTCTGTTTTTAATTTTTTCAGGAACCGCCATAACATTTTTCGTAATGGCTGTGGTAATTTACATTCCCACCAACAGTGTGCAAGGGTTCCCTTTTTCTCCACATTTTCACCAACACTTATCTTTTGTCTTTTTGATAATAGACATTCTAATAGGTGTGAGGTGATACCTTACTGAGGTTTTAATTTGCATTTCCTTGATGATTAATGGTGTTGAGCATTTTTTCGTATACTTGTTGGCCATTTATGTGTCTTCTTTTGAGAAATGTCTGTTTCTGCCCTTCACACATTTTTAAAATCCAGGTTGTTTTCTTCCTATTGAGTTGAGTTCCTTATGTATTTTAGATAAACCCCTTATCAGATGTATAGTTTGTAGATATTTTCTCCTGTTCTGTGGGTTGTATGTAATCATGTTAATAATGCTATGGAATTTGGCTTGCTGATACTTCGTTGAGGATTTCTGCATGAATGTTTATAAAGGGATATTAGTCTGTAGTTTCCTTGTACAGTCTTTGTATGGCTTTCGTGTATCAGGGTAATGCTGGCCTCATACAGTGAATTAGGAAGTGTTTCCTCTTCCTCAGTTTTTTGGAAAAGTTTGAGAAGGCTTGGTGTTAGTTTTGTAAAATGTTTAGCAAAATTCAACAGTGAAGGCATGAGTTCCAGGGCTTTTCTCTGTTGGGAGATTTTTGATTACTGATTCAGTCCCCTTACTGGCTATAGGTGTATTCATATTATCTGTTTTTTCAGGATTTAGCCTTGGTAGATTTTGTGTTTCTAGGAGTTTTTCTATTTCATCTAGGTTATCAAATTCATTGGTATACAATTGTTTGTAATGCTGTCTTATAATCCTTTTTGTTTCTATAAAATTGGTAGTAATGTCTTCATTTTCATTTGTGATTTTAGTAATTTGAGCCTTCTCCCTTTTTTTCTTAGTCTGTTTAGCTAAAGGCTTTTCAATTTTGTTGATCTTTTCGGAAAACCAACTTCTGGTTTCATTAATTTTTTTCCTATTGTTTCTTTATTCTCTAATTTGTTAATTTCTGCTCCAGTTTTTATTATTTCCTTCCTTCTGTTAGCTTTGGCTTTAGTTTTTCTTTTTTTTCTTGTTACTTAAGTTTATACTTCTTTTTCTAATAACTTAAGTTTTAAAGTTGTGTTGATTTGAGATCTTTATTTTTTAATATAAATGTTTCTAGTTGCAAATTTACTCCTTAGCACTGCCTTCACTGTGTCCTATGTTTTTGTATGTTGTGTTTTTATTTTCATTCATAAGTATTTTACAATTTCCCTTGTAATTTCTTCTTTGATCCATTTACTTAAATCCTCTGACAGTCACTTTATCCAGAGGGAGAGGAGCTTGCAAAAATGGGGAAGGTGCAACAAGAAAGGCCACCAGCCTCTTTATGCCTCTGTGGTCTGAAGCAGCAATTAGCCCTCAGAGCAGGGATCTCAGATATTTGGAGGACAGGGTCCTTTTTGGACATGCTGGCCCCTACAAGCTGTGTGCAGGTTGTTCCAGGAATTTTTGGACAGCACTCTGCCACAGGGCTAGGGTGGGACCTGGGTAGCTGCTATTGTGCTAAGAGCTGAAATTGACCAAAATTACCACATTTTCTTGTCTAAGCCTTCCCCTGGGAAGATATAAGCCTTCACTAGCCTACAGAGTTCCAAAATAGAAAGATTCTGCGAGTGCAGTTGTTACCTAGATGGAGAGACAGATTTACTCCACCATCTTCCCAGAATCCTGTCTGTTTTATTGATACACAACCATGCTCATTCATGTGTTGTGTATGTTTGCATTTGCACCACAGTGGCAGAGTTGAATGGTTGTAACAGAGACTGTACGGTCTGCAAACCTAAAATACTAGCTATCTGGTCTTTTAAGAAAAACATTGTAGATCTCTACTTTATATTCTTAAGGGTAGCATTAATTTTTGCCATCCTGCATGATTAGCTACCTCAACTGGACAGGGGCGACTTTAGGATTTTTACCTGGGCTTCCTCATTATAATAGTTCTTATTCTGTAGACCCATATCAGCCCCTAAGTGTGTCTATACCTGTTAAACATTTGTAGACTGCAGAAATGACCACTAGGTATGCTCATGGACATATTGGTTTGACTCTGCCAGATCTTGGCCAGGAATCTATTACCCAGCCCCCATGTGTTCTCACTCTGACACGGTCCATGATGCTTTGGGTCAATCAGGTGCCAGTGCCAACTAGCACCGTATATCCAATAGACTTCAAAATATTTGCATATTTTTCTTTCCTTAGTGTACTAAAGTAAATGGTGGTAGCTCCTTTTGGGAGAAGGAATAGGAGAATTATTATTGTGTATAGGCATTCCCAAGAAGAAGGTAATACCTTATCTTCTTGAGAACCTGGCCTTTTCTTCAGTCAATAACAGGGAATATATCATAGTACATCCTATAAGACTTTGGTATAAACTCTGGAGTCTCATTACCTCTCTTGACCTCATCCACAATTATTCTCCCCTGCATTCACTCTCTTTTAGTCACACTGGCCTCTTTTCATGGATTGTATACCAAGAGTGTTCCCTGTGCTTAGAGTCTACCTCCCGCAGATGGCTTATTACTTAGCTGCATACAGATCTTTGCTCAAAATTTATTTTCTTAGAAAGGCCTTGCCTGGTGACTTCTTTCAAAGATAATCTCACTCTGGCCAGGCCTGGTGGCTCATGCCTGTAATCTCAGCACTTTGGGAGGCTGAGGCGGGCGGATCATCTGAGGTTGGGAGTTTGAGACCAGCCTGACCAACATGGAGAAACCCCGTTTCTACTAAAACTACAAAATTAGCCAAGCATAGTGGTGCATGCCTATAATCCCAGCTACTCAGGAAGGCTGAGGCAGGAGAATTGCTTGAACCCAGGAGGTGGAGGTTGAGGTGAGCCGAGATCATGCCACTGCACTCCAGCCTGGGCAACAAGAGCGAAACTCAGTCTCAAAAAAATAAATAAGTAAATCATCATCATCATCATCATCCCACTCTTATCCATCATTCTGTATCCTCTTTCATTTTCTTCATGGTTCTTCTTGCTGTATCATTTTTTGTGCTCGTTTATCTGTCACTCTCCTCCACTAGATCCAGAGGAGCAGAGATTTTTCCCTCCTTTTTTTACTATTTCCTGGATATTTAGAATAGTCTCTAGCACGTAGTAGGTCCTCAATTAATATTTGCTGAATGAAGGAATACTATATTTTCAGGTAATTGAAAATATTTTGTATGAAAAAATCCTTAATTTTTTGTCAGTAAATACCTGCTATTTATAAGTCTTTAGTGTATGTCATTTAATAAAAATATATTAAAATTGATGAACAGTATAACGTGTTTAATTGAAAACTATGATTACTTAACACATAAAATTAATAACACATAAGAACTAAGATTATTAAGTATACTAATGTGTATGCCAAGAAAATGATAGGGAAAGGGATATGATTACTATATGAAGTTTTTTAATGGAAGTACTGTAGATTTTTGAAAGGGCTGACTACTTCCTAATTTCACAACTGTAAATTGAATTGGTATTAATAGAACCTACCTTGTAGACTTACTACTTACCATAGTACATATTGAATATGATAAAGTATGTAAAATACTAGGCAATGCCTGGCACATAGTAAGTACTTAAAAAATTTTAGCTGTCATCACCATTTCATTATATAGGGGTATTTCATGTGATGGTCAAGTTTTCTAAAATTTTTAAGTAGCTTAGTTTCTAAAGTTCTAAGTAGCTCTAAATATAAGTTCATCTTGAGTCAATATTTCTCAATTTTAGATGACGTTAAAAATCTTTAGATTCGCATCCACTCTTGTTTCGACAGAAGTGAGGCAGACTAGAGGCTGATTATCTAAATATGTTGCTAAATGAGTTCATTGTATTTCAGGGTGGCATATTTTTTACTTTGAAGGATATTAATTCATCCTTGGGACTTAATTCTCAAACATGTCAGCACTTTATATCTTTAAAGGTTTAAGAAAAAACTTTGCAGATATAAAAGTTCAAATTGTAATCACCAACTAGTTTAAGTTACATGCTAGGTAGGAGGCAATATGTGGTATCCATTTACATGAAAGAGGGTAGTATGAAAAGTATGTAAATTAGTGTGTATTAGTCTAAAAAATGTATTATCTGTTGATGGTGAACATTTGAAATTTTATTTTCTTGATTGAGCCTTCTCTAATATCCTTTTTTAAACAATTTTTTTTTAAGAAAATTAAAAGATTTTGTATCCTGCTTTTTTCATCAGCTATCATATGTTAGACTTTTTTCTCATTTCTAAACTTTTTACATTATCATGATTTTAAAAGGAACATTGTTTTTCATCCTGTAAGTTTACCCTAATTTGTCAACTATGGCTTTGTGAATATTTATGTAAACAATTTCTTAGTAATATACATAATGCTCAATGAACATTCTGCAGAGATTTTTGCATTCATATATGCTTTTCCCTTAGATTTTAAAAATGGAATTACTGTTAGGGTATACGAGCATTTGTAACACACTGATGTTACCTAATACTTACCCGCTGGCCTCCAAAAAGATTGTACCTGTTGACATTTCTAACAATACTGAGAGTATAAATTTCAGTTTATCCTTTCTTGCCTTGCTCATTATAATTAAAAAAAAAAAAAACTTTGTGAGATTTTTAAAAAAGGATAATTTGATCTTATTTGATTACTAGTAAGGCTGTACATTAAAAATAATTTTTTTGACCATTTTATTTCTTCTACAAATTACTTGTTTGTTTACTTTGCTCATTTTTCTGTTGAGTTGTTCCAGTTGGTCATTAATACTGTTCTAGTATTTTAATATCCTAATTTTCATTAAGTAATTTGTTTTGTTTATTGAAGATTTTTTAATTGAAAAAATCTGTACATTTTAATAATATAGATGTATTTAAACAATTAGTAATTTCATTTTAAGTTTTTACCTAGTAGAAGCTGTTTTAATTTTATAAGTAATATTAAGTACTTGTATATGAAACTTTGTTAAAGCGTATTTTTTTGTAAACTAGGAGCCTTTTGTGGCAGATGAATATATTGAACGTCTTGTATGGAGAACCCCAGGAGGAGGCTCTAGAGGTGGACCTGAAGCTTTTGATCCTAAAAGGTGAAATAAAAAAATTTTTTTCCCCACAGATCTAATCTGGTACACATTAGTGTTAGAATAGAGATGACTGTTGAGATTGCTTTCAGCATTCCTCTACAAGGATTTTAGTTAACATTTGGCCAATAAAAGACAATACAACAGAGCATTAAAAGTTTGAGATTTTTTCTTTGACGTTCTTTTAAAGAAGCAATTTAACTGGTATGCAGGAAGTAATTTTATTGAGTATAAGAATTTGACATTTCTTCTAATGAGTCATAAACTAGAAATGATTATACTTCTAAAATAAAAACATTAAATACATTGTTTTAAATATATTTGTAAATTGGGGGAACAAAGTCACTGAACTCTGGAATGTATATTATTATTTTTATATAGTACATTTGCCTTCTTGACTATTTTAAGTAGGCTATAAAGTGTATTTCTATTCTAGGGGTTTATTGGGGATTCTGGGTGAGGTTTTCATTCACCTCTGAGATGATCCACGAAAAAGTCAATAGTTAAAGCCTGGCTATATTTTCAAATGTCATGTTTGCTTTAAAGCCATGTGGCCTGGACAAAACTATGAGGAAGTTATGAAATTACAGAAAGACTTTATCTTTTGATGAAGAAATTTCTAACAAGATGCTATAGAAAAAATTAACATGATCATTTCAAGCTCAAGGAACTCTTCTTATTAAGACTATGATTATAAGTTAACTGGTCAGTTCCTAAGGATTAATAATAGGTAGATTGATACATATTCAAACTTTCCTCTGTTAGATTATTAGAAGAATTTGTAAATCATATTCAGGAACTCCAGATAATGGATGAAAGGATTCAGAGGAAAGTAGAGAAACTAGAGCAACAATGTCAGAAAGAAGCCAAGGAATTTGCCAAGAAGGTACAAGAGCTGCAGAAAAGCAATCAGGTAAACGTTTTGTTAAGAAATGGGTATTTTATATAGGCTATAATATCTTTATTTTCTTCCAGTTTTAAGCTCTTAAAAAAGTCTAGTCAGATGATAGTAACTGTCAAGATTTCTTTCTACTGCTTTAGTCCCATGGGGTAAAATGTTAATGAATTGTTATCAAGTACTCTTGGCATTGGCTTTCCACAGAGTGTTGGTTTAGGATCACAGTACTCTTCTTAGGATAGAGTGGTATCCAGTTTAGTGTGGTCCTTGATTCTCCTCTAACAATGCGAACTTTGAAGAATGACACTTCAGTAGACCCCTAGTTTTAGGAACTCTTTATTAGCTTGGATATTTAGGTAGTCATTTGCTTTCTCTTTAATCGTAAAACAAAGTAATATGAAAGCAGCTATTGTCTGAATTAGGTTTTCCCTTGAGAAAACCTGGTCTGGGAAGTTTCACAAAAGTCATGAGGGTATGCTCCAATGAGAATTCTAGTGTAACTGTAGGAAAAACTGCCTTGATCTGTTTTGGAGTAAAACCAAATCACTAGATTGGTCCTGGGGCTCAGCAGGCCAAACTTCTTAGTCACTCTTAGGTCCTAGACTTAATCTGGAACCTCTGAATCCCATTCACAGGCTGGGCCTTATCTGGAATTTGATTCCCCCCTTTTTTTTTTAAGACAGAGTTTTACTCTGTCGCCCAGGCTGGAGTGCAGTGGTGTGTTCTTGGCTCACTGCAACCTCCACCTCCCAAGTTCAAGTGATTCTCCTGTCTCAGCCTCCCGAGTAGGTAGGATTACATGCACATGCTACCACACCCAGCTAATTTTTTTGTATTTTTAGTAGAGATTTTGCTATGTTGGCCAGGTTTGTCTTGAACTCCTGACCTCAGGTGATCCGCCTGCCTCGGCCTCCCAAAGTGCTAGGATTACAGGTGTGAGCTACTGCTCCTGGCCTTGATTTCCCTTAGTGTAGTTTGGAATATTGTTTAGCTTTGCTGCCTCTCAGGGATCATTAGTTCTTTAGTGTTAGGGATTAGCAAACTGATTGCTGCTAAAGTTTCAATTTTTTAGATTCCTTTTCTTAAACATATGTGGCTATGAGAAATAAGGAAGTCAGTAATTTAAGATAAGGAATGCATTTTTAAGAGTTAAGGTGACAGTTTCTAAATACTTTTAATGCAGTTTTCCCTTGGTAATAATAATAATAGTTAAGCTAATAAACTCTGGGACAAGTCTGCCTGAGTTTGAGTTTCAGCTCTGCCGCTTATGAACTGTGTAATCTCAAGCAATTTAACCTTTTCATGGCTCAGGTTTTTTTTTAATCTGTAAAGTGTGTTGTTGAGAGAATTATATAAGTAAATACATGTAATATGCTTAGAACAGTGTCTAGTCTAGCACAGAGAAAGTCCTTAATAAATGTTTACAGCTCTTCCCCACCTCAGTTTAAGGTTGGAAAAACGTCCCACACTAGATTATCAGCAATTCCACTGTTGGCAATTACAAGGCATTCATTGCATTCAATTTCCATATGCCACAGGACAATCAGTGTACCCTGGGAGAAGGGAAAGAATATTCTAGAAAGTAATATACCTTTGCCTTAGTAGAATAATTGCTACTTTTCTGTTTTCAAAACTGGGAAAGAACTATTTTACTTTATATATAAACATCACTTTTTAAATATTTAAAATAAATTGGTATATTTTACCACTGACTTTTTTTTTTTTTTTTTGAGGCAGAGTTTTACTCTGTTACCTAGGCTGGACTGCAGTGGTGCAATCTCAGCTCACTGCAACCTCTGCCTCCTGAGTTCAAGCGATTCTCCTGCCTCAGCCTCCCAGCTAGCTGGGGTTGCAGGGCCCACCACCAAACCCAGCTAATATTTGTATTTTTAGTAGAGATTGGGTTTTACCATGTTGTCCAGGCTGGTCTTGAACTCCTGACCTCAAGTGATCTGCCTCCCTCGGCCTCCTACTGACATATTTTTTATTCTTTTCAGTTTAGTAGCAAGAGAGCTCTTTAGATGTCTGGTCCTTTTCATACTTAGCTAATTGTTTTCAGAATCATCATTTGGGGCTAAATGGTGTTGAGTGTTTTTTTAAAACAGGATGAGGAGTAAACAGCTTTTTTTGTTTGCTTTTTTGTTGATTAATGTACTCACGATAAATATTATTTTAATAGTTAATGGTATAAAAGTTTGCAGTTTGGTTAACAGATTTTCAGATCATGTCACACTAATGAGCATGAATTTTGTAGATCATCTCGTATATAACTTCTGTTATCTTTAGTTAGTAGCAATAAGAGTAGTAGTTTAGATTATAAACTGAGCACACTGATTGTATTTTATGCTTATGCACATTTTTCCTAGGTTGCCTTCCAACATTTCCAAGAACTAGATGAGCACATTAGCTATGTAGCAACTAAAGTCTGTCACCTTGGAGACCAGTTAGAGGGGGTAAACACACCCAGACAACGGGCAGTGGAGGCTCAGAAATTGATGAAATACTTTAATGAGTTTCTAGATGGAGAATTGAAATCTGATGTTTTTACAAATTCTGAAAAGGTAAGTGCTGTCAGAGGATAAAACCAAATCACAGCATTAATAACAGTGCCCTAATTATGAGCTGCAATAATTGCTTTCCAGAGTTAGACTTCAAATCACTGAGTAGCTGACTTATTAAAAGTTTTTATTGTTCTGAAATGTAAACTAATACAGTTTCTTGTAGATTGCTGATGAAGTGTTAATATTGAGATGTTTAATTGGGTTTCCTGGCATTTTTTTAATGAAATTTTTTGTGGCTTAAAAATGCTGTGGTAGCTGTGTTCATAAATATCTCTTTACCATAGATTTCTTTCAATATTAACAGAATTTCTATAGTTTTTAAATAGTGACAGTCCATTGGGTGGTGGTGGGGTGGTCTGACCTAAATCATTGATAAGCTGAGATGCTTTTCTGTAAAGCAATAAGGAATTCAGAACTTCTGGTTTTTATTACTTGAATAAAGATCTCTTATAAAGAATTAAAGCAGTTTGGACCAAGGAGAGCTGAAAAAAATTCTGAATTAATTGTTTATGTTAATCCTTTTCATAGCACTAGTCACTTACTCCTGGTCTAAGGGTACATGGTATTGGCTGCTCTACAATCTTGAAAGAAGGTAATTTAGCTCACTTTCTTCCCCTCAGGGGAAAAAAAATCAAAATGTGCAAGAAAATGGACATTCTTATGGATCTTGTATGTACATAGCAACATTGTCCACTCATATTGAATACAGTCTTCCTGAATTATTCCAGATTTACTCCATAGAATATTTCAGATAGTGGAATGTAAAAGCTAAGTATTATTGACACTCACTTTGAATTAAGCAACACTTTTTTTTAATAGAACTCTATAGGGTTATAGAATTTATAATTTTTAGAGTTCTTTGGAAAATAGTTATGTGTGTACAGATAATTCCTCTAAAGAAAAGGTGTTTTTGAAAAATTTAGTTTTTCAAGTACAGGTGGTTTTTTGGTTATAAGAATGAGTTCTTTAGTGTTAAATTCTGAGATTTTAGTGTACCTGTCACCCAAACATTGTACACTGTATCCAATATGTAGTCTTGTACCCCTTATTCCCCTCTCAACTTCCGCCTTTAGAGCCCCCAAAGTCCATTATATCACTGTGTATGTTTTTGTGTCCTCATAGCTTAGCTCCCGCTTATAAATGAGAGCATATGGTATTTGGTTTTCCATTCCTGAGTAACTTCATTTAGAGTAATGGCCTCCCGCTCTATCCAAGTTGCTGCAAAAGACATTATTTTGTTCCTTTTTGTGGCTGAGTAGTTTTCCATGGTGTAAACGTACCATATTTATCTTTATCTGCTCGTTGGTTGATGGGCACTTAGGTTGGTTCCATATCTTTGCAGTTGAATTAATTTTTGGCCTAGTTCTACCAGTTAGCCATCCTTAAGAACTCATATAGTATTAGATTGCCAATTATTAGATAAACTCCTAGCTGTCTCAATTTCTGGACTCTGTACCAATCACCTTCCCAATGGAAAGAAAAGGAAAAAGCACCCACAGAGCTAGACCAGTGTGTGATTGTGGGAGGAATTAGAATGGGATAAGATATCAACACATCATATTCTTTTCCTTCTTTCCCCCTAGTCATTTTTGTTTTTTTAATTGTTCTTTTTTGGCATCTTGGCTGGGTGTGGTGGCTCAGGCCTGCAATCCCAGCACTTTAGGAGGCCAAGGCAGGATGATTGCTTGGGCTTAGGAGTTTGAAACCAGCCCGGGCAACATGGTGAAACCGCATCTCTACCAAAAAAAAAAAATTAGCTGACCGTTGTGGCACATGTCCATAGATCCTAGCACTCAGGAGGCTGAGGCAGGAGGATTGCTTGAGCCCCAGAGGTTGAGGCTGCAGTGAGCTGTGACTGCCACACTGCACTCCAGCCTGGGTGACAGACAGACCCTGTCTCAAGAAAAAAAAGAATCTTCTCATATTCTGAAAACAAAAACAAAAACAAAAAAAACCCTATTATGTGTTTACCTCTGTCCTTACACATATGTTGGTTTTGTTTTTTTTTCTTTTTTTTCTTTTTTTTTTTTTTCAGACGGAGTCTCGCTCTGTCCCCCAGGCTGGAGTGCAGTGGCGCAATCTCGGCTCACTGCAACCTCCGCCTCCTGGGTTCATGCCATTCTCCTGCCTCAGCCTCCTGAGTAGCTGGGACCACAGGCGCCTGCCACCATACCCGGCTAATTTTTTGTATTTTTAGTAGAGATGGGGTTTCACCATGTTAGCCAGGATGGTCTCCATCTACTGACCTTGTGATCCGCCCACCTCGGCCTCCCAAAGTGCTGGGATTACAGGCATGAGCCACCGCACCTGGTCTGTTTTTCTTTTTTACCTAGAATGGCAGCTTATTGTTCCTCATGTGGATAATACTTGATGACTGTGATTATCTTTAACACTATTAGCAAGGGTAGTCTCTCACCTCACCCAAATGTCAATAACTATTAGAATATAGTTTTGCCAGCTTTTGTTACTTATTGTTGTAGTATGTTTTAACTGACTAAATGTTGTATATTGTAACCTTAAGAGATATCTGTGCTTTACACAATTTTTATAAAATAATTTGCTATGGAAATTCAATATAAACAAGTGCCATTTACCCCTATACTAGTTAGTACATTAAACAAAGTTTGCAATAGCACAATGATGATGATGACTTCTTAAAAGAACAAAAACTCCTTATGGAAGCATAGAGCAGGCTGTGTGCCAAGTATATTATTTCTGAAGTGGGTATTAAGGGGGTATTGGTGAGGAGAAAATGATGGATTTTGCTAATACAACTAAATGGCATGGTGAGGACAGATACTGCAGTGATATTTGTGCCCATATACAACAGGACAGAGTGAGTGTTTGGTAGTTGAAAATGATAGTGACCTGCTGACTAGGAGAAAAGGGATGACTGAAGCAGAAATGCTATATTCACTATAATTTGGAGCAAGAAGGGAGAAGAGGCTCTGCTGTTGTTATTCACAGTTGCTTGTCAGAGTTCACATGCCTACTTAGAAAAATCTATATTGGGCAGGGCGTGGTGTCTCAAGCCTGTAATCCCAGCACTTTGGAAAGCCAAGATGGGCAGATCACTTGAGGCCAGGTGTTCAAGACCAGCCTGGCTAACATGGCGAAACCCCGTCTCTACTAAAAAAATACCAAAATTAGCGGGTGTGGTGGTGCATGCCTATAATCCCAGCTACTTGGGAGGCTGAGGCATGAGCATTGCTTGAACCCAGGAGGTGGAGATTGTAGTGAGCCAAGATCATGCCACCGCACTCCAGTCTGAGTGACCGAGCAAGACTCTGTCTCAAAAAAAAGAGAAAATAAAAAAAATCTATATTGATGTTCTTAGCTCTTCCTTCGTATTTATGAGTCTCACTGTTTTTTCAAATGTAAAAGAAAATGAATCTTCATAAAATGAATTATTAAAATTGTGCCAAAGTAAAACTGAGAACTAGTTTGAGATTTAAAGAATAAATGAACATTGTAAACTCCCCTGAACTGTTGTGTAAATAAGCACAGATATCTGCATTAAAGAATTTTAGAACTCTTGCCTAAGTTCCTTAGTTCCACAACTTGAATAAATTTACACATTTCTGGCTGGGCTCGGTGGCTCACGCCTGTAATCCCAGCACTTTGGGAGGCCGAGGTGGGCGGATCACCTAAGGTCAGGAGTTCAAGACCAGCCTGACCAATATAAAGAAACCCCGTGTCTACTAAAAATACAAAAATTAGCCGGGCATGGTGGCATGCGCCTGTAATCCCAGCTACTCGGGAGGCTGAGACAGGAGAATCACTTGAACCCAGGAGGCGGAGGTTGCAGTGAGCAGATATCGCGCCATTGCACTCCAGCCTTAAGAGATATCTGTGCTTTACACACAAGAGATATCTAGGCCACAAGATATCTGTGGCCTTAAGAGATATCTGGGCCACAAGAGTGAAACTCTGTCTCAAAAAAAAAAAAAAAGACAGAAAGAAAAGAAATATACACATTTCTATATTATATTTCATCATGGGGCTTTACATTAAACTTTATATTTTCTTTTAGAACAAGTGTTATAAATTCATATGATCAGTAATGACAGGCATTTAACTTACAGTAGGATATATGTGGCAGTATGCTCTAAATTATTTTTATAAATCTCGTTTATCCTTTTCGGGTTCATAAACTTAGAATTCTGAGATTTACACCTGGCTTTCAGCAAGCAATGATTTAAATTTCTTTGGAATAAACTTGAACTACAGGTTTCATTGGGAAGGGATTGTGGCATCAAAAAAATCACAGAATTTCAGTACCAGAAAGCTAAATGTTTATGTTATTATTGACTCATTATTGGTAACACCCCAAATGTATTCTTGTTGCTCATAAAGTTTTATTTGTTGTGGATTTTTAAAGGAAATTTTTTTAGGGAAGGGACTGTGGGCACATGCAGGGAGATATTACTAATTTCAGATATATAATTATTTTTTGATATGCCTAAAAGTTTTTTAAATTATTGCTTTTATTTATTTTTTCATAGATAAAGGAAGCAGCAGACATCATTCAGAAGTTGCACCTAATTGCCCAAGAGTTACCTTTTGATAGGCAAGTTCATTTCTCAAGAGCTAATTTGAATATGTGGTATAATTTATAAAATAAAATAGTATCTTTTCCTGTATGATTTTCTTTGCCCATTAATTAAACGGAAATTTATTGAGCACTTGCTGGTTCATTTACTTGCTAGTTTATTCACTTTGTACAAGATGCAGTGTAAAATAGTTTATTGAAAAAATACAGTCTCTTCTTAATATCTAAATTTAATGATAGGCCTTGAAATAATTTCAGTCCCTGTCTCCTGAAAAAAAATTTGATGAAGGAGAATTTTGAAATCGACTGAGGTTAAATTTGGATTTTCATACTTTGGACTTTGAGAACCAGGTAGGGGATAGAGAGAACACTTTTCCTATTTCCTGATGAAGGTTCTTAGGCTTTTGGAGGCCTTGGACACCTTTGAAAAGCTGATGAACGCTATCACCTTTCTTCAGGAAATTAAGATACACACAGATTATTGTATACAATTTCATGGAGTTTTAGACTCTAGCCTATCCACAGAACTCTTCCTAGGGACTTCAGGTTAAGAACCCCTTTTTTTTAAAATGCAAGGCCCCAGAGCCATTACTAAGTTAGATTTCATCCTAAAATAAACTATCCACTGAGAAGGAAATTTTTTCATGATTTCTTCTAGTGTATGGAATGTCAGACTCTTTAATAAACTGTTGGTAAAATAGTACTTCCTCCATGTGAATATTTGAAAGAAATATGATTTAATATATTATAAATGATACATAGTAATAGACATATAATATGTTATTTTTGTTCATACTTGAAGATCTTCAGGAACAGGTAAAATATGGATATATTGCTATACTTAGCTTAACCATTATCTCCCAAACATGTAATGAATTCCCCCTAAAAATGTATCTATTTTATTCTCAACTCTGATTATCATGAAGAATTAGCAATAATGATCATCTATCATTCTTAATAATAATCTGGTAGTTGCCCAGCATTATGATTTAACTTACTGTAATACTTTTTAAAGTCACCCACCAAAACTTCTCTTTAACTTTATGTCATTTCAGAATTGGACTATTTACTTAAATGGGTAAAATGTCTAGCTCAAAATAGGCTCATAATAATTATTGACTGCATCCCCCTACCCTGTCTTCATCCTATTTTTCCACTCCAGAACACACATGCATATATACATATATATATGAATATGAATATGTGTGTGTGTGTGTGTGTGTGTGTGTGTGTGTGTATATATATATATATATATATATATATGTCTAATTAGGATATATATTCAACTCCAAGGCTTGGTGAAGAGGCCAAAACAAAACCATAAGAGAAGTATGTACCTGAGTGGTGGTGAATATGAGTGTGTGTGTGTGTGTGTGTGTGTGTGTGTGTATATATATGTGGAGTTGAATATATATCCTAAATAGATTCAATTTTTTCACACAGATTAATATGGCCTTATATGTGATCTGATCTACTGTGACTTTGATACATCATTTTTGTATAACACTCTAGATTTTTGTTTCCTTCTTCATTTGTCTTTGGCATCTCTTTTGCCAGCCACTCTCCTCTCTCTTCAAACAATTGCACACAATCTTAAAATATTTCTTTTTCATGCTATGCATTTCACTTAGATATTTGAGATTTGAAAAAATTCTACTGCGTGGTATTTTAGTTTTTTAATTTGTAAAGATTGAATGGCTACTCTGCTAGGCACATTGCTGGGTCTTATCATTTGTCATTAATATATCATCATATAATATATTATTTGATCATCTTTTTCTTTTGAATAATAATGATGGAACTTTATTTTTAAAAATACCAACCATGGGAATGGGGAGGGAGACAAATAATCAAGTGTATTTAAAATGCCAGCAAATAAAAGTAAGAACAGTAAGTCAGTTTTGGGACTGGCTGGGTTGTTAGTGTCTTATGCAGAGCAGTTGATTCTTTAAAAAGAGAATTGATTTTCAATGTGAATTTCCTAAATGAGAACCAGCTACCTACCTACATTAAGTTTTATCACCTGGCATGCTTCCTATCAGAATTCTCTCCTCTGATTTTGTCTTTTTTCTTTTTACAATAACCTTTTAACTTTATAATGGTTTTGGATTTACAGAAAAGTTGCAAAGATAGTACAGATGGTTCTCGTATCTCCTGCACCCAGTTTCCCATTTGGTTAGCATCTTACATTGCCATAGGATGTTTATCACAACTAACAAACCTCATGGTTGGTTTTTGTCTTTCAGATTTTCAGAAGTTAAATCCAAAATTGCAAGTAAGTGATGTATTTATTTTACCTTTTTTTTAATAAGTAAAAAAACTACTTGTGTAAAAATAAAACAGCAAAAGGAGAAAAAGCAGGAACAATGTCATCTTCCTACCCTAGTAGGCTACTGCATAGAAGATCCCTGAGTTTGATTTCTCTTCCCTCAAAACAACCATTACCAGTTTTTTTGGATATTCTTGCAGAATAATCTATGGATATACAAGCATAAGACATAAATTCTATATATGTGTGTGTGTACATATGTATGTGTATGTATAGATATTTATATGTACTTCTATCCTCATTTATTTTTAAATAATTGCTACCATACTATATAAATAGCTTTATACCTTGCATTTTTAATTTAATAGTGCATTTTGGAAATCCTGTGCTTTCCATACATCTATCTCTGAATAAGATTCTCTCTTTTTTTTTTTAAGATTATATAAGCATTTCAGTATCTATTTAACTCCTTACATGATTAGTTTGGTTCTTGCCAGTCTTGGATTTTAGTTTAGGTTAGATCATTCTAGGTTTTTGAAAAGACCACTAAATTTGCAGGTTCTGTGGTAGCTGGGGTCACTATTTAGAGTAGGCCACTGCATAGAAGATTCAAAGATTCATCTATATTCCCAAAAAGTCTTAGAATAAGGATGACACAGCTAGTTAGACTTCCTGGGAATATTTTTGATCACAATAGATTGGTCTGAAGTTCAGGTGTTCGTTAAGAACCATACTAGCCTCAAGAATATAGTGAATAGGGCCGGACATGGTGGTTCGCACCTGTAATCCCAGCACTTTGGGAGGCCGAGGCGGGTGGATCACCTGAGGTCAGGAGTTCGAGACCAGCTTGGCCAACATAGTGAAACCCCGTCTCTATTAAAAATACAAAAATTAGCTGGGTGTGGTAATGGGTGTCTATAATCCTAGCTACTCAGGAGGCTGAGGCAGGAGAATCGCTTGAACCCAGCAGGTGGAGGTTGCAGTGAGCCGAGATCGCGCCACTGCACTTTGACTGGGTGACACAGAGAAACTCTGTCTCGAAAAAAAAAAAAAAAAGAAAATGAAAAAAATATAAATACTGCATATTATCAGGATGAGATTTGGTGTTCAGTCATCAGTCCACTATTGTTCTAGGTAGAGGCATCAGAACTCTAGTAAAGAGTTCTGTAGTCCTCTTCACCCTTTCCATGTGTAGGATTTTTCATGTGTGTTGCTATCAGAAATAGCATCTGGAGGATTTTTTCCAGTCAGCTACTGGTTTAAGTAACAATGGCATATGACAGTCAGACCCTGGAAAGCTCAGTAATTTTGCCAGTTTGGAAGTTTTTTGTCTTGAAAATATAGATTTATATGCCACAGTATATTACAGGGGCTGGGTTCACGGCCTATAATCTCATTTGTTTTTGTAATTCCTTCAAAAGAAAGCTATATTCATAGTCATTATATTTGTAAATAATGTAGATACTCTTAAATAACGTGGATGCCTTGTATGCCTCAGTGTAGCTGAATGACTTTATTTTTAGGTAAATACCATGATTTAGAATGCCAGCTGATTCAGGAGTTTACCAGTGCTCAAAGAAGAGGTGAAATCTCCAGAATGAGAGAAGTAGCAGCAGTTTTACTTCATTTTAAGGTAAATAGTAGGAATTAAAAATGAATAGTGTTCAAGGCTATGGAAATTACGTAAGTTCTATATATTATAGTCTCTGATTTCCCCCATTCATTATGTAACTATCACAGTGATAATTTTCACTGTTTTGAGTAATTTGTACATTTGATACTCTGTAAATGGTATTGAATGTTATATATTTAATATTTAAGGTTTTATATTCAATAATATTAATATTGAATTAAAATTAATTGATCAATTAAATATTGATGAATTTTTATACTTTGATAAAGAAAATCATATTGTCTGCCTTTTTGCTTCCACATATTATAATATAGGTGAAAAGAAAGAAAACGTGACCGTAAATATCTGTAGGATATAGGAACCAGAGAGTAGATGGAACATGACTAGTAAGAGACTTAAATCCAGGGGACCTCAGGAGGTAATACAAAAGAATTTTGTATTACGGAATTGTTTACCTAGAATTTGAACTCGGGAGAGAATCCCTGTGTAGGAGTATATTTCTGCAAAGAAAGTGCTTAAAGAAATGGTTCTTCCTTCAATCTGTTTCTTTGATTTGTATCAGATTAGGGAAGGGGAAGCTATTTGTTGGACTTTTCATTTTGGTAAAATCTGAATGAGTATTGAGAATGGCTCTTGAGACAGTAGTGCACTTTATATTGCTTTCCTTACTGGTTTTTATGTATGATTTATTAATAGGCAAAAATCTCATTATGGTGAGCTTAATGACAAATCAGTTTGTTTTAAACACATTTTATTAAAATACATTTAGTTTAAAAAGTAAATTTCCAAACTACCAGCTGAATACAACTGTCCAGATTCTTGCAAGGAAAACCAAATGCTAGAGAAGGCCAGGCGCAATGGCTCACTCCTGTAATCCTAGTATTTTGGGAGGCCGAGGCGGGTGGATCAGTTTAGCTCAGGAGTTCGAGATCAGCTTAGGCAACATGGTGAGACCCTGTCTCTACAGAAAATACAAAAATTAGCCGGAGGGGAGGCATGTGCCTGTAGTCCCAGCTACTCGGGAGGCTACAGCAGGAGGATCGCATGAGCCTGGGAGGCAGAGGTTGTAGTTAGCCAAGATGACACCATTGCATTCCAGCCTGGGTGACAGGAGTGAAATCCTGTCTCAAAAAAAAAAAAAGAAATATATATATACACATATATATATATATACACACACACACACACACACACACACACGTATATATACACACTTTAATATATATAAATATATTTATATGTATATAAAACACATACATATATATATGTAAAACCTTTTCCCAAGACCTTGACTCTCTGTGTATGTGTGTGTTTGTGTGTATGTGTGTGGGTGGGTGTGAGTGGGTGTGTTTTGGAGTTGAA
Organism: Homo sapiens; assembly: GCF_000001405.40. Lineage (NCBI taxonomy): Eukaryota > Metazoa > Chordata > Mammalia > Primates > Hominidae > Homo > Homo sapiens. The sequence continues at coordinate 57,234,348 of NC_000014.9, read as the reverse complement.
GGAGATGGCTAGATGATCATAGGACAAAAATTACTCTAAAGAACTCAGTTACATACTTCATCTTTCTTGTTTTAGTCTAAAGTTCAACAAGGATATGTACCAACTGATAAATTTTATCATAGAAAGTGACTAGGGAGACGATACCTTTATCAAGTTACTGGTTTTCTGCAGTTAATTTTATTTAAGTCCAACAGGTGTTGCTATTGGCCATTTACTGGTAAATAGTCATAGCTTTATGACATATAACACTTCTTTTTTTGAAATAATAATTATTATAATTGAATCAGAATAATAACAATGTGTTTCTTCCTTGTAGGGTTATTCCCATTGTGTTGATGTTTATATAAAGCAGTGCCAGGAGGTAACATAACAGTACACTTTGTTGGATATTATTTTATGCTAATTGTTGTTTTAAAATCATGTAGAAATTATATGTTCACTGTATAAAATGTCTCTGCTGTTTAGGGTGCTTATTTGAGAAATGATATATTTGAAGACGCTGGAATACTCTGTCAAAGAGTGAACAAACAAGTTGGAGATATCTTCAGTAATCCAGAAACAGTCCTGGCTAAACTTATTCAAAATGTATTTGAAATCAAACTACAGGTAATTTTAAATAGTAACAAATTAAATAGTTCTTAAAGCAATATGTAATTTTTTCCCTATATTTTAAAAGTATTTTTAAAATTTAGTTTACTTATGTAATGACCTTAGAAATAGTAATCTAGTTAAGGAGAAAGGAATCCTCATGCTTTTTAAAAAATGTTTTGTATTCACCAAGAAGAAAGTGCTAATCAATAAGTATCATCAGAGAACATGCTTGAAATTTGTGTAGTATTCGTAGTAGTAGTATAATATATTGTGGTAAGATAGCCTTGAAGATTTTTCTTTTTTTTTGGTCCCTGCCTTCACCAATAGATGTCATTTGTGAAACTGAACAAGAATTACAAGAGCAGTCTGTAGAATTTTTAATAATATGGTACTAACCTGAAAAGGGAAAACACAGAAATTTAATTTACCCCCATATCACTGTACTTTCAGATAACATTTCCTAAGCTGTTTACAACTGGATTAAACAACATTCAATAAATGTTTGCTTTTTTTTTTTTTTAACACAATTCAGGAATTTTGATAGTATTGTCATTCTCTAGAAGTGGGGATGTAATGTACAGCATTTCACACATTTACTGTCTAAGAAACCCTGTTTTGGAGTAATGCCTATAGACATCTGAAGGAACACTAGTGTTACCTGGAACTCAGTTTGGGAGATGCTGCCTTAAGGAATTGACTCTATTGTTTGTACTCTCAGTTTTGTTTTTTTGATGCACCTCACAGAGCAGAATAGGCCAATTTAACAGAAAAGGTATTATTCCTAAGACTGATAAAGATCCTCTACAGGTAAATATGAGAAGTGGTAAAATGTAAAAACCTGTTTTAAAATATTTTATGATTGGTTTGTTTTCTGTAATTGCCTTTTTGATTGGATTGTAAGTCAGAAAGGTTCAAAACTGTGGAGTGAATTTTAAAAGAAAAATATCTTGAGAAGTTGTAGAATTTAATATTTACCTAATTAACAGAATGTTAACCTTTTTCTTTTAGAGTTTTGTGAAAGAGCAGTTAGAAGAATGTAGGAAGTCCGATGCAGAGCAATATCTCAAAAATCTCTATGATCTGTATACAAGGTAAATTTTTAATGATTAGAAAATAATAGATAACAGATTTTTTAAATTTTTTTGATAAAAACAAGGAAGTATTCAGGTATTTTTGAATAAGTTTGTCACCAGTTTACCTTTTAGCATTAAATGCTTAGCTGTATAGACTAGTTATATTGTACAAGACTGTATTGTACAACATTCTTAATACATTAACGTCAGGAATTGGATGTTATGCTTTATTTTTTCTCTAAGCATTAGTGTAATTACATTTATCTGCAGTCAAAACTTTAGAAACTGCAAAAGGAAGTGATGTAATCTTAACAAATGACAATTTCAGCTCTAAATCTTCTGTAGGAATTTGTCTTGTGCTTTTGTAAATGTCAGTGTTACTCTTAGAGATTGTCTCAGAAGCTTCATATGGAGTCTTGTGGGGTTTTTTTTTTCCTTGACTTTTCCCAACCCTATTACTCTTCTTCAGTGTCTTCATTTTGGGAGAAGGTTTTTCCAAAGTTACCGTAATGAGGAAGTCCATCTCAACAACAACACTGTTATGACCCTATCTTCAGCAATGGGAAATAGAAAATTAGAGGGAAAGTCCACAAGGACAAAACAAAAGAGGGTGAACAGACAGTAGATCTTTCAGTACTCTGTTTTGGGTCCCATGTGATGAATGGCATTAGACATACTTGAGGCCAATCTGCCACTGTCGCCATTTCTGGACTAGTTAATTGCCTCACAAGTTCTTTTCCTAGGAATTTATAACAGTTCTCAAAACCGTAAAGTTGTTCGTAATATTTCACTGTATTTATATGTAACCCTGTAGAGTTGATCTCTGCATCATAAGTACTCTCCCAGAGTTTAAGAAATGGTGGCTTAACATAAGTCATGAAAGTCACGTTGTAAAAATTTGTATTCCTTAATATTGTTACTATACCTAAAATGTATATTAATCTTTTTCTCCCCCTTTTTCATGAAAAGAACCACCAATCTTTCCAGCAAGCTGATGGAGTTTAATTTAGGTACTGATAAACAGACTTTCTTGTCTAAGCTTATCAAATCCATTTTCATTTCCTATTTGGAGAACTATATTGAGGTGGAGACTGGATATTTGAAAAGCAGAAGTGCTATGATCCTACAGCGCTATTATGATTCGAAAAACCATCAAAAGAGATCCATTGGCACAGGAGGGTGAGTATTTTTGTTAAATACTTCTGTTAAAACTGAAGACATTAATAACTTCATTATATTTGGGCAAATTATCAAATGTTGACTATCATTAGAATTTTCTGTGAAGAGTTCTTTTAATCCAGATTGTTATATTATTGATCAAATCTTGTTCTTAAACCACATGTTGAAATGACCTAACATAACATGATTGAAATGTAAGCCGGGCGTGGTAACTCACTCCTGTAATCGCAGCACTTTGGGAGGCCGAGATGGGCTGATCACCTGAGGTCTGGAGTTCGAGACCAGCCTGGCCAACGTGGTGAAACCCCATCTCTACTAAAAACACAAAAATTAGCTGGGCGTGGTGGCAGACACCTGTAATCCCAGCCATTAAGGAGGCTGAAGCAGGAGAATCACTTGAACCTGGGAGACGGAGGTTGCAGTGAGCCAAGATTACGCCACTGCACTCCAGCCTGGGCGACACAGCAAGACTCCGTGTCAAAAAAAAAAAAAAAAGTAAAGTAGATATTTGTCAATTAAAAAATAATGTTTTAAAACTATCGAGCAGAACACTAGTAATATAAAAAGTTCCATAGTTTCTTTCATTTTTTTTTTTCTCGATAGAATAAGTTCCAGGTTATTGACCAGGAAACGCATCTTTTTTTTGTTACTGTTGCAGGTGTGAAAAAAATAGAAAATAGTTTGTAGTTTAAGTACCTTGAATTGATGAGTTTTGTTCAGAGACTTTAGCATAAAAAACTATTAAATTAATACCTTAATGCCTACAATTATTTACAGACTAGAAGAAAATAACTTGCTCCAAGAATAGTTGGCATCTTAGCTACCAGGCTTTAACTGCCTGGAACCCAGATTCTAAAAAGAGACAGAATGACATTGGTGGACTCAAAGTCCAGAATCCCCACATGTATATATCGAAACCAGTTTTCTTATTTCCCATTTTGTTGTGTATTAAATAATGATTAGAGAGAGTTAAAATTAGTAGTAAGAGGTAATACCTGAAAGGTAGTAGCAAGGAAGGGAAGAGGAAAACTAATGAATAATAGGAATTTGTGTGTGTGTTTGTGTGTGTGTGTGTGTGTGTTTACGGTAGTCTCAAGTTACATATCCTAAGAGCAAAAAAAGTTTAACCTTCCAAAGATACCCCATATAAGTGTTTCAGGTGACCCTCAGTAATTAAGAATAGCTAAATTATGTTTAATATATCTTCTTTAATATCATGAATAAATGTGCATAATCTTAAAATGACTATATTTTAAAATTGTTAAACTTTTAAAGGTTTCTTTTTAAACAGGACTATTTCGTTATTTAGAATGCCAACCTATTTGGAATAGCTCACTTTCTAAGGAAACCCAGCAAGTTTTACTATTGAGTCAGAATTGTAAGGCTGAATTGTAAAGCAACTTCAGAAATTAGAAGTCCAAATCTACTCATTTATCAGATGAAAATCTTCCGTTTAGATATCAGGGCTAACTTTATTTCACAAAACTAGTTATTGGAATTAGAAATTAGGTCTCTTGGCTATTGGTCCATTTTTGTTGTTGATATATACTAAGTTTGGAAGTACTCAAAGTTGAAATCTAAGTAAAATGTTTTCTTTTTTTCATTTGTCTTTATGATGTACTAGTATTCAAGATTTGAAGGAAAGAATTAGACAGCGTACCAACTTACCACTTGGGCCAAGTATCGATACTCATGGGGAGACTTTTCTATCCCAAGAAGTGGTGGTTAATCTTTTACAAGAAACCAAACAAGCCTTTGAAAGATGTCATAGGGTAAGAGTGATTGTAAATGTATTTTACATATACAGTTGTTCCTTGATATCTGTGGGGAATTGATTCCAGAACCTCCGAGGATACCAAAATCGTGGATGCTCAAGTCTGCTATATAAAGTGTGTAGTATTTGCATATATTCTATGCACATCCTCATTTATACTTTAATTAGTCTGTAGATTACTTATAATTATTTATATATATTATTACATTACCTAGTGCAACGTAAATCTCTGTAAATAGTTGTAACTTTAGTGTTTAGGGGATGATGACAGTACATATTCAGTACAGATGCAACCATTCTCTTTTTTTTTCTTGAATATTTTTTGATCTGTGGCTGGTTGAATCTGCTGATGCAGAACCCACAGATACAGAACTTACAGTTAGAGAGAACTGACTATGTAGTTGTATTTTAAGTCTTACCTTGTTTTACTAAGATATAAATTTACTCTGATTAGGAACAACTATTTTTTGTAATAAAAGATAGGATTTTTATTTTGGAGAACAGAATAATTTTAAAATTAGGAATAAATGTGAATATAACTTTAAATTAAAGTTGAGCAGATCAAATTTTTGTTATGTAGGATTAAATGAAGATGTGAAAGGGACAGTTAGACTTTTCTCATGAAGAAATGGTGCATCAGGGAAAGAACAATGTTTTAAGAGCATCAACATCAAAGGGAAAGAGTGAAGATTTGGCTCCATTAAAACTTAGATTTTCCTCTCTAATAAACACAGTTTAGCAAAATAAACAGATAAGTCAGAGTGATAAAGTATTTGTAAATGATACTACTAGCAAAAGATTGTATGAAACAAATAATAGTAGCTAATAATTTTATAGTACATAATATGTTCCAGACACTCCTTTTTTTTTTTTTTTTTTATACTTTAAGTTCTGGGATACGTGTGCAGAGCATGCAGGTTTGTTACATAGGTATACACGTGCCATGGTGGTTTGCTGCACCCATCAACTCCTCATCTACATTAGGTATTTCTCCTAATGCTATTCCTCCCTTAGTCCCCCACCCCCCCAACAGGCCCCACTGTGTGATGTTCCCCTCCCTGTGTCCATGTGTTCTCATTGTTCAACTCCCACTTAATGAGTGAGAACATGTGGTGTTTGATTTTCTCTTCCTGTGCTAGTTTGCTGAGAATAATGGTTTCTAGCTTCATCTGTGTCCCTGCAAAGGACATGAACTCATCCTTTTTGATGGCTGCATAGTATTCCATGGCATATATGTGCCACATTTTCTTTATCCAGTCTATCATTGATGGGCATTTGGGTTGGTTCCAAGTCTTTGCTATCGTGAATAGTGCTGCAGTAAACATACGTGTGCATGTGTCTTAATAGTAGAATGATTTGTAATCCTTTGGGTATATACCCCAGTAATGAGATTGCTGGGTCAAATGGTAATTCTGGTTCTAGATCCTTGAGGAATCATCACACTGTCTTCCACAATGGTTGTACTAGTTTACACTCCCACCAGCAGTGTAGAAGCATTCCTATTTCTCCACATCCTCTCCAGCATTTGTTGTTTCCTGACTGTTTAATGATTGCCATTCTAACTGGCGTGAGATGGTATCTCATTGTGGTTTTGATTTGCATTTCTCTCATGACCAGTGATGATGAGCTTTTTTTCATGTTTGTTAACTGCATAAATGTCTTCTTTTGAGAAGTGCCACTCTTCTAAGCATTTTAAGTGTGTGTGTGTGTGTGTGTGTGTATGTATATATATCTTGTTTGTATGTAGTTTACATACGTGTGTGTGTGTGTGTGTGTGTGTGTGTGTATATATATATGTATGTAAACTTATTTCATCATATAACCACCCTGTGAGGTTGTTAGTTTGCAAATAAAGAACTGAGATACTTGGCTTTTAGGTAGTGGATTGAGAGTTGAGGCAGTCTTAATTATTTATGTTGATGTATATAATCTGTATTTATATTGAGACAGTAAATTATACATGTGAATATAAATCAATAGAAAACAAGTCAAAGAATACGCATACGCAGTTTACAAAAAGAAAATGTAAATCACTAGTACAATACTCAGTCTCACTAATAGGGAAATGCAACTTATTCATTAGGTTGGGATAAATTAAGAAGTCTGATGACCAAGTGTTGTTAAGGAAGTGGAGCAATAAGCAGTTGTCACACACCGCCAATGGGAGTGAAATTGGTACCGTTATTTTGAGGATTAATTTGGCAGTTTCTTAGAGAAACTCATAGGTTCATGTGATATGTATAACATCATAACAGCATTTTTTTCATGGTGAAAAATTAAAAGCAAACTCTCAGTGTCCATGAAAAAGAGAATTGTTAAACTGGTGTTTTTCATACAGTAGAAAACTATACAACAATTTAAATGAGTGAAGTAGAGTTACATGTGTCAACATGAATAAATCTGAAAAATACTTAGTATTGATATGACTGAATCATATGGTTTTTTTTTAGGAAGCTGCCAAACTAATAGTGTGTAGTGATATTTGATTATAGTTTTAGTTTTCATTTTCCTAATGCAGTGATGATTCATGTTGAGCATCTTTTCATGTGCTTATTTGCCGTCAATATATACTCTCTGGTGAAGTGTTTGTTCAGATCTTTTGTGCATTTTTAAATCAATCGTGTGTTTTATTTTTGGAGCACTCTATATTGTTACAATTTATCAGATATGATTTGCACATTTTTTTTCTGCCTGTGGCTTATCTTTTTATTCTCATCAGTATTTCTAAGGATAGCTGTTCTTAATTTTGATGACATCCAATTTAATAATACTTTTCTGTTCTGGATGGTGATTTTGGTGTCATATATAAGAAGTCTTTGCCTAACCAAAGGTTACAAAGTTTTCCTCCTATGTTTTCTTCTTTTATAGTTTGAGGCTTTATGTTAAGATGTATAATCAATTTTGAGTTAAGTTATACAGTATTGTGGATCAAAGTTCATAATTTTACAATTAGGCATCCAGTTGTTTCAGTTTCATTTATTGAAAAGACTATCCTTTCCGCACTGAATTACTGTAGAACCTTTGTCAAAAATCAATGGACCATTTATATGTGGGTCTGTTTCTGGACTCTTGTGTTCCATTGGTCTGTCTTTATGCCTGTACTGTACTGTCTTGATTGCTGTAACTTTATAATAAGTCTTGAATCGGGTAGTGTAAGTCCTAAGTCCTCTAACATTTTTATATAAATCATTTTGTATTATGTCTTATAATAGCTTGTCTGTTTCTGAAAAAGTCTGAGATTTTGATTGGAATTACATTGACTCTGTAGTTCTATTTGGGGAGAATTCACATATTTTGATGCCATTATAAGCATATGTAAATGGTCTTTTTAAGATTTATATTTAATTTCTAGTTTAACTTACTTAGTCTATAGAAATACAGTTGATTTCTATATATTGCTCTTATATCCTGTGAGAACGGAAAATAAATCTCTGGACCCCCAAATCACTAAGCCAAAGGGAAAACTCAAGTTGGGAAATGCATCAGGCAAACCTGCCTCCCATTTTATTCCTAAGTAAGATAGGAATTCCTTGTGGGCCTCAAGATCTTTCCCCTAAAACAGTTTTATTGAATTTCACCTTGGCAATGTAAATTGATAACTTATCTTCACAGTTGCAGGACAAAGGAGAGAACTCAAGTCATCCCTCAGCTCACCTGAGAGAAATGCGTATCTGATTGCTTCCTCTGTCCTATTGTTTATGTAAAAATGTAGATTCACCGAGCCAGATTAAGGCACAAGTGATTATTCCTCTACCCACCTCTGACATGCAAATTGTATATTCAGTGAAAGGGTGGTCAAAGACTCAAAAGAATACGACTGTTTGTCTCTTATCTGCCTGTAACCTGGAAGCACCTTCTCACCCCTTCAAGTTGTCCCGCCTTTCCGGACAGAACCACTGTACATAACACCTATTGATTGATGTCTCATGTCTCCCTAAAATGTGTAAAACCAAGCTGTGCCCCTACCAACTTAGGTGGGCATGTGTTGGCGGGACCTCCTGAGACTGTGTCATAGGAATGTCCTTAACCTTAGCAAAATAAACTTTCCAAATTGATTGAGACTTGTCTCAGATACTTTTGGGTTCAGACCTGCAACCTAACTAAACTCACTTATTAGTTCTATTTGCCTTTTTTTTTTTTTTGTAGATTCCACTGGCTTTTCTGTGTAGATTATCATATTATCAGCCCATAAATACAGTTTTACTTATTTTTTCCAATATAGATGTCTTTTATTTGTTATTTTGCCTTATTGTACTGGCCAGACTTCTAGTACAGTGCTGAATAGAAGTGATGAGAGTGAACACTTTGCATTATTTCTGATCTTAAGAATAAATTATTTAATCGTTCACCATTAAGTATGATACTAATTGGGTTTTTCATAGATGTTCTTTTTCAGATTGAGAAAATTATTTTATCCTACTTAGCTGAGTGGTTTTATGAGGATTAGATGTTAGATGTTATGCAAAACTTTGTTATTCTGTTAATATGGTAAATTATAGTGATTGATTTTCAAATGTTGGCCTTGCATTTCTTCTTTGATAAACTCCAGTTGGTCATCAATTGACCTTTGACCTTTTGTCATATTTATATATTGTTGGATTAAGTTTGCTAAACTTTTGTAAAGAATTTTAACATCTGTGTTCATGAGGGATATTGGCCTTTTTTTTTTGGAGACGGAGTCTCACTCTGACGCCCAGGCTGGAGTGCAGTGGCACGATCTCGGCTCACTGCAACCTCCTCCTCTTCAGTCCAAGCGATTCTCCTGCCTCAGCCTCCCAAGTAGCTGGGACTACAGGCGCCCACCACCATGCCCGGCTGAGTTTTGTATTTTTAGTAGAGACAGGGTTTCGCCATGTTGGCCAGGGTGGTCTTGAACCTCTGACCTCAGGTGATCCGCCCGCCTCGGCTTCCCAAAGTGCTGAGATTACAGGTGTGAGCCACCACGCCCAGCTTTTTTTCCTTTTTATGTCTTTGTCTGGTTTTAGTATCAGGGTAATGTTGGCCTCATAGGATGTGTTGGGAAATATTTCCACCACCCCTCTCAATTTTCTGGAAGAGTTTGAGTAGAATTGGTATTCTTTCTTTCTTTCTTTGGTAAAAGTCACAAGTGAAGTCATTTGGGCCTGAATTTTTTTGTGTGTGAGGATTTTAAACTACAAATTCAACTTCTTTAGTAGATACAGAACAATTCAGGTTATCCACTTCTTTTTAAGTCCACTTTGGTAGTTTGTATGTTTTAAGCATTTGTGTAGTTCACATAAGTTGTTGAATTTGTTGGAATAAAATTATATTCATGATATTTTCTTATCCTTTTAATAGCTGTAGAATGCGTACAGTGATGTCACCACTTTCCTAATATTAGTAATTTGTGTTATTTTTTTTTCTGATCAATCTGGCTAGAGATTTATTCATTTTACTGATTTATTTCCCCCCGAAGAACCAGCTTTTGGTTTCATTAATTTTTCCCTGTTGTTTTTCTGTTTTGTATTCATCAATTTCTACTCTTTATTACTTCTGTTATTCTGCTTACTTGGGTTTTATCCCCACCCCTCACCCCAAACCCCCTGTTTTTTTAGTTTTCTAAGGTGGAAGCTGAGGTCATTGATTTGAGAACTTTCTTCTTTCCTAATCTAATGCGGGTGTTTTGTCTTACAAATTTCCCTGTAAATACTACTTTAGCTGCATCCCCAGAATTTTTGTATGTTGTGTTTTATTTTTATTCAGTTCAAATCCTTTTAATGTTGCTTTTGATTTGTTCTGGCCCAAACGTGATTTAGAAATATGTTATTTAGTTTCCAAATATTTAGGAATTTATTAGATGTCTTTCTGTTACTGATTTTAAATTTGATTCCGTTGTGGTCAGAGAATTTACTTTGTATGATGTGAACCCATTTTAAATTTATTAAGACTTGTGGTTTTTTTAGCCCAGAATATGGTCCATCTTTTTTGTATGCACTTGAAAAAAATATATATCCTGATGTTGTTGGATGGAGTATTGTATAATGTCAGTTAGGCTTAGTTGATTATGTTGTTCAAGTCTTCTATATCCTTACCAATTTTCCATCTGCCTCTTCTGTCTATTATTCATGGATGTTTGGATGTAAATAGGAGGAATGTAAGAATAGCTTGTGAAGAAGGTAAGAGCATTTTTTGAGCATCAGTGATTAGAGGAGGAGGGTGAATATTGGAGTAGAGAGACTGATGAGGGAGGGGTAAAGGTTGGGTAGTATTAATAAGACCAGGAAGGAAGCTGAGTAATACCAAATCAGTATTTATAATCAGTGGGAATTCAAAGGGGGTTATAGAATTCCTATCAACTTCTAATTTAATACATCAGATAATAAGTATTAACCCCAAGAGGACACATGAATTAAGACTACAAATAGGTTTGACAGAAGCAGAAATCAATGTATAAATAATATAGAAAGCAATTATAAGAAGTCAGGAGTAATTTTTTGACTGTTAAAAAAGGATTTTATTTTCCCAGCATAACTAATAATTTTACTAAATAGCTAGTTTAACAGCAACAGCAGCGCCAAAATGAATATTGTAAGCTCACTATGTGCAAATACTGTGCTAAAAACACTTTATGCTTATTTTCGTATTTATTCTTACCTCAAGGCTAGAATGTAAGTACTGTTAATACTATTCCCATCTTACAAATGAAGAAATTGAGGCATGGTGGGGTTAAATAACATCTCAAAGGTTCACTTAATCAGGAAATGGTAAAACCATTATTTGAACCAGTTATATTTTATGGTGCATCTGTTATTAATTTCTCCATCTTTACTCCCCAGTAAAACAAAGAATTCTTTTTGTTCTGAGTTTTACTAGACTGTTCTTTGCTCAGTCAGTGGCTCTCAAACCTCTTTGGCCCACAGTAAGAAATGCATTTTACATGTTAGCCCTGTGTATGTATGTATGTGTGTGTGTATGTGTGTGTGTGTATACATATATATATATATATATGTGTGTGTGTGTGTATATATATATGTGTGTGTATATAATATATGGGGGTATATATATATATATATGGGGGTATACATTTTATGAAAGTATACTTGGATTTCACTAATGGATTGCAATCCAAGTTTGAAAAACATTACTCTAAGTCAGGAGAGTTGTAGATAAATATGGAGCATTGTAATTGTGTGTGTGTGTATTTGTGCATGCACACGCAGTATGGGGGGAGCTGTGAGTTATTTTCATACCTGAAACACTGACTACATCCTATAAAAAATTGATTGCTTAAAAAAAATTGGCATTTTCAAAAGGTAGACTTGAGGAGTGATATTGTTTGATTTTTGTTTTTAAGCTCTCTGATCCTTCTGACTTACCAAGGAATGCCTTCAGAATTTTTACCATTCTTGTGGAATTTTTATGTATTGAGCATATTGATTATGCTTTGGAAACAGGACTTGCTGGTAAGTATATTTGTGTTACACTTGTGTTAAATTCTTTTGATTCTGCTTGGTTAAACTATATGCATAATGTTGTTTTGCTTATAATCATCTCTGTGTCTCAAATTCAGTTCGGTGCAATGAAGTTTGAGCTTTTATAATGCAAGGATTTGCCAGGTGCTGAAAGCTATACTGAATGGTTCTCTCATATTGTTTACATATGGCATAATAGAATAATAAGCTACTTAAGTCACTACAATGTATGACACAATGTCTTACAATGCTGTAAGTTAGAAAATGTCGAGGAGCAAAATGAAGGCGAAAACAATTCTGATTGGGGAATTGAGTAATGTAAAATTTAGAAAGAGAAGTATTAAAAACTAAGTCTGGAAAAAAATAGATTCAAATTAAAATTCTTATTTTGCTTTTGGTCTTTTGGTCTTAGTAGTTAGTATTGGTAGCATAATAATGACCTGAGTCCCGTCTCATTAATTCAGTTGTCTACTTCACCTGTTCAATGGTCATCTCAAACTTAACATATCCAAAATGAAACTCTTTATCTTCCCTCTAAACCTGTTCCTTTCCCATTCTTCCCTTGTCATTAAAAGGCGTTACCAATATGCGTGATTATTGTATGTCAGTTTTTTAAAAGGCATTACCATTTCCCACTTGCTCAATCCCCAACAAAACCCAGGAGTTCCTCAATTCCTCCTTTTCAGAAATCAATCCTGATAGCCAATCCATCAGCAAATCCTGTCAGTATACTTCCAGGCATAAGTCAAATTCATGTACTCTTCTCCATCTTCACTGATGCCACCCTAATTTAAACACCATTATCTCTGTCTACTTGTAACTGGTCTCCCTGTGTACATTCTTGCCTCTCCACATTACTGACTTCATTTAACAGCCAGTTTAATTATTTCCTTATTTAAAACTCTGTGGTGGTTTCCTATTACTCTTAAGGGGAAAACAACAGCAAACTGTAGAGAAGCATGACTTTTTATCTGGCCTGGTATGTATTGATCATCTCTCATTGCATTTCTTCTCACTGCTCAGTCACTCTGACCCTTATTGTTTTTCCTTGCTTAGTCTCTTTGCACTTGGTGTTTCCCTATCCCCAAAATCCTTTTGCCTCAGCTTTTCTCATGGCTGGCTTTTCAATCATCTGATCTCAACTAAGATGTTATCTTCTCAGAGAGGCATTGCTGATCATCACCCTAGCTAAAGTAGCCCTCTTCTCCCAGCCCAGTTATCCTTATTATCTTCTCATTGCATTAAATTTTTTATAGCACTTATCACAATGAAATTTTTATCTGTTAATGTCTGCCACCACTCATCAGAATTCATTCATTTAACACATGCTTATTAAATGCCTACTCCTGTACTTGTGGAGTTTATATTCTTATGGAGAAGATAGACAAATGATTAGAAAGTGCAATGAAGAAAAGTAAAACTGAGTAAGGGACTAAAAAATTAAAAAAAGTGTGTATATATAATAATTTTGATATGCCCTTATTTTTATTTTTATTTTTGAGACAGAATCTCGCTCTGTCACCCAGGCCAGAGTGCAGTGGCATAGTCATGGCTCATGGCAACTTTGAACTCCTGGGCTCAAGCAATACTCCTACCTCAGCCTCCTGAGTAGCTATAACTACAGGTGCATGCCACTGCACCTAGCTAATTTTTTCTTTTTTTGTAGAGTTGGGGTCTTACTTTGTTGCCTAGACTGTTTTTGAACTCTTGGCTCCAAGCGATCCTCCCTCCTCAGCCTCCCAAGAATTTTTTGTTTTGATTTAAGCTATTTTCCTAAAGGTTTCTTTTCCCAGTAACTTATGCCGCTGCTGGACTGTTTGTGTGTGCCAGTTTTTCTGTAATTATTGAATATTCTTTAAAAATTTTAATTTCGTGGTTAAAAACTTACACTGTAGCTGAGTTCTGATGCCTATAAAGAAAAAAAGTACATCAATATTGCCTTAATTTTTATGTCTTTCATTAATAACAATGATTCATATTTTCTACATATGTATTGATTTTGTTTTTTTCTCTTGTAAAGTTCATTTGTTATTCAAGCCTTCAATTTTCTTACCAGTTGGTAATCTTGTCTTTTACTTGCGGGGGCAGGGGGGGCGGAGGGAAACACCTTTGTTTTCCATTATTAAGAGAAAAAAAAAATCATTGTTCTAAAAAGAACTCTATGTGTCAAGCCTGTATTTTCTCATTAGCTATGCATATTTTCTTTAGTCTCTTAAGTCTTTTACTTTTAGCTAGAAACATAAACATCTAGGACCTTAGAGTTCATCTGTTATTCTTTACAAAAAGGAGGAAATGGAAATCCAGAGAGGTCAGCTGACATTTTGAGGTCAGAATATGGAGTGGCTTGATTCCCTTTTTATTTTATTCTGAATAAATTCCAGAATAAAATCAGGAATGTAATCTGTAGATAGGACATTTTGAGTATTTTTGAGGAGATAGTGTAGAGCACAGTAAGTGAAATGTGTCAGTTTAGGGATATTACTATGGCAGCAGTATCTAGGATAAAAGGTAAAGAGACTTGAATGAGGAAGACCAATGAGAAAATTATTCGAACTGTTATCAGAGATAAAGAGGCCTGGTTATAAGAAATATGTGGAGGTGTATTCATGGCTCACGTGAATCATGAAGGCTAAGTAGATGGTGAACATTGGGCATAAAAATAACTTTGGATGAGTTTTACTAGTATAAGTTTAAGCTTGATTTTCCTCTTCTGTCCACAGAAGTCATTATTGATGTATTAAAATAGCGGTGTCATTTATTTTATGTTACAGATTAAAAAACCACATTCTTTTTTTCTGTTGCCAAGATGAATTTCTTCAAGGATGATTCTAACATATGTATGCTTTCTGGTTTTAGGAATTCCCTCTTCAGATTCTAGGAATGCAAATCTTTATTTTTTGGACGTTGTGCAACAGGCCAATACTATTTTTCATCTTTTTGACAAACAGTTTAATGATCACCTTATGCCACTAATAAGGTTAGTCAAATTATCTGATTTTCATTGATATTTCAGTGACTATTATAGCATTCTACATAATCTATATATATTTTCATTAAATTTAAAAAGTACATTTTCACAAAAAATGTCAAACTGGACAAGTGAAATGAAATAAAAATATAAAAGTTCTTAGGAAATAAAACATTAGATATTGTTTCTTCTTGCATTTCTGTTTTCTCTTTCCACTATATTATTAATTTTGGTGTATTTCAAAAGATTTAATCTGTCACAAACCTAAAACTGAAATCTCATGTGAAAGAGGACCTCCAGCTTAGTGAAACTCAGCAAATTTGACATCTTTTAAAAGATCCGATAGACAAAGTCCATGTACCCACTTGTTATAATGTAAAGATACATACAAAAAATTTTGTGAGATTAATGGGACAGATTTTAATGAGGCATTAGAGTAAGGTTTGGTTTATATCTTCATATCAATTTATGTGAACTTATAAAGCATTTGAGAATTAAATAAGATGGTGTATATGTGAACATGCTTTACAGAATTATCTGTTTAACACTATTATGTAAGAGGAAAAATACTCATATAAAATTTTTTGACATTTTGTTGTAAACATTGATATGCCGAGACTAGTCCAGAAACAGTCTCAAAGATAACAGTCACTTGTAATCCCTGAATCATACTTTGAAAGGAAATTTACTTTTTAAGAGCTGTTATGCCACAAAGCAGAGAATTCACACAATTATTAGGGTTGCCTATTTCTTAATATTTTGAATGTTTTGACATTCTGATAGCATTCAGAAGGCAAATATGGTTGTCTGGTTTTTAAAAGTACAACTGGATTGGCTGTTACCCTCCAAATTTTATAGTATGATTTACTGTATTCTTAAAACTCTGGTGATGATAGTCTATAACTTTTCTTGGTATTACACTAGATATTTGTTTATAAAGAAAACCAAATAATTCCAAAATTTTAAAGTCACATTTATATTCTTGAGAGATGTCTCCTCAGAGATCAAAATAACAAATTTAAGTGGTCCTCTTCCTTCCCTTTTAATCGGTTGTTTTTAGTCTATTATAATGAATTGGGCATAGTGAATGCTAAATAATTACTTTGCTTCTTATATGCTTCTTGGATTTGTTAACAATATTAATGTGTATATATGGATATATTTATAAATGTATATAATGTAATACACATAGGTGTATGAAAAACTTTTAGAAAATATTAGACTATTAATATGATTCTTTTTCCATTTTAAATATACAATAGCTCTTCTCCTAAGTTATCTGAATGCCTTCAGAAGAAAAAAGAAATAATTGAACAAATGGAGATGAAATTGGATACTGGCATTGATAGGCAAGTTGTTGGTTTTGTCTCTTGCATTTTTTTAAATTATAAAAACACCATATTATAGCAGCATGAAAATACTTTGTAGAGAAGAAAAATATTTATCTTAATTCCACCATATTGCTACATTTGATTTTATTTTTACATATTGCCTTCATCCTTATTAGAGTGTTGTTTTTATTGGATCCTGAAGTTTTTTACTTTGGACTATCTTGGCATTTAACATGCCTTCCTCACTAAGCTTAATCATTTCTAGCTTTTGATTTAAAGTGAGAAATATGTGACGTTTTTCAGTTGAACACTTAGAGGCCATTGTAGGATTATTGATTGTCCTAATTGCAATGTTACTGTGTTTCAAGGAATAGGGAGGCCCACGGAGAGGCAGAGAGACAGGGAAACAGCCATTATCTGGAGTAGTCAGAACACACACTACATTTGTCAATTAGGTTCACTGTCTTATATGGGTATGGTACCCCAAAACAATTAAAATAGTAACATCAAAGATCACTGATCACAGATCACCATAACAGATTTAGCAGTAATGAAAAAGTTTGAAATATTGTAAGGATTACCAAAATGTGACACAGAAACACAAAGTGAACACATGCTGTTGGAAAAGTGGCACGGATAGACTTGCGTTGCCATAAGCCTGCAACTTGTAAAAAAACAAAACAAACCACAGTATCTGTGAAACACAGTCAAACAAAGCAGAATAAAACAAGGTATGCCTGGATATTCAGAAATGGGGTTGTTGGATCATATAGTAGCTCTGTTTTTAAGTTTTTGAGGAATTTCTGTACTTTTCCTTAATGGCTGTACCAATTTACATCCCCATCAACAGTGTACAAATGTCCTCTTTTACCTGCATTCTTGACAACGCTTGTTATCTATTGCCTTTTTGAAAAGAGCCATCCTAACGGGTGTGAAGTGATAACTGATTGCGTTTTCCTGATGACTAGTGATGTTGAGCACCTTTTCATATACCTGTTAGCCATCTGTATGTCTTCTTTCAAAAATTTTTATTCAGGTTCTTTGCCTTTAATCATTGGATCATTTATTTTTTTGCTATTGAGTTGTTTGAGTTCCTTATATGTTTGGAGTGTTAAACACCTCTGAGATGTATGGTTTACAAATATTTCCTTCCATTTCATAGGCTGTTGATGGTTTTCTTTGCTGTGCGGAAGCTCTTTAGTTTGATGCAGTCTCATTTGTCTTTGTTTCTGTTGCCTGTGCTTTTGAGGCCATATCCAAAAGGTCATTGCCAACATCAATGTCAAGAAACTTTTTTCTTACGTTTTCTTCTACTAGTTTTATAGTTGTGGGTCTTATATTAAATTTAATCCATTTTGAGTTGGGTTTTTTTGTGTAGAGTATAAGATAAGGGTGTCATTTCATTTTCCTGTGTGTAGATATCCAGTTTTCCAGAACCATTTATAGAGGAGACTATCCTTTCCCTATTGTGTGTTCTTGGCACCCTTGTTAAAGAGCAGTTGACCATAAATGGATGGATTTATTTCTGGGCTCTGTATCCTGTTCCATTGGGCTGTGTATCTGTTTTTATGCCAGTACCATACTGCATTAATTACTGTAGCTGTATGATATATTTTCTAACCAAGAAGTACGATGCTTCCAGTTTTGTTCTTTCTCAAAATTGCTGTGGCTATTCAGGATTTTTTCTGGTTCCATAAGAATTTTAGTGTTTTTTTTTTTTCTATTTCTGTGAAAAATGCCTTTGGAATTTTGATTGGGAATGCATTGAATTGCTTTGAGTAGTATGGACAGGTTAACAATATTCTTTCAAGCTCTAAACACGGGATATGTTTCCATTTACTTGTTTCTTTTGGCAATGTTCTATGGTTTTCAGTGTATAAGTCTTTTACTTCCTTGGTTAATTCCTAAATATTTTATTCTTTTTCATGCTATTGTAAATGGGATTTTTTTTCTTTCTTTTTTGGATAGTTTGCTGATAATGTATAAAAACAACTGATTTTTGTATGATGATTTTCTGTCTTGCAACTTTACTGAATTTGTTTATTAGTTCTATTTTTTGATGGAGTCTTTAGAGTTTTCTCTATCTAAGATCATATCATCTGCAAAGAGACAGTTTTACTTCTTTCTTTCCAATTTAGATGTCTTTTATTTCTTTTTCTTGCCTAACTGCTCTGGCTAGGACATCCACTACTGTGTTGAATAGAAGTAGTGAGAGTGGACATCCTTGTTCTTGTTCCTGATGTTAGAGGAAAAGCTTTGAGCTTTTCACTTTGAGCTTTTCACACTTTGATATTAGTTGTGGGCTTGTCATATATGATCTTTATTATCTTTAGGTATATTCCTTCAAACCTAATTTGTTTGTAAGTCTTTGTCATGAAAGAGTGTTGAATTTTACCAGAAGCGTTTTTTTTTTCACATCATCAGACAATTATGTGATTTTTATCCTTCATTCTGTTAATGTGGTCTGTCACATTTATAGATCTGCATATGCTGAACCATCCTTGAATCTCAGGGATAAACTCTGTTTGGTTATGGTGTATGATCCTTTCAGTGTGCTATTGAATTCAGTTTGCTATTTTTTTTTTTTACATCTTTATTCATCAGGGATATTGGCCTGTAATTTTCTTTCCTATATTGTCCTTCTCTGGCTTTGGTATCACTGTAATGCTGTCTTTGTAAAATGAGTTTGAAAGTGTAATCAGTTCTTCCATTGTTTGAAAAAGTTTGAGAACGATTGGTGTTAATTCTTCTTCTTCTTTTTTTTTTTTGAGACGGAGTCTCCCTCTGTTGCCCAGGCTGGAGTCCAGTGGCACGATCTTGGCTCACTGCAACCTCCACCTCCCTGGTTCAAGCAGCTCCCCTGCCTCACCCTCCCAAATAGCTGGAATTACAGGCACACACCACCACACCCTGCTAATTTTTTTGTATTTTTAGTAGAGACATGGTTTTACTGTGTTAGCCAGACTGGTCTTGAACTCCTGACCTCAGGCAGTCCACCCGCCTCAGCCTCCAAAAGTGCTGGGCTTACAGGTATGAGTCACTGCGCCCAGCCGATTCTTCTCTTCATGTTGGGTAGAATTCACTAGTAAGGCCATCTGGTCCTGGGATTTTTCTGACTTCAGCAGGACCTCTGTCTCTTAATCTCTTCATCTTATGCCAATCTATTATCCTTTTCCTAGCTTTATTTCTTTAGTTATTGTGCTTATATCACTTGGTCCATCTTTTGAATTACTTTCTTGAAATACCCTAAAGTACATTTCCTTCAATCACAACTGTCTTACAGACCCTAACCTCTGATAGATGCAGTCTCTTTTATTCCCATAACTGGTTGACTCCTCACTGTTGGAGAATATCACATAACATGTACGTTATTGGTACCACTGCAAATCTATGCTCTCATTTCTCAGTTGGATCTTTAGTACCGCTTATCCATCCTTCTGATTGTCCTTGTACTGTGAGACTCAGTGTTGCTCCTACCTGTTTTTCCCAACCTTGGCCATTCTTCATAAGTTCCCTATCTCCACCGGCAGCATTCTGTACACATTCAGCACCCCAATCCAAAAATCCGAAATAAAAATGCTTCAAAATTTGAAACTTGAAATTTTTTGAGTGCTGACATTACCCTACAAGTGGAAAATTTTACACCTGACCTCATGTGACAGGGCACAGTCAAAATACAGATGCACAGCACACGGTTTATTTGAGTATCCACAAGGGAAAAAAGACCCACCCAACCCTCTTCAGCTGTGATAAATATTTTCTGTGCATGTCCAAATCCCCCCCTACAACAAGCATGCCTACAAAGAATAATAAAATGGCATGTGTGTAGGCTGGACATGCCAATGGTAGGTGGCTCACAATGCCCCACGTGCAGCCAAGACCTGTGTGTGTGCTTTTTTTTCTCCTTATTCTGTGCTCTGTGGTATAAAGATGTTGTGGAATCTCAAAAAGGCCTACAGATACCCCTGAGGTTAACAGTGATAAGAACAAGAGGAAACTTTATGTTTATCTTTTTGTTTGTTTTTGTTTTTTGAGGTGGAGTCTCACTGTCTCCCAGGCTGGAGTGCATTGGTGTGATCTTGGCTCTCTTCAACCCATGCCTCCTGGGTTCAAGTGATTCTCCTGCCTCAGCCTCCCGAGTAGCTGGGACTACAGGTGCGCACCACCATGCCCAGCTAATTTTTTGTATGTTTAGTGGAGACAGGGTTTTGCCATGTTGGCCAGGCTGGTCTCAAACTCCTGGCCTCAAGTGATCCACCCACCTCAGCCTCCCAAAGTGCTGGGATTACAGGCGTGAACTACTGCACTCAGCCTGTTTATCTTTAAAAAAAAATTTTTTTTGTGGCCAGGCACAGTGGCTCAGTCTCGAACTGAGACCACCCTGGCCAACATGGTGAAACCCCATCTCTACTAAAAATACAAAAATTGGTCGGGCATGGTGGCAGGAGCCTGTAATCCCAGCTACTCGGGAGGCTGAGGCAGGGGAGTTGCTTGAACCTGGCAGTCAGAGGTTGCAGTGAGCCAAGATCACGCCACTGCACTCCAGACTGGGTAACAGGAGCAGAACTGTGTCTCAAAAAAATAAATAAATATATAAAAATAAAAAAAAATTTGTTTAGAGATATGATCTTGCTCTGTCACCCAGGCTGGTGTGCAGTGGCGCAATCATAGTTCACTGCAACTTTGAACTCCTGGGTTCACACAGTCCTCCCACCTCAGCTTCTTGAGTAGCTAGGACCACAGCTGCACACCACCATACCCAGCCATTTTTTTTTTATATGTAGAGATAGGGTCTCATTATGTTGCCCAGGCTGTTCTTGAATTCCTGGGCTCAAGTGATCCTCCACTTCAGCCTCACAAAGTGCTGGGATTACAGGTGTGAGTCACCATGCCTAGCAGCACTTACGTTTATCAAAGCTGCTGGACAAACAGGATGGCGGTGTAAGTGTGAAATGTCTTACAGAAGAGTATGGTATTGGAATGACCACCATATATTACCTGAAGAAACAGAAGGAGAAACTCTGTGCTGAAAGTGATGAACAGAAGTTAATGAAAAATATAAAAACACTGCATAAAGTTAAAAGTGAAGGTCTTGATTATGTATCGAAAGAGTGGATCTATCAGCATTGCAATGAATACATTGCTACTTAATGGTATGGTGATCATGAAACAAGCAAAGATCTATCATGATGAATTGAAAATGGAAGGGAATCGTGGCTGTTCAATGGGCCGTTTGCCAAAAGTTAAGAACAGACACAGCGTTATGTTTTTAAAGGTTTGTTGTGATAAAGCATCTGCTGGTCATGAAGCAGCAGAGAAATTCCTTAATGAGTTTGCCAGGGTTGTTGCTGATGAAAATCTGGTGTGAGAATAAGTCTATAATGTTGATGAAACACCACTATGTTGGCATTACTGCCCCAAGAAGACACTGACAATACAGGTGATAAGATGGCTCCTACAGAAATTGAGGATGCCAAGGACAGAGTAACTGTGCTAGAGTGTGCTAATGCAGCAGGCATGTATAAGTGTAAGCTTGCTGTAATAGGCTAAAGCTTGCATCTTCATTGTTTCAAAGGAGGGAATTTCTTGTTGGGTCCACCGTTATGCTAACAAAAAGGCATGGATAACCAGGGATGTCTTTTCTGATTGGTTTTACAAACATTTTGTACTAGTGGCTTACACATACTGCAGGGAAGCTGGACTGGATAACAACTACAAGATTTTGTTATTCCTTGACAACTGTTCGTGTCATACTCTTTCCCAATGTGACTTTATTCAGTCTTCTGACCAAGGTTTCTTTAGATCAATGAAGAGTAAATATAGAAACACTTTCTTGGGTGGGCATGGTGGCTCAGGCCTATAATCCCAACACTTTGGGAGGCTGAGGCAGGAGGATCACTTGAGCCCGGGAGTTTGGGACCAGCCTGAGGCAACATAGTGAGACCCTGTCTCTACACACAAAAAATTTAAGAATTAGACAGGTGTTCTGGCATGTGCCTGTAGTCCCAGCTACTCAGGAGGCTGAGGTAGGTGGATCACTTGAGCCTGGTAGGTCCAGGCTGCAGTGAGCAATCATCACACTGCATTCCAGCCTGGTGATGGAGTGAGACCCTGTCTCAGAACACTTTTTTTTTGGAGACAGAGTCTTGCCCCAGGCTGGAGTGCAGTGATGCCATCTCAGCTCACTGCAACTTCATCTTCCCGGGTCAAGCAATTCTTCTGCCTCAGCCTCCTGAGTAGCTGGGACTACTGGCACCCACCACCATGGCTGGCTAATTTTTGTATTTTTAGTAGAGACGGGGTTTCACCATGTTGGCCAGTCTGGTCTCGAACTCCTGCCCTCAAGTGATCCTCCCACCTCGGCCTCTTAGAACACTTTCTTGAACAGCATACTAGCAACGGTGAACAGAGGCAGGAGTATGGAAGGTTTTCAAAATGAGCTGAGCATGAAAGATGCTGTATATGCTGTTGCCAGTGCTTGGAACACAGTAACTAAAGACAGTTATGCATGCCTGGCACAACCTCTGGCCTTCAACTATGTTCAGTGAAGAGGATGAACAAGGTGGTGACTTTGAAGATTTCCATATTTCAAGTGAGAAAAAAGTGACGTCTGACTTCTTACATATACAAAAAATAATACATTTAGAGTCCATCAGTAAGTTGGATGAAGTGAATATCAAAAGAATTTTTTAACATCAGTGAGACTCCAGTTGCTCATTCATGGACTGGTAGTGAAATAGCCAAAATGGTTCCAAATCAAGGTGATTGTGATAATAGTGACAAGGTGACGTTGCTAACACTGCAGAAAAAATGCCTATAGATTACATGGTGAAAATGTGCAATGGACTTATTAAAGGTACAGCAGTGTACATTCATAACAGAACAATAAGTCATATCAGTTTACAAAATCAAACAGAGACTTCTAAGACAAAAACCATTATTAATGAGGCAGATAATTCCAGAGGAAACTTTTAAGAAGCCATCCAGCAGAATATCTCCTCATCCAAAGAGGTCCTGCTTTCTGGTCTCTCAATTGCTTCTGTTGTTTCTTGTCACCTAAAAAAATAAAATATAGGATAGAGTAACCTTTTCATGAAAGCACAGCATGGTAGGTGGAGACTGAAAACCTGCTACATTGTTGTTGTTTAACAGGCAAACAGGTATTGTGGTTATGTTACTGTGCTGTTTGGTTACCTTAAATATCTTATTTTTTCTCTGTATGAATGACATGTCATCTTTTTTACTGTTAAGTACTTATGTGTGAGTGAGTATAAGAAAATGATTGCTTATTGGTAGCATATAAATTCAGAGTCAGGAGTGATGGTAATGCCAGACAGCCACGGATTGTCCACATGGGTGTCTGAGATAGTGACATCTTTGCTTTCTGATGGCTCAATGAACATAAACGTTTCATGTACAAAACTATTAAAATATTTTATAAAATTACCGTCAGTCTACATGTATAAGATATATATGAAACATAGATGAATTTTGTGTTTAGAATGGGTCCCGTCCCCAAGATATCTTATTATGTATGTACAAATATTCCAAAATCTGAAAAATTTCAAAATCCAAAACACTTCTGGTCCCAAGAATTTTGAGAAAGGGATACTCAACTTGTATATGGTTTTGCCTTTGAAAATCCTTAGTTGTTAAGGAATTAAATTAATGACAGACTTCTGAGATCTTTGAATCTTGAAGTATTGCACAAAGAATTTTTGCCCTCTGTTTTGAGCAGACAGATAATAAAACCAAGAGCTCTTTCATATTAAGACCTAGAGCTGACTTTTTCTAATATCTAAAGTTTACCAATAGTAAAAGAGTTTCATGGTGATAGGAAATTAAATAACTGATTTAATTTAGCATAAATAATATAATTAAACATAAACATAGAGTAAGTTAGATGGGTTAAAGAATGTTGTATTCTCAATTCTCTAGGACATTAAATTGTATGATTGGACAGATGAAGCATATTTTGGCTGCAGAACAGAAGAAAACAGATTTTAAGCCAGAAGATGAAAACAATGTTTTGATTCAATATACTAATGTGAGTAAAATCATTCAGTTTGTTAATACTTTGTTAACATTTTCATTGGTGTATCCTACTGTGCCCTAGATTTTTTTCTTTTATACTTAAAGATTAATGAGAAACTGTATTTCCTCTTTAGCTAAGCTGGTATACATTCCTGTGTAATGAGTGTAGAAAAACTTTTATAGGCCTGTGTAAAAGTCTGTGCTTACGTAAGAAAACAAGTGGAGAAGATTAAAAATTCCATGGATGGGAAGAATGTGGATACAGTTTTGATGGAACTTGGAGTACGTTTTCATCGACTTATCTATGAGCATCTTCAACAATATTCCTACAGTTGTATGGGTGGCATGTTGGCCATTTGTGATGTAGCCGAATATAGGAAGTGTGCCAAAGACTTCAAGGTATGTGTACACAAAAACATCAAACTTGCAAATAGGCCCAGGAGCATAAGTCAGATTATTAAAAATCACTATTTACTTATAATTAGTGAAAGGTTTATAACTTTTGTTGATATTGTATGAGATAGATTATCACATTCTACCTGAAACAGTGTTGTTCCAATTATTATTTTTTTTTATTTTAAATTTTAAATTTTTATTTATTTTTTTTCCAAAGAGTTTCATGATGTTGCCCAGGCTGGTCTCTTACTCCTGGGCTCAAGTGATCTGCTGCCTCAGCTTCCCAAAGTGCTGGGTTTACAGGAATGAGCCACCACATCTGGCCCATATATTTAATATTAAACCCATTTTTGCTTTATGGTGTATTTTCAGTTCCACAGTCTTTGACTTATTGACATCCATGACTAATGTTATATATGTCACACATTAGGAAAAAAATGTTGTCTTCATTTATGTCCCCCTGAATATTTCTGTAACATTTAAATTATGAAAAATGCTGTATGTTAATAACTAGTTTTAGTCCTCTGAAGTATATATGATTGTTACTATTGAAGAGAATTGACACATGAATCTTTTTGAAATATTATAGCAAGTTTATTTAACTACTGAAATCTTTAAGTTTTAATGCATTGTGATCTTTAAAAAATTCTAATATGTTGAACTTCACCCACACTAGTAAGTCCCACCTGACAGTATGTAAAAAGTTACAAGCTAATTGTAAAACTGGAAATTGTTTTGTTTCAATGTTACTTTTTTTCTTCTCTCAATTCAGATTCCAATGGTATTACATCTTTTTGATACTCTGCATGCTCTTTGCAATCTTCTGGTAGTTGCCCCAGATAATTTAAAGCAAGTCTGCTCAGGAGAACAACTTGCTAATCTGGACAAGAATATACTTCACTCCTTCGTACAACTTCGTGCTGATTATAGATCTGCCCGCCTTGCTCGACACTTCAGCTGAGATTGAATTTACAAAGGAATTCAGTGTCAGTTCCTTTACAGAGGAATGTCTTATACTTCAGCAGCCCTCGGTTGATAGAAAGCACAGGAGATACCTTATGACACAGCCAACATTTTGTGAAACAATGACTGGAACAAAACAGCAGCCATACTTACCTTTGAGGTTTTATTTAAAGTTTGGATACCACTAGCTATATTTTGCTTTTTTCCCCTCACATTGAATTTTAATTCCATTCTTGAATGTAGAAATTTCAGATTCTCTAAAACTACATGTCACTGTTTTTATCCTAGAAAATGTTGCTGTCAGAAGGCAAAGGAAATGTTACCAGTGTTTTCGGTTCTTGTACTTTTAACATATTCCATTTAGAAATTTTGCCATTCTGTTTTCCATTAATAATAGGTGAAATACAGGAAAACTACATTTGTTATTCCTCAGTTTTTAATGACCTTTTCAGCATCAATTGTTAATCAGATTATTTTAGGTTTTCGTAAATAATTTTTTTGCCTCTTTCAAAAGGTTAACAATTAAGCATACTTTCTGCAGTTGGTTGATTGGATTTTTTTCTGAGGTACAGCATTAATACTAGTCCAAAAAATGTCATAAACTGAACTAAAATGATGAACTATTTTATGTAGACATTAGGAGTGGATCGGAATACTTCTGCTTTCTGGGTAAAACTTAAAAGTTTACTATTTCTTATTTGGTAAATAGATTTTAAGCCAATTCTAGTAAGAAATTAATAAAACTACCTTATTTTGTATTTCACTTAAGGTGGAGGACCTTAACTAAAGGACCATATTTATTCATTATTTTAATATTATAAGGGAAGTAAAAAAAAGTGAGGTATAGTCTAAATGGTGCATATAGGAAATACTGACAGTGTTTAGCAACATGCAGCCCTTTGAGATTTCTGTCGTAATGCTAAACTTGAATAAGATGGAATGGCTGAACATGTGGTTAGTCTTTTATTTTAAGAAGAATTGAGAATTGATAGATTTGGAGATGAGCTTTGCAAAGGCTGTTTGCTTTTCATGTCTATAGGTCTGTCATTGTCCTTTTTCAAAGCATTTCTGAAGTTATTCCTACTTGGATATAGTTAATGGAATTGGCTTAATTTGATGACATAATAAATCACTTATAAAATTTTAAATATCAAGTGAAAATTTAGAAAGGCCATTACTATTCTATAAACCTTATAAACTTGCTCTGGGAGAATGCATTCTAAATTATATATAGTGTTTCAGCTCCCATTGTGGTGTTCATAGTCTTCTAGGAACAGATAAACTTAAGTATTCAATTCACTCTTGGCATTTTTTCTTTAATATAGGCTTTTTAGCCTATTTTTGGAAAACTGCTTTTCTTCTGAGAACCTTATTCTGAATGTCATCAACTTTACCAAACCTTCTAAGTCCAGAGCTAACTTAGTACTGTTTAAGTTACTATTGACTGAATTTTCTTCATTTTCTGTTTAGTCCAGTGTTACCAAGGTAAGCTGGGGAATGAAGTATACCAACTTCTTTCAGAGCATTTTAGGACATTATGGCAGCTTTAGAAGGCTGTCTTGTTTCTAGCCAAGGGAGAGCCAGCGCAGGTTTTGGATACTAGAGAAAGTCATTTGCTTGTACTATTGCCATTTTAGAAAGCTCTGATGTGAATTCAAATTTTACCTCTGTTACTTAAAGCCAACAATTTTAAGGCAGTAGTTTTACTGGCCATTTAAGCTCTTTGTACAGTGTCAATTTGTAAAAAAGAAAAAACGAAAAAAAATCTCAAATAAAACATGAGATAACATTTTAAGACTTCCAAATCAGAGAAGTGCTTCAAATTATTTTGTTTGGATTAATTTTTAAAATGTAAAGCATATACTTGTTGCTTAGTTATTTTGTTTATTATTTTCATGTTTGAGTTCTGTGCAATATTTTCTATTATGTCCGTTGATAGGACAGTGACAAAATTCGTAAGTGAATACTTAATTTAAAAGTGTTAACATTAATGCTCAATAAACAAATTCCCTGCAGTTGTTTTTTTTATTTCACTCTTTTTATATTTTAGAGCCATCCATCCTGAATTTTATAAATGATTTTTTATTTAAAAATTTGAGATTTTTAAAATTTTTCACAGCACAGGTCTTCTCATTTTCTTTTTTAGCAAAAAATACTTGACTATATAAACAAGACTAGAAATTTATCCTAAACAGATGGTCTTTCTCTGAGGGAAAAAAAAAAATGTGTCATGTGAGGCAATATGCATTCTTTGTATTCTGATTTTTTAAGTGTTTTCATATTTATAGCCATCACAAAATTTTGCCCAAAGTGTATGGCTCAGAAGAGATGATCAATAACTAAAATGTTTTTCGTTTTGCACATGGTAAAATTTTAGGTAGAGAGTGGAGCTTTGTATAATTGGTAACTTTAACCAACATTTACGTAAGTACGGTCTTTGCAGTATTACACAATACCGCATGAGCTAATATGCAGTATTTAGGTAATGCATTGAATGAAGTTGAAAATATGCTCTTAACACACTGTGCATTGTTTTTCTAAAATTGAGAAATATCTGAAATACAGAATACGAATTTAATAAAGGAAGCCTACCTTATGTAAATTATGATGTTGAAAATGACAGTCAACCAGAGTAGATGAAGTGTCCTTATGAAGAATTATTAAATAGTAGCTGGATGGATCTTTAGATGGATGACCACCTGACCATTCCAGGACAATTTTTGGTCCCATTTTGAGGATTGCCATAGTTGCAAGTCCTTAGGATCTTCCTTGTTTTAAAAAACTATCAAAGTAGGTTAAATTAAAATCTAATTTAAATTAGGTTAATTTATATTACATTGTAGATCATTCTTTTTTCCCCCCTCTTTCACTTCTAAATATTTTGCTTTCTAAATACTAGCCTTCTGGTTCACAGTGAAATAATTTAATTATCAATCAGTAGATTGATTCCAAGTGGAGAATTCACTGCTTCCCTAAAATGCGTTTTTCTTACCTGTAATGGTGAATATTTACAAGGATCTGGATAAAGAGATTTTGATTTTTGAAATGCCACAAAACCCCTTAAAGTGGTCAAGTACCTAAGGTAGTGGCTAAGGCATGCTTGAACTGTGTTTGAGAGACAGCAGTTCAGTCAGTACATAATTTGTTGGTGACTAACAAAGCTCACATCTGGGAGATTAACTTTTTTTAACGCAAAAATATTCTGCACATTACCCATATATTGTTGAATTTTACATACAAAGCATTTTGTGCTTTCATTCAATTAGTTTAACTATATTCAGTTTCTGTATTATTTCTCTCTGATCTATCCTGTAATTATTCTATACTTTAGAAGAAAAGATCAGTTCATATTGTTAGACTGAATAATTCTACATGAAGTTAAAAGTTAGCAATTTAAAAAATTTTGCTGCATAATAAAGATAATTATAGTTACATGTATTGATTTAAGTCTCACACACTGTGCTAATAAGTCCTTTGCACATATTATTGGATTCTAGAGCAACCCTAGGATTTGGGTACTATTATTTCCATTTGACAGATGAAAAACCTAATGCATAGAAAGATAAGTAGACCAGTCAAGGTCTACAGCTAGTAAAATGCTCAGATTGAAACCTAAATCTTTTCTCACTCACTTTTAGGTTCTATATGCTATTCTCCTTACGTAACGTTAAATAGATCCTTTAGTTTGATAGGTTCATTAGTTTTGCTTAATCGTTGCTTCCAATATGATTCTTATTGTAGTATTTATATTACAAAGTTGGCATACAGGGTCAATATCTAATTTACTGTTGTGTTTTTCTTAATATGTTCAATGTATGGTCATACTTTTTAAATTTGATTTTTTAAATATTATAAGTGGTCATGAAATTTTAATGTTAAGTTTGTACCTAATAGAAATATGTCTATCACAAATCTTTATTGGTATTATTTTATATACTTTTCCAGCTTGATAATTTTCACAATAGAAAGAGACCAAATATTTTGTACTATATTTTGTGACATAGAAGTAAATGACAACTCTACCTTGGAAGATATGAAGAAATCAGTGTTTTTATGTTCAAAAACTATTTTAAATGTCATAGGCTTGCCAATTGTGTTAACTATTTAGTACATTGGTAGTTTTTAAATGACTAATGCTGGAGTGAAAATGTAAGGCAAAATATTTAGTATATTAACAGTAGATAGTCATTTTCATGTAATCAGAATTGCATGTTAAGGGTTTTAAAAGCTGTCATAACTCTTACCTTTTATTTCTACCAGTGATCAATCATTTCTCTTTACAAATTTAGGGAGGAAACAACTGTTCAAATGTATAGGGGACAGAAACCTGACATTTAGAGAACAGAAATTTTAATTGCCAAATTAAAGCAGCTAGGCTGCCCCTGGGCTTAACAAAATTCCTATTTTTGAACTAGACCCGAGGTATTTTATCATTATTATTTGATAGGTACCATTAACCTTTGTTTTGTGATTATCGACTTTTGGGGGGAAAGATGAGTAATTAAACACACTCGCCCATTTTCTAAGTGGTTTAGAAGGTTGCAGTCTGCCTCACCA
This sequence comes from Homo sapiens, assembly GCF_000001405.40. Lineage (NCBI taxonomy): Eukaryota > Metazoa > Chordata > Mammalia > Primates > Hominidae > Homo > Homo sapiens. The sequence continues at coordinate 57,204,049 of NC_000014.9, read as the reverse complement.
TACAAAGCCAGTTTAAATAGGAATATATCACATCATACTTCACATAGCAGTCAACCTCAGAGGAAAGTCATTTATTCAGAAGGCATAGATTTTGCTAGACAGCAGTGATGCATTACAAATATATAATTATTTGCACTAATATTTGAGCAGGTGGAATGGATTAGAACATGGTCAACATCATGCTGCTGATAACATGTATTTTTCTATATTAATATGTACTGTGCAACATGTATTAAAATTGTCAATAATTCATTTTAGCCAAGATACTAATATTTATATTACTGTGTTTAAGAGACAGTATCCAACTGAGCCACTTTTAATTTAAAAGTCTGAAACTGGAATTAAGTTTACTTTCAAAAATCACTTAAATTACTTTATAATCAGTGAAAGGTCAGTAAAATGTAGAATTATAAGTGCCTAGTGACTTAATAGGAGGAAATATGGAGGGTTAAGGAAGGAAGTAGGAACCTGGAATAAGAAAGCTAAGTTTCATTTATAGTTCCAATGAGTGACTTTCTTTGTTTTCACCACTGGGAATCTTAAATGAAGAAAGTGTCGTATCCCTTCCAGTTATCTTTATGTTAATAAACTAAGTGAAGTTTGGATAGAACTAACAAAGGAATTAGTCTCCATTGGTGGACTTCCAGAGTTTTGAGATTAAACTTTGAGAGGTGAGAAGCCTTCCTGATGCCCCTGTAATCTTAAATTGGCAGGTGCCTCTAAGTGAGGCCATCCCTCTTTGCCTGCCTATCATTTTAATCTTTATACTGTAACTGGTTCCTTTCAACTCTGGCCTTTTATTGTAGCACTTTTATCAAGTCTGCAGCTTCCCAGCTACTTGGGAGGCTGAGGTGGGAAGAACACTTGAAGCTAGGAGTTCAAGACCACTCTGGGCAACATAGTGAGTCCCTGTTTTTAGAAAAATAAATAACCTTTAGGTTTTTGCTATAGAAAATATCCAAATAGAGTCTGGACAATGCTGGATGTAAAGAAAACTGTGAAGCTACCTCTAAGCATATTGTTTGTGAATACTGTGTACCATTTAGAGGATAACATGGGGGATTCACATGAAGTTATGTGAAAATATTTTATAAGGAATAATACCTAAGTGCCTCTCTTAAGTTCTCCAGTAGAATGTATTTTCAATTTTTGCCACAAGGGGGAGAAGTTATTTTTATAGTAATATGTACATTTTTTTATTTTAAAAATAGAATTCACACAACTTTACAGCATCTATGAACATTTTGCTATCCCAATTATGTGTGTGTGTGCATGTGTGTAAACAAGATTCTGAAAGTCTTGCATGAGAAAAATTTCAAAGGAAATTAATAACAAAACCAAAACAGTTTTGAAGAACATGTGCACAGTGGACACAGGAATTGAACAAAGTTTACCATGATTAACATTATGTTTTCTTAGTTATATATCACATTGAATTCCTTTATCAACTCTAATAAGAATCTACTGATTAGTGTTCTACATTCTGCTTTTTAAAGAAAAATTTTTGAAACAATCAGACTTAACAGAAGGGTTGTAAATACTGTACAAATAAAATTTTTCCCTTTTGAGAATAAGTCGCTGTCATGATGCTGCACCACCCTCCAATACTTTTGTATTTCCAAGAAGAAAGAATGCTTCAGTATAACTACAATACATGAAAATTGGGAAGTTAACATTGACATATTACTACTATCTAATCCTCAGACACCAATCATTTTACTAGCTGTCCTAATTCCTTTTAAGGATCTCAGTTCAAAATCATGTATTGCTTTAGGTTGTAGTGGCTCTAGTCTCATTCATTCTGACACAGTTCCACAGTCTTTCCTTGACTTTTTTGACTCTGGACATTTTTATAGATTATAGGGTAGTTACTTTGTAAAACACCCCTACATTTGGATTTCTGTTTCCACGTAATTAGATTCTGTTTGTGCTTTTTGGCAGACATACCACGGATGCAACTCTGTGTTATTGTTGCATCCTATCACATAGTACACAATTTCAATTTGCCCCATTTCTGATGATGTTCATTTTTATCACTTTCTTAAGGTACTATTTACCAGGCTTCTCCACTTTAAAACTATTACTTTTCCCTTTGTAAATATTTTGGAGGTAGATATATATTAATAGATACAGACATATATAGGTCCCCCTTATTTATTTATTTGCAGACAGAGTCTCGCTCTGTTGCCCAAGCTGGAGTGCGGTGGCGTGATCTCAGCTCACTGCAACCTCTACCTCCTGGGTTCAAGCGATTCTCCCACCTCAGCCTCCCAAGTAGCTAGGACTACAGGCACATGCCACCATGCCTGGCCAATTTTTCTATTTGTAGTAGAAATGGGGTTTTGCCGTGTTGGTCAGGCTGGTGTCAAACTCCTAGCCTTAAGTGATCTGCCCACCTCAACCTCCCAAAGTCCTGGGATTACAGGTGTGAGCCACCTTAACCAGCCATCCTTTATATATATATATATATATATATATATAATATTAATATATATAAAAATATATGTATATGTGTGGTGTGTGTGTATATATATACATATGTGTGTGTATATACACGTGTGTTTATACACGTGTGTGTACATATACACGCGTGTGTATATATACACACGTGTGTGTGTGTATATATATATACTAATCAGAATTCTCTTGATATCACTATGTATTCATAGTTTTCTGTTCAACTAATTATAATCTGTCATTTTACCAAATCTCAAATTATCCCAAATTTGGTCAGAAGTAGCCTCTTCAGGTTGTCTCCTGTGTCGTTTTGGCATGTTCCCATCATTTTTACAGCAATTTATTCTGGGCACAACAGGATTTTCCAAGGTCATCTTGTACTTGCCTTGCCCCAGCTCTGGAATCAGCCATTCCTCCACCTTTTAGTGAAATTGGCAGTTAGAAATCAAGATTTGTGCATGAGATGTGCTTATTATTATTGAGATGTCTCACCCTACTCTTTCTCAATAGATAATGCTAGGGGGCTTTATGTGTGCATACACACACACACACTCACGCATATTTTAAATATACACCCACACCCATGCGCCCCTCTGCAACATCTTCCTCACCTCACTTGAGCTTCCATACTCCATACTGGGCTTCCCCTCTCTCTGGAGGAGACCATCCTCATCTCACATAGCTCTTGAAGTTTTGGCTTTAGGACCAAATTGAGGGAATAAGAATGGTCATTGCAGAAATCCTGTAAAAATTTTAAAATATTAAATTTAAAAATTACAATTTTATCACGCAGAAACAACTATATTTTTGGTGGAAGTTTTTTTTTTTTTTTTTTAATGTAGTGAGCAAATTAGTAAAGCTGAATTGAGGAGGGGGTAAAGTGTTATGCCCAAGACACAGAACTTACATTTTGAAAGAATTAAATTTGAAATGCATACCGTATGTTTTTCTATTATACAATCTCCTTGCTACTGTAATTGCTATTTAATAAGAGTGCATCAGAGAAACTGTATGAATGGAAACCTGACCATTAAGCACTGAATACCAATAGGATATTTTTACTAATAAAGTTCAAAGGAAAAATGATCATACAATTGTTGTTTTTGTAGGCCATTAAAAATATATATGCTAAGAAGGATAGACTTCATGTGAGAAAGGAGTCTCTGGGCTGGATCTATTATAATAGATGTTACAATAAACTTAATGTGAAATAGGAGTCAAATGGAGGCACAAAGAAGTTAAATAACTTCACCAAAATTATATATCTAAAAAGTAATAGAATTCAAACTTACATCCTTAGGCTTCTATAGCCTATGTTTTAACCACTTTGCTCTGTTACCTCTAAGAAGATTTCATAAAAGAGGTCACATTTCAGCTGAGCTTTAAAAAGGCAAGTAGCATTTCATCAGTGGTGGAGGAGAAGGGGAATTCTAGGCAGAAGTAACTTATACTTGCAGGGTGTGGAGGCATGAGTCACTGGTATATCACTGAATGGAAAAACTGCTGTGTGAGTAGAGCTCAATGTGTGGGGTCCATCAAAAAGGGCAAGTTAAAACGAATATTTGGATTGGGGTTAGCTTATTTAGAGCCTTTAGGCCGGGCGTGGTCGCTCATGCCTATAATCCGAGCACTTTGAGAGGCCAAGGCGGGTGGATCACCTGAGGTCAGGAGTTCGAGACCAGCCTGGCCAACATGGTGAAACCCCGTCTCTACAAAAATACAAATGGCGGGTGCCTGTAATCCCAGCTACTCGGAAGGCTGAGGTGGGAGAATCGCTTGAACCCAGGAGGCGGAGGTTGCAGTGAGCCGAGATTGTGCCATTGCACTCCAGCCTGGGTGACAGAGCAAAACTTAGTCTCAAAAACAAACAAAGTCTTTAAAATGGTATCCCAATTAATTTAGGCTTTATCATAAAACCAGAAAACTATTGAGAATTAAGTAAGTGAATGACATGAACAATTCTGTGTTTTAGAAAAAGATAACTGGTCAGAATGTATGCAGTGGACTAAAGGAGAAGAGAGGGCAGAAACCAGGCTACTGCATTAATCTGGTGAAAGCCTGAACTGGGGGAGTAGCACAGGAATGAAGAGGAGGTGATGGATTCAGGGAATATTTGGAAGATTAAACCAATAGGACTTATTAATTGTTGCTTTATTAGATGTGGGGGGTAAGCAAGAAAAGGAATCAAAGATGATTCCGAGATTCTTAGTTTACATATCTTGGTGAATACCAACACTATGGACTTAAAATATATACCTTAGGAAAAGTAGGTCTAGGAGGAATGCCACTGACTACTGAAAGAACATCTCTTTTGCCAGAACTTGGTTCAGGTCATGCAAAAAATTTAAACTTCATAATCTGCTAGAAGTTGTGGCAGGAGAAAAAAAACTCCATCTATGGCTTTGAAAATAGGAGAATGATTTTTAAATTTTAATGGTATATAATTTGATTTTTATATATAATTGTTTGCATTGTTTTTTACTTAAAGCCAAAAAAAAAAAAAAAAGGAATTAAAAAGCTTTCCAACATTTTAGTGCTCGAATATAATGGGTAGACTCAAATGGAATAACACCGGTTGCCCTTTTTGATGTCAGTCCTTTAGAGAGTGTACACTGGAAGGTCTAAATATGATTTTCTCTGGTTGGATTATTCACATGCTAGGAATGCTTTACATTCTGATTCAAATTCTAAGCCAAAATCTTCCACTTTATCACTTAGGACATCAAGTAGTCTCTTCCAGGAAGATACTGCAGACCTTGAGACCCTGCAGATCTAGAACACAATTATCAGCCATTATATTTTAACTATGATTCCATAGGTTGCATGTTTATCTCAGTAAGGTCAACAAAATGACTCCTTGGCAATATTATGTGGGAAGTGTAATGACACATTATGGATATACCACAAACTCATTTCCTTTGACTTCATGGATTTCAGATAGGGGTTTTGAAAGTACACTTAAAAAAAAATCATTTATCACGCCTGTAATCCCAGCACTTTGGGAGGCCGAGGCGGGTGGACCACGAGGTCAGGAGTTCAAGACCAACCTGGCCAAGATGGTGTAACCCCACCTCTACTAAAAATACAAAAATTAGCCGGGCATGGTGGTGGGCACTTGTAATCCCAGCTACTCCAGAGGCTGAGGCAGGAAAATCACTTGAATCTGGGAGGTAGAGGTTGGAGTGAGGTGAGATCACGCCACTGCACTCCAGCCTGGGCAACAGAGCAAGACTCTGTCTAAAAAAAAAAAAAAATCCTTTAGAGGTTTAACATAATCAGGTTATTTAAAGCAGGCTGCTAGTTAACCAAAGGATTACCAGATTACTCTGGAGGTAATTTTATTTTCAGATCTAGTTGGAAAATATCCCACATTGTCATTCTTACATTGCCTATGGTTTCTATTCTACTTTAAGAATTATATTAATACAACAAAATGAAATAATTTTTGGTGTGATTACTAATGGCTTTGACCAAAAGAGCATTTACAGAATGTTGAATATTTTAATAGCTAAAAGTTATAGATACAAACTTCATTAAAATTCTGAAAATTTAGTCAATATTTTAATTTTAATGTATAACTTTTGTTAGTAAACAGAAACATGTTTAGATTTTAATTTTTTATTTTTCTGTGATGGAGATTATATAAAACTAAAAATGTCACACATATCCACAGAATACACATTCATTTCAAGTGTACATGGAAATTTACAAAATTATGTGCTGGACCATAGTGTCCTAACAGTTTTTAAAAATTTGAAATTATTCAGAGTGTTCCAGTGACTGCAATGGAATTAAGCCAAAAATAACAAAAAGCTTACCGAAGTTTTTTATACATTAGGGAATTAATGCAATTTTAACCTAGGAGTGAAGAAATTACAATGGAAATTTTAAAATATTTGAATTTTTCAATTTTAAATTGAATTTCAATTTCAATTTCAATTTCAATTTTAAAAAATTTGAAAAAATTATAAAATGCAATTTATCAAAACTTGTGGGATGCAAAATGCATATATTAGGAAAAAAGGAAAGCTGAAAGCAATTATTTAAATATCCACTTCAATATTAAACTTTCAAATTAAACATTAAGGAAGGAAAGAAGGAAGGAAACAAAAACTAGAACAAAATAATAAAATATAAACAAATATAAAATATAAACAAAAACAAATAGAAAGGAGAAACCAAAGGTTATTATTATTATTATTTTGGTGAAGACTAATAAAACTGATAAACCTCTGGCAAGACTGACCAAGAAAAAAAAGAGAAAGCACAACCAACCTCAGGAATAAGAATGGAAGCTTCCATTTGTTCTACAGATATTAAAAAGAAAAAAGGTTATCGCCAACTCTTGCCACCAAACATAAATAATAGATTAAGTGGTTATTTTATTTCAAAAAAAGGTTTAATTTACCAACATCGATATAAGATAAAACTAGAAAATATTAACAGTCTATGTCAAAAATAGTGAATCCATAATTAAAGACTTTCCTATGAAGAATACTTAGGCTCCAATGACTTTCCTGATAAATTCCTCCAAACATTAAAGGGAAAAATAATACCAATATTGTTAAACTCTTTCAGAAAGTAGTAAAGGAGAGAGAACATCCCAACACATTTTATGAAACCAGCATAACCTTGATGTGAAAAATTAACAAAGACATTACAAGAAACGAAAATTACAGAGCAGTCTCTCTCGTGAACATAGATGTAAACATCCTGAACAAAATATTAGCAACCCAAACCCAGTAGTATGTAAAATAGAGAATACATTGCAACCATATCAGACTTACTTCAAAAGTAGGTTGATTAGACACTTGAAAGTCAATGAAATTTACCATATTTAAAGAATTAGGAAAAAATCATCTCAATAGAAGCAGGAAAAAAGCAGGTAGTGAAGTTCAATATCCATTTATTATTTTAAAGAAACATAGCAAATTAGGAATTAAAAGGAATTTCTTTAATATGCCAAAGTATCTGCAAAAAATATATGGCAAACATTATTATAATGGTGAAATATTGAAAGCTTTCTTCCAGAAGTCAGTAATGAAGCAAGGATCCTTGCTATCACCTCTGCTTAGCAATGTACTGGAGATCCTCGCCAATGCAATAAGGCAGAAAGTAAGAAATAAAACTCATTATTTGCAGGTATGATTGTGTACATAGGAAGTTCATATAAGATAAACTATTAAATGAATTTAGCAAGGTTGCTGGATACAGAATCAATATACAAGAAACTAATTATTTCTTTACACCAGCAATAAACAATTTGAAAATAAAATTTAAAAAATACCAATTACAAAAGCACCAAAACATCAAATATATAGGTTTGTGAAAAACTGTAAAATATCGTTGAGAGAAATTAAGGGAGTGAAAGGCCATATTCATGAATTGAAAGACTCAATATTATAAATCAGTTCTCCACCAAGTGACCCAAACATTTAATAAAATCCTGATTAAAATCAGCAGATTCGTCATGGGAATTGGCAAGCTGATTCTAAAATTCATATGAAAATGCAAAGGTCCAATAATAGCCACTGGATACCAACACTTATTTAAAAGTTACAATAATTAAAACAATTTGATGTTGGCCAAGGAAAAAGAAATAAAACTATAGAGCAAAATAGGAAGTCCAGAAATAGACTGACAAATGCACAGATACTTGATTTATGACATAATTGGCACTGCAGAGTAGTGGGGGAGAGGCAGTTTTTAAAAAATGGTCTACTGTCTCTCACTCTAGATCTTGACCCCTCTTAATAGCATACACAAAAATAAATTCTAGGTGAATAATGCACTTAAATATGAAAGATGAAACAATAAAGCTTCTAGAAGATGACATAGGCAAATATCTTCATGATGGTGTAAGCAAAGATATCTTTATAGGTAACAAAAACAACAAAACTAAATTAAATTAAAATTAGGAACTTCTGCTTAAATCAATTTGTGGACTTATCTGGGCTTTGAGAAATCCCTTCTGCTATGGTAGAATTTTACCGTTTGGACTGTGGGAATCAGATCCCCCTCTGGGTGGGTAGGACAGAAGCTTTCATCTGGAAGGAAAAAAATATTCCCACTACCAGTTATCCTAAGGCAGAAAATGAATAGACTTTGGAATTAAGAGTGAAGAAGTAGGAGCAAAAGAGCCTCTGAATCTTTGGGGCCAAGAGGTTGGGTAACTGGATTTAGAGGTATAAAGACTCTTGAAAAGTTTTGTTGATAGGAGTTTAAGAATTGAAAGGCAAAACAAGTATTTGCAATATAAAATATAGTTGCCAAAAGATTCATATCCAAAACATATGAAAAATGTATATGTCATTAAGAAAAATATAATCCAATAGAAAATGGGCAAAACATTTGAGACTTGATCCACAAAAGAGAATATCCAATGCCCAATGGACATATGAAAAGGTCCTCAACCTCACTGGTCACCAGAGAATTACAAATTAAAACCACAGTGAGATGCCATTACACATCCCCAGAATGGCAAAAAATAAGCCCTAACAATTCCACGTGTTTGTAAATGTGAAGCAAGTGAAACTCATGTATGTTTCTGGTGAGAATAGATAGATATATTGCTATTTGGATAACTATGTTTGTTTCTACTGCATATGCCTACCCAGCAATTCCACTCTTTCCTTTGAAAAGAAGGATGGTGTCTGAGGATGGCAAGATGGTAGCTTCTAGGATGTTTTATTTGTTGATCTGAGCAGAGTTACATGAGTGTGTTCACTTGATAATAATTCATTGATAATACATTTACAATTTGTTCACTTATTAATTTAAGTTACATTCTAATAAAAGGGTTATTTTAAAAAAGTAACTGAAACATAACTACTTCAGTTTTTTATTCATAGCCATTAATGGTGCTGTAAAAAATACTATAGAACCTAAAGTCACATTTTCTAGAACTTTCTGGATATAATACAACTTCTAGCTTGTACTACTTGTTAATAATTAACATAATTTGACCTCAAAGCATAAAAACTATTGTAGTAATTCCTGTAGATGGGTTAAAACATATGTATATATAATATTTTTGTATTAATAATATATTTTTTCCTGTTATCCTTTCATTATACATGCTATAAATACTCCAAACATTATAGAAATATGCAGTATAGTATAACCAGAAATAGATAGTGTAGTGTATTCCTGCTTTATTGGCTTGGGCTATAAAAGGTCAATTTTTAAACAAATATTAAAACTGTAACAACTCCAATCCAACACCTTGAATTCCCCCTAAATCTGAGGTTTTAGTGGTTAATAAAGTTTTACTGCATGCTTGGGGGATAACCACAGTATACCTCCAAAGTGATTTACTTTGCCATTGGCAATGATTTTTCTTAGGTTCAACAGCCCCAAATTTAATATCAGGGACCCTCTGGAGTTTCTGTCAGGCTCCACATGTTGAGGTCAACTTAATGCCCACCAATAAAACTCTCTGAGAACTTTTATGCTCCAAATCCAGACTCAGAGAAGCTCTTTCTGCCCTACCCCATTAGTCCTGATTTCAAGACCCGTTCATTTTTCTGCCTTAAAATGATTGAGATGGGACCAGAAGGTCAGTCACAGTAGAGTGGGTTTCTCATATCTCAAGTTAGTTCATTTTAATATCACCACATAGGAACACTATCTAAATCTACACATAGGAAAGCACATCTCCAGAGCTTCAAGAGCCCAGCACAGCCAACTCCATATCCAGGTACTAAACGGAACTCCTAATGAGGACAGCTAACACTCATGGAGCATTTACTCTGTGCCAGATGCTATTTTAATGATTTCATATTCTATCTACACAAAAATTCTATGAGGTAGATGCAAACATTATTATCATCAGTTGAGGCATGGAGAAACCCAATGCAAATCCACCCAGGTACAAGAAGGTAAAACCCAATGCGAATCCACCCAGGTAGAGGATTGAACATGGGCAGTCAAACATTGGCACCTGTTCTATTGAACACTTCGCTGCATTTGCAAAATCAGTTGCTCAGATTGTAATTTTGGGATTTGGATTTTCTGTGACTTCACATATTCCTTCAAGATCAACTGATAAAATTAATAAATTTATTTTGTATGACAAAAGAGCCTATTCTGGATAAGTTTCCTCAAACAAACTGAACTTCTCAGAATATAATGGATGTATCTACTATCAGAAGCCCAAACTATCCAGCAATCCCCTAAAAAGCAGATCACTTAAACAAAATTTTAGAAGTGAAAAATCCCAATAATCCTGCCCCTCAGAGCTGAACCCTGTTAATAGTCGTGCCACAAATTTTGATTGACATAGCTTCCAAAACTCTTCCTTACTCTTGGAAAATCCATACTTTTCATGCTTAAATATGCAGCATGTTTAATACCAATGTTGGCCCTTCATAGCATGAGCAGAGGTTAGAAACACCTGCACAAACATGTAGAGTTTAGGGAGTAATCCTTTCCTTACTTAGAGAGTACACACTTTCTGAGCTAGTGGGTAAGAATTAATGGGCTAGTAGGTAATAATGTTGCCTGAATGTTGGACTAGGCCAGCCCCAGAGCCTGATCTGAAGTTTGCTTTATTAGTTTGCCAGACCCTCAAGCTTGGTCCAAGTTTAAAGATGAGTGATAATGACAACATGGCCCTAGTATAAGGTTGCTTTTACTCAGTTATCTGACAAACCAGCAAATGAGCAACAGAACAAGTGTGTGTGTGTGTGTGTGTGTGTGTGTGTGTGTGTGTGTGTAGAGCCCCCAGTGTCTCCTTTGCTCTCCATGGAAGGGTGCCCAAAGTTCAGAAGTCAATGCACACATTTCCAGTTAACCATCACCACAAGACTCTACCGCACAAGTTCTTATTATCCTAGGATAGATGCCCAATTAGCATTCAAGGGTTTATCTTGTCATTTGTTCAATTCAGTAAATATTTATTGAGCACCTACTATGCACTGTCCTAGGCATGTGAGGTACATCAATGAACAAGACTCCAGACATTGCTGAGCTTACATCCTAGCAGCTGAAAGCAGACAATCAACATAATTAATAAACCAGTTATACAATACATTAGAAAGTGATAAGTGTTTTGGGAGGGGAAAATAGATCAAGGAACAGAGAAAAAGAAGAGTTGATGAGAAAGAGTTTCAGTTTTAAATATGGTGGCCAGAATGGCAGGGTAAGCTTTATATTTGTGTGACCTGTGCAGTTGCCCAGGGCTCACTAGCCTCCAGAAGAGTCTATATTTGGTTTAATGCCCTGCTGTCACCGTCTTGCAATTCTTGATAATTTTATCTTTGAAATTGTGTTCTGCTAAATGAAATCTGATGGGACAATGAAGAATGTAAGCAAGCAGAGGAGATATGCACAGTATGCATGTCTGCCATGTTGGCTGACATTCTAATTGAAACTACATTGCATTGGTATATTCATTTGGAGGAGATTGGTATTTTTATAATATTAAGTTATTTCTATCACAGAACATAGTATAGCTTTTCATCTGGTTTTATGTTCTTCAGTGATATTATTTAGATTTTTCAAAATTTAAGGTAAGCACATTTTAAATTTATTTGAATTTAAATCCTATTTGGGGCTGGGTACGGTGGCTCACACCTGTAATTCCAGCAGTTTGGGAGGCTGAGGTGGGTGGATCACCTGAGGTCAGGAGTTTGAAACCAGCCTGGCCAACATGGTGAAACCCTGTCTCTACTAAAAATTCAAAAATTAGCCAGGCACAGTAGCGCACGCACCTGTAGTCCCAGCTGCTCAGGAGGCTGAGGCAGGAGAATGGCTTGAACTCAGGAGGTGGAGGTTGCAGTGAGTGGAGATTACACTGCTGCACTCCAGCCTGGGTGACAGAGCAAGCAAGACTCTGTCTCAAAATAATAATAATAATAATAAATTAAATTGATAAACAAAAAATTCCATTTGGGTTTATTCTTAGGACTTTGGGAAACAGTTGTTTCAATGCAAGCCCCATCTTTTTCATATTAAAAACAGGCATTTTTTCCTTTGACATATAATCATAGGGGGAGAAAGAAAGTTTTGGAGAAATATACAATGAGAAAAAAAGTAGTCTATTGTTTCCTGGCATGTTGTCTTTCTAATTGACCTTTGCTTGCAAGTTTATTTTTTTCACTGAAAACCTTTCAGAGGAAAGGGGATCAGAGAGTTTCATAGAGTAGCAATGGATAAGACAAGGCCAGTACTGGCCGTGAGAACAGACTGCCCTGTGTGGTTACTTCTTCTTATAGCCATGGTTGTCAGCAAGACCAAAGAGAAGTAACCAGAGAGGTCACTGACCATGTGGCCTCTTGGGTGGGGTCTACATATGTACTTCTGACACTGATGGCCAGTGAGGAGGGAATGCTAAAAGCAGCACAAGCAGGGGCCACAAAGGCTGATGTGATGTGTGGTCCAGACCTGATTTGTGCAAACCAGAGGAAATGGAGCTCATGCCAGATCAAGGCTGTAAACCTTATTGTAACCCACAACAGACACATTTACTTGGCAGAAATATTTTGCATCGGCAGTGTAGAATGTGTCAAGGCACAGAGATGGGAAAGCTAGATGAAAAATAAGAGCAACAGCATCATGGCAGAAAGACATGGACATTCTAGACTAAAATGAAGTGGATACAGAAATGCTTAGTATGCTGCTACAGCCCTCCAGCATAGTAATTCACGAAAGCAATCAGCCAGGGTAGGACAAGCAGGGATACGAGAGGAGGAGAGGCACAGAGAGGAAGCCCAAGACTAGGTCTGAGACTGACTCTATCCACTCTGGGCTAGGAGAAAATACCTAGCATTAGAGAAAATGTATGGAATACAGTGTTTTAGTGGTGCCTAAACCAATCACTTTAGTGAATCCACCTGTCATTTACTCATACAGATATTATTCTTACCAATTTATTCCTTTGTTTATGGTGGCCAAAATCTTCATTCGGATGTTAGAATAGAAACAAAGAAATGTTCCATACCCAACTAACTTTCAAGCCATAATATTGATTCCAACCAGGACATTTAATTATCAGGTCCCAGTTTTGCAGAGCCCTGCAGATCTGAGGGTATGGAAAGGTAGAACGGGAGGGTGTTGTTCAGATCCAGGAATTGCAACACTACTCTTAAGTATTTATTGTTTATCTGAGCATTGAGTGAGCCACAGGCAGGGAAAGAATTAAGTGTGTCAAACTGCATATGTGAAATAACAAAGAGAGAGAAAGAAATGTTACCAGTATATTTTTAAACAAAAGGCATGAAAATGGCGGCTCTTCTGGGTATGGAAAAAATTTTCCTTTTCCTACATATTGACAGCCAGAGGGGGTTATTATTGAGAATATGGGTAAAGTTACCGCCAGTTTCTGCTGGTACTCATGTTTAAAAAGAAACTATGGAAACCAGGAGAAGGAATATTAATTAAGTTCAAATTTGGAATGTCTTTGCCAGGAGCAGATGAATGAATTCAATGAAGCAACCTGTTGGGTTGTAATTCAGTGTTTTGTTAGTACTTTAATAGAATGCTGAACTTTTCAGAAATTAATACTTTGTTTTAATAATCTTATTAAAAAGTTATTTCTTGATAAGATTAGTCCTGGAATGTGATTTTTTTAAATTTAAAGAACCAGTATATATTTTCTTTCTTTTTCACAATTTTAAATATTCTTATTGGTTATAACTAAAAAATGTTTAATACATTTAAAAATATTAATACATTTACATGTCAATAAAAAGCACAAGAAAATAAGAGGCAAGTAAAATGTCTTTCCCCCTCCAAACTTTCTGTCTCCTCCTACCTCTAGATGAAGAAACCTGTTATCAGTTTGTTGTGGATACTTTAGAGATATTATTTGCACTTAACTACTGGCCTACAAGGGCACCAACTGTTCCAAGGCCCTTTGATGATTACATCTTTTGAGTCTTATTTCCTAAGAACACATGCTTTTTAAAATAATATTTTCTAATAGTGAAAGTAATATGGATGCCTGGAGAGGGTAATGCTAATGAGAAAATACAAAATGGGGAAATTATTCACCTGAATAAACCTGGAGAGTTTACAAATAAAGCTTCACTGGTCACTGAAGGGTTTAAAGGAAGTTTCCACTTTACAATGTAAATATGTTGTGGTCGTCTTAGTTCTTAGACTAATTTGCTTCTTTCTGGTGGGGAGGATAGCAATTTGAGAAAACACTGACTAAATCGAAAATCGGCTCCATTTAAATGTGAAGCTGCGTTCTAAACACAAGCATAGTCTGCTGAAGGGCTCTGAACATTAAGCTGCATGCCTTGCTGAGTTTTATTCCAAATAGACAACAGCAGATGGTAACAATGCACTTCTCATAGATGGTAGGAGGGAGGCAGTCTTGTTTCAAGTAATACTATTTCTGGGCGATAATCCAAAATGCGCAGTAGGCAGAAGTTAAAAGGAGGCGCTTGCTTTTAGGTTTTAAAAATATATCCCTTAATCCTGGGTGATGATTGACAATCATGATTTAGAGTATGAGGGGCCTCTCTTTAATCCTGCAAGTTTGATGTTATTTGCGTATCTAGTAGGGCTTTTATTCAACTAAAACTAAGTGGAAGCCTGTGCAATTGATGCCGCATTTCAGAATTGATTCTTGGCCTGGTACTCTATTTACAGATTAGTAAGTACACAGGATCTGTCCTCCTCCTCATCTTTTTGAAATTTAAAGGTTCTAAAAGGCACATTTACAATTAAAATATTTATTGCTGTGTAAGAGTATGACCAGGAGATGACTTTTTTCTGTATAATTTAATTTCTTAAGAAGCAGTCTGTAAGATTATATTAATCCTGATTTGATTATCAAATTATGATATTAGCTATTGGTATTTATAAATGATTAAAATGTTGTCATTATTGACTTCATGTGCTTCGGTATAAGTTCTTTGGAGAAATTTTAATGAATTACCTCCAAGTCTCTTGCTCCTATTAGGTTTCTTGCAAAGCTTTTCTAAGGAATAGATCAATGTTAAGCCATTATATTACAATTGTTTTATCAGCTGTGACAATAATTTGATTTAAAATCACACATTAAAATAAAATTAGTTAAATCATAAACTCCAAAACAAGATGTCATTAAGAAAGGAAAATATACAGGAGTGAAAGTTAACAAATTTTACAGCAGAAACAGGAGTAATTTTTTTTGAGGCACTTAAGCACTGCGGTCAATGTCTTTGTCACAGTTCCATTCGACAAAGCGAAATAGACTACATGTGAAGCCCAAGTGTCTTTCCTGTATTCTCATGATGTTTTAAATTATGTAGTTTTTGGAGAATGTTTAAGAAGTTAAATACATTCATTACAGAAAATTTGGAAAGTACAGAAAAGTATGAAAAGAAAATAAACATGACCTTCATTCCCAACAGTCACTATTGGGCATCGTCTTCTATTTTTTTTTCTTATATTTTGTTGCAAGGATTTAGATATAAGGGCTAAAATGTACTTCCCAGGAGACATTCTGGCTGCTAGGAGTGTGTAGAAGCATTCAAAGTGGGTTCCTCTGGAGTCGGGTGAGTGACACAACCTGCTACAGGTTTGGTCTGTATTTTGTAAGCTGCGTCAGCAGAGCTTTCTATGAAAACCCCAGTGATGGGATCCTTTGTGTTTAGAATATATTCTAACCTAATAAGTGCATGTTGATAATACCTCTTTCTGTTAACATTTCAAAAGCCCGTTTTGCTGTAGAATCATGCATTTGATATTTAAAAGCTAATGAATCCAACTGATAGATAGTAGGAAAATTTTATTGATATATTCATTGCAAAATAGTTCTTCAAACCAAATTTTGTTTTTGCCTTTGTACTCATAGTTTCTTGCCAGTAAATGACTGAGTGATTGCTACAGTGAAAACACTACTTGCCTACAGCTTTGCTCAATTAATTCATAAGGACTACATAGGTAATTCATTAAATCTTAATGAAGATTGGATATAGAGGAGTATAGTAGTTGGATCTAAATCTGCAGCTCAAAAATCAAATCCTAACCCCTTAGACTGCCAAATCCAGAGAAAAGTCAAGGCCCTTTCTCTCCAGCCAGCGATGGCTATCATCCTAGAAACCTACACTGTTGCATGGTTTTTCCTCTGCTTGGAATGCTCTTCTCCTACCTACTTCCCACCCTCAGGTCTCGCACTGCAGCAATT